>NC_000004.12:8816477-9116477 GCF_000001405.40 Homo sapiens | reverse complement strand
CTTCAAAAAATACAGATGCTGATGTCCAGGCATGGTGGCCCATGCCTATAATCCCAGCGGTTTGGGAGGCTGAGGCGGGAGTATCGCTTGAGCCCAGGAGTTTGAGACCAGCCTGGAGAACATAGGGAGATACTGTCTCTATAAAAAATTAAAAAAATTAGCCAGGCCTGGTGGTGCCCACCTGTGATCCCAGCTACCGTGGAGGTTGAAGTGGGAGGGTTTCTTGAGCCCAGGAGTTGGAGGCTGTAGTGAGCTATGATTGTGCCACTGCACTCCAGCCTGGGTAACAGAGCGAGGCCGTGTCTCAAAAACAAAACAAAAAACGGATGCTATGTCCCATTCCAGAGGTTGAGGTTTAATTGTTCTTGGGTGTGGCCTGGGTTTTGGAAGATTTAAAAAAAAATCCCAGGTGACCCTAAAGTGTAGATGAGTTTGGAAACCACACATTTAAGGCACACTTGAATGGGGGAGCAGTGAGGTGGCATGAGCTAGCCGGCCAGAACCCAGGGGTGGGGCAGTAGGAACCAGCATTGCAGAGGCCATTAAGGCTGGGAAGCATAGTGTCTGGGGCCCATAAAAATGCTTCGGCATGAATGCTTTAGACCTAAGACAATTGGCTGCTAAATGTGCAAACTGCAAGGCTGAAATGAATGCATGTTTAATGCTTTACAACACTGTCAAGTGGTCAGCTGCAACTCCGTTCTGAGGGTGTAATGCCTGAGATATGCCTGTAATGGGGGTGGATTTTAATGAATTTAATATGGTGTGGAGTGGGGCCTTCAAGAGTAAAGATGTCAGTTCTAAGTTGGTTGCAGGGGTCTGGGCAAAGGTCTTAAAACCCCATGGTGAGCAGATGGCCAATCCTGAACACCCCAATTTTAAAACAGGGTCTTTTTTCCTAGAGATTTTTTGAAAATAGCTCCTATTTTGAGGGGAGGAACCCTGGCAGGAGAGAGCCAGAGTTAAGCCCAGCTGAGAGGGCGTTGGCAGGCAGGGGCCTGCCTGGTCCTCACTGAAGCTTGATACTCAGGGTGAGCTTCCTAAACCAATGCCGATTTGCTGGCCCACTGAGCCTCGCAGATGAGAACCTGCATTTCAACAAGGTCCTCAGTGCAGCAAAGTTTGAGATATACTGGGCTAGAACACCCAGGGGACACAAAGGTTCTCTGAAAACTAAGGAAAATAGGCAGAGTGTGGTGGCTCATGCCTGTAATCCTTGTATTTTGGGATGTCAAGGCGGGCGGATCACCTAAGGTCAGGAGTTTGAGACCAGCCTGGATCAACATGGTGAAACACCATCTCTACAAAAAATACAAAAATTAGCTGGGTGCGGCCGGGCACAGTGGTTCATGCCTGTAATCCCAGCACTTTGGGAGGCTGAGGCGGGCAGATCATGAGGTCAGGAGTTCGAGACCATCCTGGCTAACACGGCGAAACCCTGTCTCTACTAAAAATACAAAAAAATTAGCCGGGCGTGGTGGCAGGTGCCTGTAGTCCCAACTACTCGGGAGGCTGAGGGAGGAGAATGGCATGAACCTGGGAGGTGGAGCTTGCAGTGAGCCGAGATTGCAACACTGTACTCCAGACTGGGCAACAGAGTCAGACTCTGTCTCAAAAAAAAAAAAAAAAAATTATCTGTGTGAAGTGGCAGGTACCTGTAGTCCCAGCTACTTGGGTGGCTGAGACAGGAGAATAGATTGAACCTGAGAGGCGGAAGTTGCAGTGGCCCGAGATCGCACCACTGCACTCCAGTCTGGTGGCAGAGTGAGACTCCATCTAAAAAAATAAAAAATAAATAAATCAATAAAAAGTAAACATAAATACTGGGCTAGAAGACCCAGGAGACCCGAAGATTCTCTCAAAACTAAGGAAAATAATCTAGGTCACAAATATATTCTCTTCCTCCTTCTCCCTATTGCCCCCCTCCACCAGGAATCTTTATAGACTCAAATCGAGTTGATGTTCTATAATCAATTCTAGTCACTTTTATTTATATTTATTTATTTTAGAGATGGGGGTCTCACTATGTTGCTCAGGCTGGTCTCAAACTCCTGGGCTCAAGTGATCCACCCACCTCGGTCTCCCAAAGTGCTGGGATTACAGGCATCAGCCACTGAACCTGGCCGTCACTTTTATTTTTGATGTTCAAATTATAAGCTAATGCCTGTGAGACCATAGATTCTTTTCATGCACTCAGTACATTTTCGTGTTTACCTTACATTTTTATTATGGAAAAATTCTGTTTTTTCCACTTGTTTCTATTTGATAATGAAGCCCTCTGTGCCTATCACCAGCCTCAGCCGCCATCATCTCATTACCAATCTGGGTTATTTTGAAGCAAACATCTTCTAATATTTAGCCGGTGTTCAAATTTCCCTAACCATCCTAAATGAATGTTTAGAATAGTTGTTTCATTGGAAACAAGGTCAAAATAAATACATTTTACATTTTTAGACCAGTCTTGAAAGTAAGTGTAAAACCATGTGTGGGGTAGGAGGTGGGACTAGCCTCTCAAGGTGGGGCCTGGATACCAGAACCAATTGAGGACTAGCTAAGAGAGATTCCACAATGAATAACACCAGGAGGTGGGAATATTAAGGTCCATTGTGAAGGATGGCTACCACAATTTTTTGATCAACTAGTTATCAACCCTGACTTCAGCTGAGAGAGATTTGTTTTTGCTTTTATTTTTTTTTTTTCAGAGACAGGGTCTTGCTATGTTGCCCAGGCTGGACTCAAACTCCCGGGCTCAAGTGATTCTTCTGCCTCAGCCTCCTGAGTAGATGAGACTACAGGTGTGTGCCACTGTGCCCAGCAAGATTTTAAAAAATACGTAAGACCGGACACCACTCTAAACCAACTAAATCAGAATCAGATATAGTGAAGTCATTAATCATTTTGCTTCTGGGTCTTTATGATAGTTTTGCTCCTGGGAAACTCCTGGGAATGTGGTAGAGAGAGAGAAAGAGATGGGAAAATAAGATTTTAAGAAGTGTTGCTATGCATTTTGAAAATAATTTTTCTTTGGTGTTTGTCTTGAGGGACGGTGGTAAACATTTCAATTGCCTTTAAGTATGCTTGCATGCTGGAATGATGGTTCTTTGAATGTAGCATCGAACTGGTATTGGGCCACATGGCAGTCAGCGTGAGGCTTTATGCCACATTTATAAAACATGAATGTCATGAGCCCACGATCAGGGACCTTACAATTTGGAGGGTTAGGTCAGATCCACAAATTTCTTGTATCTCATGGTAAAGGAAACCTGGCGTGTAGCAGGAGATGGTGTGATAATAACATGTTGCATGATCAATATTTGTATTCTTCTTAGCAATATTAAACTTTTTGACCCCCTCCATTATGTCATCAATTTGCTTAATACAGTTTCTTCCTCAGCGTCGGTTTTTAGGCCTGGCATAAGCTGTTTGAAACCCAGGAACGTACCCCACCCATCATCTTTGGCCTAGTTAACACCTCCCCTCCGTGTGTGGTGGTTTGGAGAACCTGCTTTTTCCTCATCCCACTGATCCCAAACCCAGGACACCCTACAGCTGCTGACCAGGATTAAACCTAATGGAGATTTAATGCCATTAAATCAGAAGAAATTCTGATTCTCAGGGACTGACATTCATTCACTTACATACTTGCAGAGTCGGCCAGGTGTGTTGGCTCACACCTGTAATCCCAGCACTTTGGGAAGCCGAGGTGGGTGGATCACGAGGTCAAGAATTCGAGACCATCCTGGCCAACATGGTGAAACCCCGTCTCTACTAAAAATACAAAAATTAACTGGTGTAGCTGTGCGTGCCTGTAATCCCAGCTACTCAGGAGGCTGAGGCAGGCGATTTGCTTGAACCTGGGAGGTGGAGGTTGCAGTGAGCCAAGATTATGCCATTGCACTCCAGCCTGGGCAACAGAGCGAGACTCTCAGAAAACAAAAAACCCAAAAACTTGCAGAGTGAATTTAGGAAACCATGAAGTACACAGTTTGATCCAATGCCTTCCTTTTTCTCTTTCTCAAATATTTTGAGCCAGGTACTATCCTAGACTGTCTTGTGATATTTACAATCTAGGAGAAGGCAGGAGAGAGAACTAAGAACAGAGAGCATGTTCTGAGATGTCTGCTGTGTTTGCAGGTACCTTCCCTCAATTTCCCTACTCACTGGCCATGCTGGAAAGCAGGTCTTGGCGCTATATTTATACCATGGTACTTCCCCTCCCTATACTCAATTGGTTGGCCAGAAGCCCAATTGTCACTCTCTCTCTCTGTCTCCCTCTCGCTCCCTCCCTCCCTCCCTCCCTCCCTCCCTCTCCAAGATATCCAGTAACTGACTGATCAGCTGGGGGTGGGCTCTGCTGGCTGCCAAGATGGGCCACCAGCAAAAAGGGAAAATTGGTTGTGAGTGAGAAGAAGAGATAAGAAATTCCACAGGGCTGATAAGAAAGACCATGGGCTTCCAGGCGCGGTGTTTCACGCCTGTAATCCCAGCACTTTGGGAGGCCAGGATGGTCGGATCACGAGGTCAGGAGATCGAGACCATCCTGGCTCACATGGTGAAACTCCATCTCTACTAAAAATACAAAAATTAGCTGGGTGTGGTGGCAGGTGCCTGTAGCCCCAGCTAATTGGGAGGCTGAGGTGGGAGAATGGCGTGAACCCCAGGAGGTGGAGCTTGCAGTGAGCTGAGATCGCACCACTGCACTCCAGCCTGGGCGACAGAGTGAGACTGCATCTCAAAAAAAAAAAAAAAAAAGAGACCATGGGCTTCTGAGAGCAAGAAAGAGGAATTTTGGTTTCTGTAACTGCAGTTTCTATTCTCTCATGGCCTCTCATTTTTTTCTTGTGCCCATGAGTTTTCCTGTTAGAGATAAGGTGTGCTCCTTGTCCTCAAGCTCATGCAAATGGGTTTCTGTTTCTTACAATCATTGTTCCCATATATGGATGGTGACTGATGCTCTACTAAATGCTGAAAAAAAGCAGAGTGGAAGCTCAGAAAAGCGGGCTTCTCTGAGGAGGTGACGTTAAAGCCCAGTTGGAAGGCAGGAGTAAATGTGCACCATGATTTTTTAGGATTAAAACCAAGTATCTCACTGCTTTGGCACATGTAGATAGAGGTGATTTAACAGTAAAGTGTCCCAGTTGTACCCATTGTCAGTTACCTCACCACAGGGATTATGTAGCCCTGAGTTTGTTTAGTGCTTATTTATTTTAGGTTGTTGTTTATCCAAACCTCTTAAATGATACGTGCTTGGAACAAGTAACAGCATCGTTCATTGATGTTGTGGACAAACCACTATTTTATTACTCAAGACTGGGTAATTTATAAAGAAAAAGAGGTTTAATGGGCTCACAGTTCCATGTGGCTGAAGAAGTCTCGAAATCATGGTGGAAGGCAAAAGGGATGTCTTACATGGTGGCAGACGAGAGTGATAAGAGCTATTTTGGTCATTGTTCGCTGGCCATAGAATTTACTTCTATATTTTGAACTAAGATGAGAGCCAGGCACACAAGACGGTTACAGGTCTGTCTTTTGTTTTTGATGATGATGATGATGATGATGATGATGATGATGATGATGAAATGGCTGACATGGTTGATGACTTGCTTTTTCTCTTCAACTCAGACCTAGATTTTTGGCTGGACTATTGGCTTGGGATAGATGAAAATCATTCCTTGTATCCCCTTATCTTAAAGTCAAGACTGAACTAGCCTCCAGACTCAAGCCTTCATGGGACTTCAGATACCATAAGGAATGGGTGTCCCTGCAATATTGTCATGGCTGTCAAAAGTGTTATTGGAGCTGGGCAAGTGGGCGCTCTCCTGTCATTCCATCCTGCTTAGATTTCCCATTCAACACCAATCTTATTTCCTTTTTGTTTTTTTGACAGAGTCTCGCTCTGTCTTCTAGGCTGGAGTGCAGTGGTGGGATCTCGGCTCACTACAGTCTCCACCTCTCAGGTTTAAGTGATTCTTGTGCCTCAGCCTCCCAAGTAGCTGGGATTGCAGGTGCACACCATCAAGACTGGCTCATTTTTTTTTTTTTTTTGTACTTTTGGTAGAGACAGGGTTTTGCCACGTTGGCCAGGCTGGTCTTGAACTCCTGACCTCAAGTGATCCACCTACCTCGGCCTCCCAAAGTGCTGGGATTACAGGTGTGAATTACCCTACCTGGCCCCATTTCCTCTTATACCATAAGTCATTGCCTGCAGATGTGTTTTCTCCATTAGTTTGCAAAAGCTTCCTGAGAGTAGTCTGTACCTCATTTATTCTGGAATCTCCCTGACACAAAGCACAGGGCTTTATCCTCAGTAGGCATCCAACAAATGTTTAATTTCATTCAACAGCTCCTCTTATCACTGCCCCCACCTTATTTGCAGGTGGCTAAGTACAATCAGAACAAGTAGGTATCATAAGATTTAGTCCAGAGTCAATTTGAGAAGAAATTACTTTAGTGATATGAAATGAAACCATGCTATTTAGTCAGAATACTTCTGAGAGTATCCCCTGTCCAAGCATTTGCTGAATTTCTATCTACTAATTTTCAGGTGGAACAGTATGGTTGCAGAGAGTCCATTTGGACATAGATACACTTTCATGCATTCATGTCTTTAACAATAATTTGTGGCCCTACTGTGTTTGTTCACTAACTCCTTTGAACCTACCACACAAGCTATATGTGTATTTTCCTTGTAATTTGGGAGGTCCAATGCTTCATTAAGCTCACATGCCTGAAACTAATGAAGAAAATAGCTCGTTAACCAGCTAGTATAAAAGTAGCCACCAAATCAAGTCAATCACCTGCCTTAAATCAGCCCAGTATTCCCATCTTGAGCGGAGAAGCCCATTCTGAATCACAGTCAAGACATTGATGGAAAAACAGCTCCCTCTGTGGATCAAAACCACCCTCGCTCCAAATCCTCCTCCCCAGCGTTCTACTCATTGCTCACCCACTGAACCCAGAACAAACCAGAAGTGCTTGAAATGAGGACAGGTAGCTCCGTGTACCAATCAGAATTTAAAACTGTATCAATTCCTGCTATAGAAATGAGGCTTCTCCCCAGGGCCAGCATTCCACAAAGGCAGCCCTTTTCTAGATGGAGAAAACAAACTGAAGGCACCCGTTTCCCTAAACTGCTCTTGCTCATGTGTAAGTACAAATGAAAAATGCTGACGCTGCTTCTGTTGGCATTGCTTTTTAATTACGGCTATCAATAAATCATTTTATCCTTGAACAAGACTTAGAATGACCCGAAGGCAGAGGCACGATTCCTTAGGAATTAGGCCAACAGAGAATGGGCTATCTCTCTTCCCACCCCTTCTCTTACTCTGCTGTCAGAAACAGAAACGTTCTCTGTGAGTAGCTGGGAGTAGACGGCCACACTTGAGTTCCATCTGGGGGTTCTGTTAACACAGTTTTACCCCAGCCTGCCTTGATGGCCACTGCCACACAATCTGCATCTGTTCTTTCTTCTGCGCATTTTGTTACTTCGTTGTTTTTCCTCTTTCTAGTGTAGTGAGTTGAATGGTGGCTTTGCACAAGATATATCCAGATCCTTGTGCCTAGAATCGGTGGAGGTGGCATTATTTGGAAAAAGGGTGTTTGCAGATGTAATTAACTTAAGGATCTTGAGATGAGATTCTCCTGGAGTAATTTAGGTAGGCTGTACATCTAATGACAAGTGTCATTATAAGAGGACACTTTTGTCCGGGCTCAGTGGCTCATGCCTGTAATCCCAGCACTTTGGGAGACCGAGGCGGGTGGATCACCTCAGGTCAGGAGTTTGAGACCAGCCTGACCAACATAGAGAAACCCCATCTCTACTAAAAATACAAAATTAGCCGGGCATGGTGGCGCGTGCCTGCAATCCCAGCTACTGGGGAGGCTGAGGAAAGAGAGTTGCTTGAACCCAGGAGGAGGAGGTGGCAGTGAGCTGAGATCATGCCATTGAACTCCAGCCTCTGCAACAAGAGTGAAACTCCGTCTCAAAAAAAAAAAAAAAAAAAAAAGGATAGTCTTTTTCATGCACGTCCGTGTGAAGAGACCACAAAACAGGATTTTTGTGAGCAATAAAGCTGTTTATTTCACCTGGGTGCAGGTGGGCTGAGTCCAAAAAGAGAGTCAGCGAAGGGAGATAGGGGTGGGGCCATTTTACAGGATTTGGGTAGGTAAAGGAAAAAGGGGGGTTCTCTGGCAGGCAGGAGTCGGGGTCACAAGGTGCTCAGTAGGGGAGCTTTTGAGCCAGGCTGAGCAAGGAGAAGGAATTTCACAAGATAATGTCATCAGTTAAGGCAGGAACAGGCCATTTTCATTTATTTTGTGGTGGAATGTCATCAGTTAAGTCAGGAACCGGCCATCTGGATGTGTACATGCAGGTCACAGGGGATATGATGGCTTATCTTGGGCTCAGAGGCCTGACGTTCCTGTCTTCTTATAGTAATAAGAAAAATAAAATGAAATAGTGGTAAAGTATTGGGATGGTGAAAATTTTTTGGGGGTGGTATGGAGAGAGAACGGGCGATGTTTCTCAGGGCTGCTTCGAGGGGGATTAGGGGTGGCATGGGAACCTAGAGTGGGAGAGATTAAGCTGAAGGAAGATTTTGTGGTAAGGGGTGATATTGTAGGGTTGTTAGAAGAAACATTTGTCATTTAGAATTATTGGTGATGGCCTGGATACAGTTTTCTATGAACTGAAAAACTAAACGGAATAAGAGAAGGAGAAAAACAGGTATTAAAGGATGAAGAATTGGGAGGACCTAGGACATCTAATTAGAGAGTGCCTAAGGAGGTTCAGCATAGCCTTGCCAGCAAAGATTATTTATTTAAGAGTTAAGAGTGGTGGTTTGGGGATAGCACCAGGAGATATCACCTGTGATGGCTTGGAGAAACAGTGTAAACCACCAGTGTAAACAAGAGCAGGACATATATGAGTAGTTGAGAACGGTGAATAGGAGTATGACTAGACAGAAGACAGTAGGGATGACAAGTTTTTTGGGGCACAGTCCAAGTTGGTCTGGTGTCTGGAATGAGACTGGGGCCTAATAAAAAGGAGCGTCTATATGGGAGCTCAAATGGGCTGTACCTTGTAGCATTCCAAGGACAGGCCTGAATTCTGAGAAGGGAAAGTGGTAAAAGTATTGTCCAGTCCTTTTTACGTTGGTGGCTGAGCTTGGTAAGATGTGTTTTTAAAAGACCATTAGTCTGTTCTACTTTCCTGAGGACTGAGGACTGTAAGGGATATAAAGGTTTCACTGAATACTAGAAGCCTGAAAAAATGCTTGGCTGACTTGATTAATAAAGGCCGGTCTGCTATCACACTGTATAGAGGTGGGAAGGCTAAACTGAGGAATTATGTCTGACAGAAGGGAAGAAATGACCTTGGTGGCCTTCTTACACCCTGTGGGAAAGGCCCTTACCTATCCAGTGAAAGTGTCTACCTAGACCAAGAGGTATTTTAGTTTCCTGACTCGGGGCACGTTGAGTAAAGCTAATTTGCCAGTCCTGGGTGGGGGCAAATCCTTGAGCTTGATGTGCAGGGAAGGGAGGGGGCCTGAAGAATCCCTGAGGAGTAGTAGAATAGCTGATGGAACACTGAGAAGTTATTTCTTTGAGGATAGATTTCCACGATGGAAAGGAAATGAGAGGTTCTAAGAGGCGGGCTAGTGGCTTGTACTATAGCATAGCCTGCTTTTGTTGGTGTGTGGCGATTAGGCCTGGTGGAGCTGCCATCAATAAACTAAGTGTGATCAGGGTGAGAAACAGAGAAGAAGGAAATGTGGGGAAATGGGGTGAATGTCAGATGGACCAGAGAGATGCAGTCATGAGGGTCAGGTGTGGTATCAGGAATAATGTGGGTGGCCGGATTGAAGTCCGGGCCAGGAACAATGGTAATTGTGGGAGACTCAACAAAGAGTGAGTACAGCTGAAGGAGCCAGGGAGCAGAAAGTATATGTGGCAGGTGTGAGGAAGAAAATAGATTTTGGAAGTTATGAGAGCTGTAGAGAGTGAGTTGACCATAGCTTGTGATTTTAAGGGCCTTTAAAAGTATTAGGGTGGCAGCAGCTGCTGCACGGAGACATAATGGCCAACCTAAAACAGTAAGGTCAAGTTGTTTGGACAAAAAGGCTACAGGATGCGATCCTGGTCCTTGTGTAAGAATTTCAACTGCACAGCGCTGCACTTCGGCTGTGTGTAATGAAAAGGGTTGGGATGAGTCACGGAGAGCTAGTGTAGCAGGACGAGTTGCAGACAAAACTCCTTAGACACCGGATTAAAGAAGGAAGAGGTTTTTTTATTCGGCCGGGAGCGTCGGCAGACTCGTGTCTTAAGAGCCGAGCTCCCTGAAAAAGAAATTCCTAGCCCTTTTAAGGGCTTACAATTCTAAGGGGTCTACCCGAAAAAGTCATAATAGATCAAGTAAGCCTGAGGAATGTGACTGGGGGCTACAAACATCAGCTAACAGAACAAAAAGTTTTTACAGTGCTTTCTCATACAATGTCTGGGATTTACAGATAACACAGGTAGTTTTGGTCAGGGGTTAATATTATTGTTATTTTAACCACCAGGGCCAGGTGGTGGCGCCGAGGGCGTCTAGCTATTTATTTTACTTCTGTTTTTTCCAACTTTTTGCTTTCTCCCTTTTTTCCTGTCTTACAAACTAGGGAAAAAGGGAGGTTGGGGAGAAACTGGGAAGGACAACAGGAGAAGTGGTGGTCTCATACCATATTTCCCCCCTTTGAGCATTTTCACTTTTTAGTGGGAGTTCTCACTCTCATCTTTACTTTTTGAGTCTCTCTCTGAGGTAGAACCGTAGTGATTTATATAATACACCTGTGCTGAAGTTTTCTGATGAATCAAAGTAGCAACAAAACCTTTTATCATTTGAAAAAACAAGGATAATACACAGGGGAGCAGCAAGCAAGTTCCTATCACTAGCAATACACCTACAATGAGGGGTTTAAATCCTCCTCCCGCTGGAAACCATTTTCCAAATAAAGACTCAGATTAAACTCGTGCCAAATCTGTAAAGGCACATGTGCCACCTTTGTCATGTCCCTGACTATGTTTTTAACCACCTGTCCTTGATCATTTATTTGTAGGCAGCAATTGGTTAAGTTAAATTTTCCACAAACTCCTCCTTCAGCTACTAGCAAGTAGTCTAAGGCCAATCTATTCTGATAGATAGCATTCCTCATTTGGGTTTCTTGCCAAGCTAAAACCGTCAAAGCTCTGCCAGTTTCATTAGTAATTATTTCTAAGACGGCCTGCAACCGTATGATCCAATTGAGCATGTAGATGGGGGTTCAGTATCCCCATGAGCCATCTTGTGCCCATGTGGCAGGCCCATAATACTGTATGATCCTTTCTGGGGGCCATTCATTATCTTTCCAGTTTCCTATAGCTATGCCTTTCTTTTCTCGGGAGGTATAGACAGGGAAACCTAGCAGCTTACCTGTTTTTATGGGTAATAAGAAAAAGGACGGCTTAATAGTGCCAATAACACAACTGCCTGCCCATTTATTAGGTAACCGAAAGTAGGCTCGGTGCCTACATATCTAGTATAGTCCAGCGGGAACCGTCCAGTCCTGATGAGATTCTGGATGAGCCGAAGCAGTTTTTAATTTAGAAAATTTACTAAATGGATTCTTTTCAGTGTGGTTTAGGCCCTACTAAGTAATTGTCTGTGTTGTGCTGTTATACAACTTCTGTCCTATACAATTAAGCTTTCCTACAGGGATGATAAAGTCTTTCCCTTCTCTAGCTATACAGTATTGTCTAATAATTGAGGTTTTAGGACCTAGAAGTTGCTAGCTTCGGCCTTCTGAACTGGAATTATATCAGGAGCTGGATCAGTAGGCACCAACTCTCGGGCTTCCCAAGGCTATCTGTCTCCGATAGTGGTTCCTCCGCGTACATAACAAGAAGTAACATTAAGGGAATGAGCTACATTTTCTGCTAATTGGAGAAACAAATTTTTTGTCTTTTTCAGAAGTTCTGGTGCTAGCACATTCAGCTCCTCACAAAAGGTTTGAAATACTGGTTTGGGAGAGCACTTGTGGACCTCCCCTCTAATTAAAATGGCAACTTGAGGGTTTAACCCTGTCCTATTGATCCCCAGGGTTACACATTCTCTCTTTTTCCAACGGGGATCTAGGGGATTGGTAATTATTAGTTGTAGTGGGTTACAGTGACCGGCAGCACAGGAGGGGTTGGCTTCCCCTTCTGAAGATAAACCGGGTCCTTTTGTTCTTTTTTTAAGTAGCCTAAATAACACATGTCCAATAGCCACAATTTTCACAAACCCCTGATTCATGGCAAACATATTTATTTTCTACTCTTCAGCTCCTTCCTTAATTAAGAGAACCACATCCTATTTCTAGCTTTTTACTATTAATGGCTGCACAAACATCAAATCTTAAAGTTATTTGCTTGGGGATTTCTTTTTCTTCTGTTCTACTTATTATTTTACTTGTATCACCTAGGAAAAGGCCAGTTCTTATTCTTATTTCAAAAGCGGTGGTTACAGGGGGCTCAGATGGGTTATAACACACATCAGGTCGGTCATTTCTTGGGCTACATACCTTGTACTGAGTGGCATTATACAAACAAGTTTCTTTTAATGTTTCCATACATTCACAATAACTATAGAACAGAAAGATTGTTTTAATTTGCTGTCCTACTTCGGTGACCTGATGAATACACTGGGAACAGTCCCCAGTTTGAGTAAGGTCAGTTGAAGCCCTTACTGTATAAGTCCAAAATTTAAGAAAAATGAATCTCATGATGAGCTTCCTCAGGCTTTGGCCATGCGTGGACCAGTCAGCTTCTGGATGTGACTGGAGCAGAGCTTGTCTCGTCTTCTTCAGGGTCACTCTGCAAGGGTTGTCTGGGCTTGGTCTTGCCTCCCAGGTTTCAGGCGCTGCAGGTTTTATATGGTTGTGTTGGATCCATGCTGGGATTCCTTCTACCTTCACAGCGGTGGGAGTGCTCAGGACGACAGTCTGGGGTCCTTTCCACCGTGGACACAAAGAGGCTACTTTCCAGTCCTTGATCCACACTTGATCATCTGGGGAGAATTGGTGAACTGGGGAGAATAAGCTAACAGGGCATCTCTCATTTACCCAGGCTGAGATTGTTTGTGTAATTTTTCCTAAGGCCTGTAGCTGTCGCTGTAACTCAATTTCACCTAACTCTCAGGGAGTGCCTGGAAGTCCCCACAATATAGGAGGGGGCCTACGATATAATATTTCATAAGGGGAATATCCTGTTCTTTTAGAACGGGTACATCTAATTTTAAATAATACCATAGGGACAGCCTGTAGCCATTTTAATCCTGTTTCCTGACATACTTTCCCTAAACTATTTTTGATAGTTTGATTCATTCGCTCCACCTTTCTGAAACTCTGAGGCCAGTAGGCAGCATGTCCTTTCCATGTGATCCCTAATATCTTTGCCACCTTCTGTACTAAGTCAGCCACAAACGCCGGCCCGTTATCTGAGCCGATCCATAAGGGCAGTCCAAATCTAGGAATAGGATCTCGAAGAAGCACACGAGTTACTTCACGAGCTTTCTCAGTTCGTGTTGGATAAGCCTCCACCTACGCAGAATAGGTACGCCCAAGAACTAGTAAATACTTGTTACCTCTACACTTTGGCATCTCAGTGAAGTCCACCTGGAGATCTTCAAAGGGGGCTGCTCCATAAGCTTGTATGCCGGGTGGAACGGCTGGACCCTGCCTCGCATTATGCTGTCGGCAGGTAACACACCACTGCGTCATCGTTTTGGCAAGAGCTGACAAATGCGAGATGTAGAAATACCGGCCTAACAACTTTTCAAGTGATTCCTGACCTCGATGGGTGGTTTCCTGCACAGCCAGTACAACTGCAGCTCCTAGCAGCTGTGGCACAGCTACTCTCCCATACGGTAACCGAATTCATCCTTCCTCCATCACTTGTCCTCCTTCTGCCTGGAGAAAGTCCTTTTCTTCTTTAGAATAAGTAGGTACAAGATCAGGTGCTTGAGGGAGCAGGGGGGCTGTGACTGATGTCCGGAATGGGGCAGATGCTGCTTTTCGAGCCTCTAAGTCAGTGCAGGAATTCCCTAAACCCACCAAGGTGGAAGCTTGCTGATGTCCCCTGCAATGCATAACTGCCACCTTGTGGGGTCTCCATACGGCTTTTAATAATCGCAAGATTTCTTGTTGATATTTTATGTCTTTTCCCCCAGGGTTCAGTAGGCCCTTTTCTTTATATAATGTTCCATGCACTAGAAGGGTTAAAAAGGCATATTGAGAGTCAGTGTAAATGTTGACATTCTTAGTTTCACTGAGTTCTAA
Source organism: Homo sapiens (assembly GCF_000001405.40). Classification (NCBI taxonomy): domain Eukaryota; kingdom Metazoa; phylum Chordata; class Mammalia; order Primates; family Hominidae; genus Homo; species Homo sapiens. Next base: position 9,102,144 of record NC_000004.12, on the reverse strand, counting down.
GGCCTGAATGAAAGCAATGAGTTCAGCTTTCTGGGCTGAAGTGCCCTGGGGAAACGATCTGGCTTCAGCAACCGTGTCCAGAGTTACCACCTCATATCTTGCACATCTCTCTCCCTGTGGGTTGATGAAGCTGCTCCCATCCACGTATAGTTCCTAGTCTACTGATGCCTAAGGCTGGCCCTGGAGGTCAGGTCTGCTAGAGTAAACTGAGTCCAACACTTCTACACAGTCATGCTCAACAGGGCTCTCTGATACTGGGAGCAAGGTGGTGGGGCGTAGGGTGTTACAAACTTCAATGGTTATACGAGGATTTTCACAGAGCCAAGTTTGGTAGTTGGTGAGTCTGGCATTCATTAGTCAATGATGTCCTTTAGTATTCATTAAAGTCACCACAGCACGGGGTGCTTTTATGTTCAGGTTTTGTCCAAGAGTCAGCTTATTTGTTTCTTGTACTAGCAGGGCAGTTGCTGCCAAGGCCCTCAAACACGGGGGCCATCCTTTAGAAACCCCGTCTAGTTGTTTAGAGAGGTAGGCCACCCGCCTTGGCCAGGGCCCCACAGTTTGGGTTAAAACTCCAACTGCCATCTTTTCTCTCTCTGACACATACAATGGAAAAGGCTTTGTTAGATCGGGTAGCCCCAGGGCTGGGGCTGACATAAGTCTTTCCTTTAACTCATGAAAGGCTTGCTGTTGCTGGGATCCCCATTCAAAAGTTTCCCGGTCCCCCAACTTTGTGACCTCACACAAAGGCTTGGCTAATACTGCAAAGTTTGGGATCTACAGTCTGCAAAATCCCACAGCCCATAAGAATTCTCTCACCTGCCTTCTGGTCTTAGGCTCCGGTAGATTGCAAATGACCTGCTTTCTTTCTGATCCTAGGCTGCGCTTCCTCCGTCGGATAGTAAATCCTAAGTAACGTACCTGCTGTCAGCAGATCTGAGCTTTTTTCTTGGACACCTTATACCCACAGTCCTCCAGGTGCCGGAGTAGAATATCTCTTCCCTTGGCGCACCCGACTCCCGTGGGGTGTCCCAGCAAAAGGTCATCAACCTACTGGAGCAACACGCAGTCTAGGTCTCTGGTGGGAAATTTCTGGAGGTCTCGAGGCAATGCCTCCACGAAGCTGGTGGGGGAGTTCTTGAACCCTTGGGGAAGCCGGGTCCAAGTGTACTGAGTAGTGACACCTGACTCCGGATCTTCCCACTGAAAGGCAAACAGCTTCTGCCTCTCAGGGGCTAATCTGAATCTAAAGAAAGCATCTTTCAGGTCCAAGCAGGTGAAGCAGCTGTCCTCAGCTGGCAGCAACCCCAGCAATGTGTACAGGTTAGGTACTGCTGGATGTAAAGTCACTGTAGCCTGATTAACCAAGCGCAAATCCTGTACAGGCCTGTAGTCCTTGGTCCTAGGCTTGGGAACAGGCAGGAGGGGAGTGTTCCATGGAGACTGACAAGGAACTCTAATTCCAAAAGTTCTTAGGTGCTTGAGATGGACCTGGATACCTTCAAGAGCTTCTCTGAGGACCGGCTTCTGTTTTTGCCTAAAAGGTTGGGCCCTAGGCTTAACTTCTATAAGTACGGGGTCTTGGTTGACTGCCAACCCTGGAGGGTTGTCTTCCGCCCACACTCTTGGCCACTGCTTAGCCAGAGCTGGTCTTATCTCTTGGCCCGACTCAGTTAAGGAAAATCTCCATTCCTCCTCTGGGGGGACGGTAAGGGTCATAATGACTCCCGTTCTGGGTAACTTTAGCAGCAAAGAGCCATGCTCTGTAAAAGAGATAGTGGCTCTCAGTTTGCTAAGCAAGTGCCTTCCCAATAAGGGCAAGGGACAGTCAGGTGTGGACAAAAACTGATGAATCACTTTACGTCCTCCTACAGTAGAAGTCCGGGGCAAGCAGAAAGCTTCCTTTGCTGAAACCCCTGTGGCTCCCATGACGTCAATAATCTTTTTGTATAAGGGGGCTACCGGCGCGGTTACTACCGAATGTTTAGCACCGGTATCTACAAGAAAATCAATGTCTTTACCCCTAACTGTCATCCTGACCATAGGCTCTTTGGGGGTCCTTGAGCCCAGTCCCCCTCAGTTCAATAACCCTTCTGCCAGGTTGAGCAGGGTCCCTTCCTCCTTGTCTGGAGCCTCTTGCTCCAAGTCACCTTGTTTTCTTTTTAGCTGAGGGCATTTGTTCTTCCAATGTCCTATTTATTTACGATAAACACACTGATTACGCTGCAAGCTCTGACAGCCAGGCTGAGTTTCTTTCCCGGGGCCCCCCTTCCCTTGCCTCTTTTGGGTGACCCTTCTGATTGCTGCCGCTAACAGGTCGGCATTTCGCTGGGCCTGATGTTTCTTCTCTCTGCAGTTTTCCTTACGGCTTACTGCATCCCTGTTTACAAATACCTGGTTAGCTATTTCTAATAACTGTGATGTGTTCATCCCTGCAAACCCAGCCTGTTTCTGCAGCTTTTTTCTAATGTCTTCTGTGCTTTGACTAACTAAAGCCATGTTAATAATGCATTGATTTTCAGGGCTATCGGGATCAAAGGGAGTATACATACCATAGGCCTCACACAGTCTCTCCTAGAATTGTGCTGGACTTTCTTCTTTTCTCTGAATGACCTCAGAAACCTAGTTAACGTTTGTGGCCTGCCGGGTTCCCCTCTTTAATCCTTCCAAGAGAGCTTCCCTGTATCGGTTTAGCCTTTGCATATCCTCTCTTTCATTTGGGTCCTACTGGGGGTTGGTTCCCAGTAACTGGGTCTTTACATACTCTTGGGGGTTTTGGTAATCAGCTGGCTCATGTTCCTCTAGCCACTTCTTTGCTGCTTGGAGCAGTCTCCGCCTTTCATCTGTGTTAAAGAGGAACATGAGCAACTGGTGGCAATCAGCCCAAGTGGGGTTATGTGTCTGCATAATAGTTTGGAGCAAATCAATCAGAGCTTGTGGCTTTTTGGTATAGGACGGGGTATAATTTTTCCAGTTGAGAAGGTGGGCAGAGGTGAAGGGCTGGTACACAGAAACATGTCTCCCCACCACGTGACCATCCTCATCTATCCCAGTATACCGCTGTTCTCACAGGGGCATTTGTATCCCCGTTTTGGGTCGAAACGAGCTGCCAAGGGAGGTGTTTCTCCCGAGTCCTCACCTCCTCTCTTGTATACTCTGGGTGGCCTAGGGATATGTTTGTCTTGTGGAGGCGCAAGCACTGTGGACTCAAAAGTGGGGAGCCTCTCTCCCTGGTAAGGGGAGGGCACCACTGGGATCACTGGTGCCATCTCCTGCAATGGATCTTCTGATGTTGGGTCGAACAGAACTTCAGGAGTTGATTTCCCTCTGCGGGTGGAGCGGGATCCTTCCTTGGCTATCTTTCCCTTTGCTACTAGCACTGCTGCTGCCTGCCCTCTTAGCCACTGTGGGGGGTTTAGCATCAGCTGTAACCAAGTGTCTATGTATGGAAACTGGTCTGAGTGTCCTGACTTACCAATTACCTTGTGCCATACCTTAGAAACAAGGGACCTGTCCAGGCTTCCTTCTGATGGCCATCCTACTTCTAATGTTGGCCAATCCATTTCACACAAAGTTCTAAGTTTCCCTGGTGTCATAGTAACCCCAGAGTCTCCATTAAATCCTTTCTTAAAATTTTTCAACATAGTTCCTAGCAGAGTAGGCTTACTTTGTGTCTGACCCACGTTTCCTCGAGACAAAACACCAAGCTCACACCACACGCACACAACAGAACAAAGAATAGGTAAAAAAGGCACACACACACTTTTTCAGTTTTCACCAAACCAGAATCAAAACCAAAATCAGAGTATCCAGAAATCCAAGCCAGGTCAAACCAAAACCAAATTATCAAGCAATTCAAGTCAAGTCAAAAACAAAAACCAAAGTGCCAGTACAGGCACGCCGTGTGTGATCAGGCCACACTTCCACTCAGATAGAGTGGGCAAGTTCCAAAGACCAGTCTTACCAAGTTTCAAATGTCCGGACTCCAAGTGCCTGTTCCTTCCCGGTGTTGACCCACTGTGTCAATCCTCCACGGGGGCCTACCACACACTGCTCTGACGAGGCATTCCACCGGGTCAATTCCCTACCCGGGAGAGTTCTCAGGATCCGCGTCGCTCAAGCTGGCAGGAGTCGCCCGCAGGGATGCTCCACAGGGCAGTCCTAAGCCGCCTAAAGGGCTGCCTCAACTGTCCATCAAGTACCTCGCTTCCCGGTCAGGGAACCAAGACTAGGGTGGGGGCAGTCTTTAAAGCTGTCTTCAAGGAACAGAAAGAGGAGTGGGGAAAGGATTTAGGATCTATGGGGTCAGCTAGGTTTCCTTTTGTGAGTTTATATAATGGTTTTGTTAGGATGGCAAAACCAGGTATCTAAAGGTGAAAGTGTCCAACGATGCCCAGGAACGAAAGGAGTTGTTGTTTTGTAGAAGGGGTTGGGGTTTGAGAGATGAGTCACACACGATCGGCAGGGAGATCACGTGTGTTTTTATGAGAATTATGCTGAGATAGGTAACAGATAAGGAAGAAATTTGGGCTTGACTGAAGTAATGGGGGCTGTCTGTGAAGCTTTGCAGCAGTACAGCCCAGGTAATTTGCTGAGCCTGATATGTGTCAGGGTCAGTCCAACTGAAAGCGAAGAGTGGCTGGGATGAAGGGTGCAAATGAATAGTAAAGACAGCATGTTTGAGATCCAGAACAGAATAATGGGTTGTGGAGGGAGGAATTGAGGATAGGAGAGTATATGTGTTTGGCACCTTGAGGTGGATAGGCAAAACAATTTTGTTGATAAGGCATAGATCCTCAACTAACTTGTAAGGCTTGTCTGGTTTTAGCACAGGTAAAATGGGGGAATTGTAAGGAGAGTTTATAGGCTTTAAAAGGCCATGATGTAGCAGGCGAGTGATAACAGGCTTTAATCCTTTCAAAGCATGCTGTGGGATGGGATATTGACATTGAGCGGGGTAAGGGTGATTAGGTTTTAATGAGATGGTAAGGGGTGCATGATAGGTTGCCAAGGAGGGAGCAGAGGTATCTTCTACTTGTGGGTTAAGGTGGGTGGCAATGAGATGTGGCTGTAGTCCAGGAATAGTCAGGGAAGCAGATAATTTAGTTAAAGGGTCTCAGCCTAATAAGGGAACTGGGCAGGTGGGGATAACTAACAAGGAGTGCTTAAAAGAGTATTGTCTAAGTTGGCACAAGAGTTGGGAAGTTTAAAGAGGTTTAGAAGCCTGGCTGTCAATACCCACAACAGTTATGGAGGCAAGGGAAACCGGCCCTTGAAAAGAAGGTAATGTGGAGTGGGTAGCCTCCGTATTGATTAAGAAGGGGATGCACTTACCCTCCACTGTGAGAGTTAGGTAGAGCGTCTGTGATGGTCCTGTAGGCTTCCGAGGCAATTGATCGGGCATTGTCAGTCTTCAGCTGCTAAGCCAAGAAGATCTGGGAAGGAGTCAGTCAGAGAGCCTTGGGCTGGAGTTCCAGGGGCTCTGGGAGTGGCTGCCAAGTGAGTTGAACAGTCCAATTTCTAGTGGGGTCCCGCACAGATGGGACATGGCTCAGGAGGAATCCCGGGCTGCAGGCATTCCTTGGCCTGGTGGCCAGATTTCTGGCACTTGTAGCAAGCTCCTGGGGGAGGCGGTTCTGGAGGAATGCCTGGCCACTGCGCTTTAGCCGTTTGGAAGTTCTTGTGTGCTGGAGATTTGGCTGGGGTTTGTCTCACAGTGGAGGCAAGAAATTGCAACTGAGAAATATGTTGCTTCTTGGCTGCCTCTGCTCTATTATTGTACACCTTGAAGGTGAGGTTAATTAAGTCCTGTTGTGGGGTTTGAGGGCTGGAATTTAATTTTTGGAGTTTTATTTAATGTCGGGAGCAGATTGGGTAATAAAATGTATATTGAGAATAAGACGGCCTTTTGACATTTTAGGGTCTAGGGCTGTAAGGCATCTCAGGGTTGCTGCCAAACGAGCCATGAACTGGGGTGGATTTTTATATTTGATGAAAAAGAGCCTAAATGCTATCTGATTTGAGATAAAGATAAAGGAGCATTTACCTTGACTATGCCTTTAGATCCAGCCACCTTTTTAAGAGGAAATTGCTGGGCAGGTTGGGGAGGGTTAGTCACGGAACTAAACTGCAAGCCAGACCCAGTGTGAGGAGGGGAGGTGATAAAAGGATTATAGGGTGGAGGAGCAGAGGCTGAGGAAGAATTGGGACCTAGCTCAGCCTGGCAAGGAGGGGAGAGGTCAGATGGGTCTGTAGAAAAGGAAGATTATAAAGACTCAGCACTCTTGGGGTTGGGACTGAAGGGACAGGTGGGAGGGAAAGAAGGAAGTTTTGGGACGAGTTGCATTGGGAACAGAGACTAGGGAGGGACCAATGTGTAAAAGAATGCCTGGACATCAGGCATCTCAGACCATTTGCCCATCTTATGACAAGAATTATCTAGATATTGTAGCATGGAAAATTTGAAAGTGCCATTTTCTGGCTATTTGGAACCACTGTTGAGTTTGTATTGGGGTCAAGCGGCATTGTAGAAGAAAATAAGGCATTTAGATTTTAGGTCAGTTGTGAGTTGAAGAGGTTTTAGGTTTTGAAGAACACAGGCTAAGGGAGAAGAAAGGAGAATGGAGGGTGGAAGCTTGCCCATAGTGAAGGAGGCAAGCCTAGAGAAAAGAGGGAGTAGAGACATGGAGAGAAGGGATGGGGGGTTCTTGCCTTCCAGAAAAGAGGGAAAGGGGTTGGGGCACAGAAATAAAGGGTTGGGGTGCAGAGATAAGAGGTCAGGTTGTGGAAATAAGGGATCGGGGCTCAGAAATAAAAGGGCGGGCATGGAAATAAGGGATCAGGGCACAGAGATAAGAGGTCTGGGCATGGAAATAAGGGATCGGGGTGCAGAGATAAGAGGTCGGGGTTCCTGCCCCTCCCCCAGAAAAGTGGGACTTGCTGCTAAGGGTGAAGGACCAAGGCAGGCATCCCTGCGTGGTCTGACACCTCCGAAACCTGGGTGAATAATCAGAGAGGCGTCCCTGCAATGATTAAACACCAAGGGAAGGCTGCCTTCCCTAGTCCATGACCAGCACTGGAGTTTTGGGTCCACGGATCAAACGTGTCTCCTTTGTCTCTACCAGAAAATGAAAGGAATTGAAATTAAGAGAAGGGAGAGATTGAAGTATGGAGCAAGATTGGAAGGAGAAAGAGGTTGAGGGTTAGTGAGGGAGGTTGGAGAAGAGAGTGAAAAGAAGCCGCTTACCAGATTTGAAATTGGTGAGATGTTTCTTGGGCTGGTCAGTCTGAGGACCTGAGGTCATAGGTGGATCTTTCTCACAGAGCAAAGAGCAAGAGGACAGGGGATTGATCTCCCAAGGGAGGTCCCCCAATCCGAGTCACAGCACCAAATTTCACATGCATCTGTGTGAAGAGACCACCAAACAGGCTTTGTGTGAGCAATAAAGCTGTTTATTTCACTTGGGTACAGGTGGGCTGAGTCCAAAAAGAGAGTCAGTGAAGGGAGATAGGGTTGGGGCCATTTTACAGGGTTTGTGTAGGTAAAGGAAAAAGGGGGGTTGTTCTCTGGCAGGCAGGAGTGGGGGTCACAAGGTGCTCAGTAGGGGAGCTTTTGAGCCAGGATGAGCAAGGAGAAGGAATTTCACAGGATAATGTCATCAGTTAAGGCAGGAACTGGCCATCTGGATATGTACATGCAGGTCACAGGGGATATGATGGCTTAGCTTGGGCTCAGAGGCCTGACACTCTCCCTCCAGAGGAGGAGACCCAGACAGAAGAGGAGGAGGCAAGGTGATCACAGAGGCAAAGATTGGATCATGCAGCCACAAGTTGAGGAATTCTAGTAGCCTCTACAAGCTGGAAGAGGCAAGGAATGGATTCACCTCTAGAACCTCTGAAGGAGCATGCTCCTGCTGACATTTGATTGATTTTGGACTTCTGGCTTCCAGACAATTTTTTTTTTTTTTTTTTAGACAGAGGCTTGCTCTGTTGTCCAGTCTGGAGTGCAGTGGCATGATCTCAGTTCACTGCAACCTCCACTTCCCAGGCTCAAGCCATTCTCTTGCCTCAGCCTCCCAAGAAGCGGGGACTACAGGTGCCTGCCACCATGCATGGCTAATTTTTGTATTTTTAGTAGAGACGAGGTTTTGGCATATTGGCCAGGCTGGTCTCGAATTCCTGGCCTCAAGTGATCCACCCACCTCAGCCTTCCAAAGTGCTGAGATTATTTAGGTGTGAGCCATGGCACCTGGCCCAGACATTGTTTGAAGCCATCCATTTTATGGTTCTTTGTTGCAGTGGTTGTGGAATATGAATGCACTCATGTTGTTGGTTAGATTTTGCTGCCCTTGTGTCTGTTATTCCCTGGCAGTTCTACAGGGCCTGGAGCTGATACGAAAAACCTCCCTTCTTTCCCTAATGGTCCCCAGCTTCCCCGTTCACTGAAGGCCCTGCAGTCAGGAACAGTCAGGACTTTGCACCCAGTTGTTGTGGGTGTTTGGCCGACCCTTCCTCTTGTGTGATTCATGGACCCGCAGCATTGCATTACCTGGGAACTTTTGGAACTGAAGACTCTCAGGGCTCACCCGGGAGGACCTGCTGGGCCAGAATCTGCATTTTAACAAGATGCCCAGGTGATTTGAATACACGTTCAGTTCTGAGAAGCGCTAGTAGGAGAGGCTTTAAGGTGGTAATTAGATCTTTTCTCCACCTTCAAGAATCTTAGTTTCTTCATGTTAAATCAATTAACTGTGCCAATGTCATGGGTGTTATAAAACAAAAAATCCTTACATCAAGAATGCACCCTGGTGTGTTATGGATGTGGGTGAAATGAAATGTCTGGAATTTGCTTTAAAATATCCTAAAATAGCAAGAAGGAAAAGAAAAGTGGGAACTGGAATGAGATTGGTGAAATGTTGACAAGTTCTTGCAGTGGGATGATGGGTGCATGGGGGTTCATGGTGCAATTCTCTCCCTGATTTTTGTGCATATGGGAAATTTCCATAATGAAAAGTTAGAGGTCGGGCACGGTGGCTCATGCCTGTAATCTCAGCATTTTGGGAGGCTGAGGTGGGTAGACTGCTTGAACCTAGGAGTTCAAGACCATCCTGGACAACATGGTGAAACCCCATATCTACTAAAAATGCAAAAATTAGGCATGGTGACAACATGCCTGTAGTCATGTTGAGGTAAGAGGTTGAGATATGAGAATCACTTGAACCCAGGAGGCGGAGGTTGCAGTGAGCGGAGATCGCACCATTTCACTCCAGCCTGGGTGACAGAGTGAGACTTGTTCTCAAAAAAATTTTTAATTTTCTTTTTTTTTTTTTTGAGATAGAGTCTTGCTCTTTTGCCCAGGCTGCAGTGTAGTGGGGTGATATTGGCTCACTGCAAGCTCCACCTCTCGAGTTCACTCCATTCTTCTGCCTCAGCCTCCAGAGTAGCTGGGACTATAGGCGCCCAGCACCATGTCCGGCTAATTGTTTGTATTTTTAGTAGAGACGGGGTTTCACCGTGTTAGCCAGGGTGGTCTCAATCTCCTGACCTCGTGATCTGCCCACCTTGGCCTCCCAAAGTGCTAGGATTACAGCATGAGCCATCGTGCCCGGCCTTAATTTTGTTTAATTTTTTTTCTTTTTTGAGACAAGATCTGTAGCCCAGGCTGGAGTGCAGTGGTGCAATCCCGACTCACTGCAGCGTCTACCTCCCGGGTTCAAGCGATCCTCCCACCTCAGCCTCCCGTGTAGCTGAGACCACAGGTGTGTATCGCCACACCTGGCTATTTTTTTTCCCTTTTTCTAGAGGCAAGGTCTTGCTATTTTGCCCAGACTGGTCTTGAACTCCTGAGTTCAAGCAATTTTCCCGTCTCAGCCTGGGAGTAATCCCAAAGTTCTGGGATTGCAGGTGTGAGTCACTCTATGCAGCCTCAACTGTTTTTCATGACTCCACTTTTTCTCCCCTCTTGGAAATGAGTAGTCTTTGAGGGAATGTCATTTTGTCTCAATCTCTGGTTTCTTTGCTCAGTGCAGCTGTGTTTGGGGCTTTGTTGATCTCCAGGCCTTTTTCAGCAGCGTTGTCCCTGGAGAGCAGGATAGGAGCTGATGGCTTCTCAGCATCTTTTAACTCAGTTTAAAGATGACTATCAACAACATCTAGTCAGCATCTGTTGCTCTCGGCAGCTGGGACTTCATTTCCTTTCTCTTTCTCCACTTCTCTAACCTCTTGAAGACTCTGTCTTTGTCATGGGTACAGCATCACCTGTGTGGCCCTTAGGCTCTCTTACATATATGTGATCTGTGTATTATGTCTTTATTTCAGGGCTTCTCAGCCAGGGGGTGATTTTGCCCCCCAGAGAACATGTGGCCATGTCTGGAGACAGTTTTGGTTGTTGCGGCTGGAGGAGGTGGTGCTACTGGCAGCTAATGGGTAGAGGCCAGGGATGCTGCTAAGCATCCTACAATGCCCCGGACAACTCCCACTAAGACAGAATAATGATCCAGCCCCAAATGTCAATAGTGCTGAAAGTGAGAGACCCTGATTCCATCTTAGAGATTATCCAAGCACACTTGGCCAAATTGTTTTTGCTACTGTCCCATGAAGAAAAGGCAGACTCATGACTGATGGCAACATCGATGGGAATTTTGTTTACCTCTTCTTGGTGGACTTTGGGATACGATGACTTACCATTTGTGCAAGATGTGCATTGCACAACTCCAGGGGTCGACACCCACATATTTATGAAAATGCCACCCCAGGAATTGCACAGTACATAGTCTACGTGGTAATAAGCAGTTGCTCTGGTTATGGGGTTGCCCTGGGGTGCTCTGGAACTGGGAGGAATTTTATCTCTGACCATTAGAGGCCCTGAGCATGACATTGAGTATCCTTTCAAGAAAGGAGAAATGTTGAACATAGAGGACCTCATTTTTATAACTCTTGAACATCATCTAGTTACGGAGCATCCACTTTTCACCCCTGGGCCATATCCATTTGACGGATGAAAAATCATCAAATTATAATATCATGGCTTATACTTCTGATAGCTTCTGCCCAGAACATGGCGGTAACAGCTTCTCATTTTCAATTGATTCATTGGGGGAGAAAACATACACGGCTGCCCTAAGACTTTCTATGACACACCATTTGCTTGACGGGATTTCTTTAGTTTCTGTGGCATAACTTATTCTAACTGGTCCTCAATCACTTTGCAATAAAACCTGAGATTGTGAAGATGTTCATTGTCATTACCAGTGACGGAGCAGTAAGTACAGAGTTCTGGAGAGAGAAGGAATCGAAAGAGTTAAACTAGCAGAATGAGCCGCTCACCCTCAGAATAGCTTTTAATCTTGGTGAGAACTGAGGGGAATTTTGACAGGGTTCAGGGAGACTGCGGGGAGTGGGGCTGGGAGGTGGCTGTTTGCACGTGTGGTCAGCAAATCCAGTGAGGGGTCCATGTACTGTGGGCAGCCCCACAGATGGAGTTGGGATTGCCCTAGACTGAGTACTGTGTCATCAGTACTCAAGACATCGAGGCCCAGGCTGGTGCAGGAGATACATTGCACTGTGTCAGCCTTTCTTCTATCGCTCCTCTCCAATGACAGTCCCCGATTTTCCACTGAGGAGTCACTAGTCCCCCATGGCATGTGTGCCACTGGCCATTCCCCACCCTGATCTGGAGCTGGGGCATGTGGTCCCAGCCTGGATGCCAGTATCCTTCCACCACCCTGGCCACAGTGATTGGTTCTGAGAAGCAGATTAGCCAAAGGAGAGACAATCTTGGAAATTTCATGTTCATGCTTAAGAAAGTAAAATGGAATGGGGGGGGAGGGTGAGGGGTCATTCTGATGATATAGTTTTAGGACCTGGATGTAGCCACACTTGTAGCTGTCAACTCTGTGCCATAGTACTGCTTTTTTTTATTTTCCTTCAAATTTAAATACTTTCTAAAGGCAAGGTCTTGCTATGTTGCTTAAGCTGGTTTTGAAAGCTCCCTTTCGAGGGGATGCTTTCACTGCTTCACTTCCTTTCTATGACAGCTCAGGGAATCCGAAGACAAGGGAGATGCCTTCTTTTTTTTTTTTTTTTTTTTTTTTGAGACAGGGCTTGCTCTATTGCTCAGGCTGGAGTGCAGGGGTGCAATCACAGCTCGCCACAGCCTTGATCTTCTGGACTCAAGCGACCCTCCTGCTTCAGCCTCTTGAGTAGCTGGGACTGTAGGCGGCTACCACCATGCCCAGCTAATTAAATTTTTTTTTTTTTTTTTTTTTTTAGAAATGAGATCTCACTATGTCACCCAGGCTGGCCTCAAACTCCTGGGCTCAAGTGATCGTCCTGCCTTAGCTTCCCAAACTTACAGGTGTAAGCCCCCACGCCAGTCAACGCTGTGGTTTTATGCACCTGGTGTCCCCTACGCCCTGAGCAATGATCCTCCTGCTTCAACCTCCCAAAGTGCTGGGATAACAGATGTGAAGCAGCATGTGTGGCCCACATAGTATTCTTACGGGTTAAATTGAGTCCTCCTCAAAACATGTTGAAATCCTAAATTCTAGCAGCTCAGAACGTGACCTTATTTAGAAATAGAGTTATTGCGGACCGGGCGTGGTGGCTTATGCCTGTAATCCGAGCACTTTGGGAGGTCGAGGCGGGCGGATCACCTGAGGTCAGGAGTTTGAGACCAGCCTGACCAACATGGAGAAACCCCATCTCTACTAAAAATTCAAAATTAGCTGGGTGTGGTGGCCCATACCTGTAATCCCAACTACTCGGTAGGCTGAGGCAGGAGAATCGCTTGAACACAGGAGGCGGAGGTTGCATGGAGCTGAGATCGCGCTATTGCACTCCATCCTGGGCAACAAGAGTGAAACTCCGTCTCAAAAAAAAGAAAGAAAGAAATAGGGTTATTGCAGATGCTATTGATTAGGATGAAGTCATCCTGGAGTAGGGAGGGCCCTAAGTCAATGACTGGTGTCCTTATAAAAGAGGAGAGGACACGCCGAGTCACAGAGACACAGGGAAGAAGGCCATGGATTGGACGGAAGATTGGACTGATGCGTATGCAAACCAAGGAACACTGAAGACTGCCAGGAAACCACAGGAAGCTAGGAAGAGGCAAGGCAGGACCCCCCGACAAGTGCAGGAGGGAACGTGGCCCTGCTGGCACTTCCATTTCAGACTGCTGGCCACCAGAGCCACAAGACAATCAATTTCTCTGGTTTCAAGTCACCCTGCTTTTGGTACTTGGTTGTGGCAGCCCTAGGGAATGAATATAAGTACTTTTTTTTTTTTTCTTTTTTTGAGACGGAGTCTCGATCTGTTGCCCAGGCTGGAGTGCAGTGGCAGGATCTCGGCTCACTGCAATCTCCACCTCCTGGGTTCACGCCATTCTCCTGCCTCAGCCTCCCGAGCAGCTTGGACCACAGGCACCCGCCACCATGTCCAGCTAATTTTTTGTATTTTTAATAGAGACTAGATTTTACCCTGTTAGCCAGGATGGTCTCCATCTCCTGACCTCGTGATCCGCCTGCCTCAGCCTCCCAAAGTGCTGGGATTACAGGCATGAGCCACCACGCCCAGCCGAATATAAGTACTTTTAAATTAACTCTCCTCTTCTCTCCATCTTCTTCTAAATCATCATTTTTGCCTAAGCAACAGCTAGGGTCTAATACGGATGTGATGACTCACTTCAAAGTGGGGGAAGCCCCCATGTGCACCCAAAGCTCCTGCTGCCTTGGCCCTGGGTTCAGAGACTGGACTATCATTCTGGGGGCTTGCTGGAGATCTGAGCCAGGGCATCATTCTCTGTTGCCTTTAAACAAAGGCTGGTGCTCGCCCAGGCATGTGAGCTCCACCGAGGATCTATTTGGAAGGCAGAATTCTGAGATGACCCCTTAGGTTCTTGCCCTGGGTAAATGCCAGGTGTAATCTCCTCTCCCCTGGAGTGTAGGCAGGACCCGCGGCTGGTTTCTAATCTATACCTATGGAAAAGTTGAAGGGATTTTGCAGATGTAACTAAGCCCCTAATCCGTTCACTCTGAGTTAATCAAAAGGGAGATTATTCAGGGTGGGCCTGACATCTATAGGTGAGATCTTCAATGAGGGTCTGGAGGAGAGAGACTCCTTCCTCCTGGTTTTTGGTTTTTGTTTGTTTTTGACATGGAGTCTCACTCTGTTGCCCAGGCTGGAGTGCAGTGGCAAAATCTTGGCTTACTGCAACCTCTGCCTCCCGGGTTCAAGTGATTCTCCTGCCTCAGCTTCCCAAGTAGCTGGGATTACAGGCGTGCACCATCATGCCCGGCTAAGTTTTGTATTTTTAGTAGAGACGGGTTTTCACCATATTGGCCAGGCTGGTCTCGAACTCCTGACCTCAGGTGATCCACCTGCCTCGGCCTCCGAAAGTGCTGGGATTACAGGCGTGAGCCACCATGCTTGGCTGGTTTTGAAGAAGCCAGCCACATGAGTTCCACAGTTGCATGGAAATAAATTCTGCCAACAACCATGTGAGGTTGGGAGAAGACCCCAAACCTCATATGAGACACTAATTCCAGCCAACACTTTGATCACAACCTTGTAAGGACCTGAGCAGAGCACCCAGCTAAAGCTGCACCCCCAGACTCCTGACCCACAGGAAAGGAGAGGTAATAGATGGGTGTTTTAAGCTGCTAAATTTGTTGATTTGTTATGCAGCTTAGAAAATAAATACATCATTCCATGTTTAAAAAATCATAAGCTAATCACACCACTCGAATTCTTTTTTTTTTTTTTTTTTTTTTGAGACAGAGTCTCACTCTATCGCCCAGGCTGGAGAGCAATGGCGCAATCTTGGCTCACTGTAACCTCCGCCTCCCAGGTCCAAGTGATTCCCTTGCCTCAGCCACCCAAGTAGCTGGGACTACAGGCATGCACAAACACACCCAGCTAATTTTTGTATTTTTAGTAGAGATGGAGTTTCACCATTTTCGCCAGGCTGGTCTCGAACTGCTGACCTCAAGTTACCTGCCTTCCTCAGCCTCCCAAAGTGCTGGGGTTACTGACATGAGCCACCGCACCCGGCCTGACATACTATTCAATTTTAAGGAACTTCCAGGTTCTGTGGTCACGCCCCTCTTGTGTGGCATGCAGGTGGGGAGAGATGGGTTGGAAGATGACTGGATGGGGGCATGGAGTTAGGTGGGAAGAGGAAAAGTGTCTTGAAGGAAGTAAGTCCCTTCAGATAAGGGAGTGGGAAGTTTGATCAATGTGCAGACTTTCACAGCCCTTCAGTCCTTGGGATATTGGAGGAGAGACAGGTATTGCCTTACATTTGAGAGTTACCATCCCAGGCAGAGGCCCTACTTCCACCTTCTTGCAGGTGGGGCTGGGGGGCAAATACTTAGAGGAGAAACGAACACCCTTTGTTAGTATGTGAAAAGTTTCTGGAGTGGAGAGATGATGAAGCAGGATATTTGGAGTCAACAGCAAAAGTTTTTATTTTTTATTTTTTATTATACTTTAACTTTTAGGGTACATGTGTACAAAGTGCAGGTTTGTTACATATGTATACATGTGTCATGTTGGTGTGCTGTACCTATTAACTCGTCATTTAACATTAGGTATATCTCTTAATGCTATCCTTCCCCACTCCCCCGACCCCACAACAGGCCCCGGTGTGTGATATTCCCCTTCCTGTGTCCATGTGTTCTCATTGTTTAATTCCCACCTATGAGTGAGAACGTGCAGTGTTTTGTTTTTTGTCCCTGCAATAGTTTGCTGAGAATGATGGTTTCCAGCTTCATCCATGTCCCTACAAAGGACATGAACTCATCATTTTTTATGGCTGCATAGTATTCCATGGTGTATATGTGCCACAGTTTCCTGACGCAGTCTATTGTTGTTGGACATTTGGCTTGGTTCCAAGTCTTTGCTATTGTGAGTAGTGCTGCTATAAGCATACGTGGGCATGTATCTTTATAGCAGCATGATTTATAATCCTTTGGGTATATACCTAGAAATGGGATGGCTGTGTCAAATGGTATTTCTAGTTCTAGATCCCTGAGGAATTGCCACACTGAATTCCACAATGGTTGAACTAGTTTACAGTCCCACCAACAGTGTAAAAGTGGTCCTATTTCCCCACATACTCTCCAGCACCTGTTGTTTCCTGACTTGTTAATGATTGCCATTCTAACTGGTGTGAGATGGTATCTCATTGTTGTTTTGAGTTGCATTTCTCTGGCCAGTGATGATGAGCATTTTTTTCACGTGTCTTTTGGCTGCATAAATGTCTTCTTTTGAGAAGTGTCTTTTCATATCCTTCATCCACTTTTTGATGGGTTGTTTGTTTTTTTCTTGTAAATTTGTTGGAGTTCATTGTAGATTCTTGATATTAGCCTCAGATGAGTAGATTGCAAAAATTTTCTCCCATTCTGTAGGTTACCTTTTCACTCTGATGGTAGTTTCTTTTGCTGTGCAGAACCTCTTTAGTTTAATTAGATTCCATTTGTTAATTTTGGCTTTTGTTGCCATTGCTTTTGGTGTTTTAGACATGAAGTCCTTGCCCAGGCGTATGTCCTGAATGGTATTGCTGAGGTTTTCTTCTAGGGTTTTTATGGTTTTAGGTCTAACATTTAAGTCTTTAATCCATCTTGAATTAATTTTTGTGTAAGTTGTAAGGAAGGGATCCAGTTTCAGCTTTCTACATATGGCTAGCCAGTTTTCCCAGCACCATTTATTAAATAGGGAATCCTTTCCCCATTGCTTGTTTTTGTCAGGTTTGTCAAAGATCACATGGTTGTAGATATGTGGCATTATTTCTGAGGGCTCTGTTCTGTTCCATTGGTCTATATCTCTGTTTTGGTACAAGTACCATGCTGTTTTGGTTACTGTAGCCTTGTAATATAGTTGGAAGTCAGGTAGCGTGATGCCTCCAGCTTTGTTCTTTTGGCTTAGGATTGACTTGGTGATGCAGGCTCTTTTTTGGTTCCATATGAACTTTAAAGTAGTTTTTTCCAATTCTGTGAAGAAAGTCATTGGTAGTTTGATGGGGATGGCATTGAATCTATAAATTACCTTGGGCAGTATGGCCATTTTCATGATATTGATTCTTCCTATCCATGAGCATGGAATGTTCTTCCATTTGTTTGTATCCTCTTTTATTTCATTGAGCAGTGGTTTGTAGTTCTCCTTGAAGAGGTCCTTCACGTCCCTTGTAAATTGGATTCCTAAGTATTTTATTCTCTTTGAAGCTATTGCGAATGTGAGTTCACTCATGATTTGGTTCTGTTTGTCTGTTATTGGTGTATAAGAATGCTTGTGATTTTTGTACATTGATTTTGCATCCTGAGACTTTGCTGAGGTTACTTAGCTTAAGGAGATTTTGGGCTGAGACAATGGGGTTTTCTAGATATACAATCATGTCGTCTGCAAACAGGGACAATCTGACTTCCTCTTTTCTTAATTGAATACCCTTTATTTCCTTCTCCTGCCTGATTGCCCTGGCCAGAACTTCCAACACTATGTTGAATAGGAGTGGTGAGAGAGGGCATCCCTATCTTGTGCCAGTTTTCAAAGGGAATGCTTCCAGTTTTTGCCCATTCAGTATGATATTGGCTGTCGGTTTGTCATAGATAGCTCTTATTATTTTGAGATATGTCCCATCAATACTTAATTTATTGAAAATTTTTAGCATGAAGGTTGTTGAATTTTGTCACAGGACTTTTCTGCATCTAATGAGATAATCATATGGTTTTTGTCATTAGTTCTGTTTATATGCTGGGTTATGTTTACTGATTTGCATATGTTGAACCAATCTTGCATCCCAGGGAGGAAGCCCACTTGATCATGGTGGATAAGCTTTTTGATGTGTTGCTGGATTCGTTTTGCCAGTATTTTATAGAGGATTTTTCTATTGATATTCATCAGGGATATTGGTCTAAAATTCTCGTTTTATGTTTTGTCCCTGCCAGGCTTTGGTATCAGGATGATGCTGGCCTCATAAAATGAGTTAGGGAGGATTCCCTCTTTTTCTATTCATTGAAATAGTTTCAGAAGGAATGGTACCAGCTCCTCCTTGGACCTCTGGTAGAATTCGGCTGTGAATCCGTCTGGTCCTGGACTTTTTTTTGGTTGGTAAGCTATTAATTATTGCCTCAATTTCAGAGCCTATTATTGGTCTATTCAGAGATTCAGCTTCTTCCTGGTTTAGTTTTGGGAGGGTATATGTGTCGAGGAATTTATCCATTTCTTCTAGATTTTCTAGTTTATTTGTGAAGAGGTGTTTACAGTATTCTCTGATGGTACTTTGTATTTTTGTGGGATTGGTGGTGATATCCCCTTTATCAATTTTTATTGTGTCTATTTGATTCTTCTCTCTTTTCTTCTTTATTAGTCTTGCTAGTGGTCTATCAGTTTTTTTGATCTTTTCAAAAAAACAGCTCCTGGATTCATGGATTTTTTTAAGGGTTTTTGGTGTCTCTATTTCCTTCAGTTCTGCTCTGATCTTAGTTATTTCTTGCCTTCTGCTGGCTTTTCAATGTGTTTGCTCTTTGCTTCTGTAGTTCTTTTAATTGTGATGTTAGGGTGTCAATTTTAGATCTTTCCTGCTTTCTTTTGTGGGCATTTAGTGCTATAAATTTCCCTCTACACACTGCTTTGAATGTGTCTGAGAGATTCTGGTACGTTGTGTCTTTGTTCTCGTTGGTTTCAAAGAACATCTTTATTTCTGCCTTCATTTAGTTATGCACCCAGTAGTCATTCAGGAGCAGGTTGTTCAGTTTTCGTGTAGTTGAGCAGTTTTGAGTGAGTTTCTTAATCCTGAATTCTAGTTTGATTGCACTGTTGTCTGAGAGACAGTTTGTTATAATTTCTGTTGTTTTACAATTGCTGAGGAGTGCTTCACTTCCAAATATGTGGTCAATTTTGGAATAAGTGTGTTGTGGTGCTGAGAAGAATGTATATTCTGTTGATTTGGGGTGGAGAGTTCTGTAGATGTCTATTAGGTCCGCTTGGTGAAGAGCTGAGTTCAATTCCTAAATATCCTTGTTAACTTTCTGTCTCCTTGATCTGTCTAATGTTGACAGTGGGGTGTTAAAATCTCCCATTATTATTTTGTGGGAGTCTAAGTCTCTTTGTAGGTCTCTAAAGACTTGCTTTATAAATCTGGGTGCTCCTGTGTTGGGTGCATATATATTTAGGATAGTTAGCTCTTCTTGTTGAATTGATCCCTTTACGATTATGTAATGGCCTTCTTTGTCTCTTTTGATCTTTGTTGGTTTAAAGTCTGTTTTATCAGAGACTAGGATTGCAACACCTGCCTTTTTTTTGTTTTCCATTTGCTTGGTAGGTCTTCCTCCATCCCTTTATTTTGAGCCTATGTGTGTCTCTGCACATGAGATGGGTTTTCTGAATACAGCATACTGATGGGTCTTGACTCTTTATCCAATTTGCCAGTCTGTCTTTTAATCAGAGAATTTACCCATTGACATTTAAGGTTAATATTGTTATGTGTGAATATGATCCTGTCATTATGATGTTATCTGGTTATTTGGCTCATTAGTTGCAGTTTCTTCCTAGCCTCGATGGTCTTTACAATTTGGCATGTTTTTGCAGTGGCTGGTACCTGTTGTCCCTTTCCATGTTTAGTGCTTCCTTCAGGAGCTCTTGCAGGGCAGGCCTGGTGGTGACAAAATCTCTCAGCATTTGCTTGTCTGTAAAGTATTTTATTTCTCCTTCACTTATGAAGCTTATTTTGGCTGGATATGAGATTCTGGGTTGAAAATTCTTTTCTTTAAGAGTGTTGAATATTGGCCCCCAATCTCTTCTGGCTTGTAGAATTTCTGCCAAGAGATCAGCTGTTAGTTTGATGGGCTTCCCTTTGTAGGTAACCCGACCTTTCTCTCTGGCTGCCCTTAACATTTTTTCCTTCATTTTAACTTTGGTGAATCTGACAATTATGTGTCTTGGAGTTGCTCTTCTTGAGGAGTATCTTTGTGGTGTTCTCTGTATTTCCTTAAGTTGAATGTTGGCCTGCCTTGGTAGATTGGGGAAGTTCTCCTGCCTAATATCCTGCAGTGTTTTCCAACTTGGTTCCATTCTCACTGTCACTTTAA
Source organism: Homo sapiens (assembly GCF_000001405.40). NCBI lineage: Eukaryota > Metazoa > Chordata > Mammalia > Primates > Hominidae > Homo > Homo sapiens. The sequence continues at coordinate 9,082,063 of NC_000004.12, read as the reverse complement.
GGTACATCAATCAGACGTAGATTTGGTCTTTTCACATAGTCCCATATTTCTTGGAGACTTTGTTCATTTCTTTTTATTCTTTTCTCTCTAAACTTCTCACTTCATTTCATTCATTTCATCTTCCATCACTGATACCCTTTCTTCCAGTTGATCAAATCAGCTACTGAGCCTTGTGCATTTGTCACGTAGTTCTTGTGTCTTGGTTTTCAGCTCCATCAGGTCCTTTAAGGACTTCTCTGCATTGGTTATTCTAGTTAGCCATTCGTCTAATTTTTTTCAAGGTTTTTAACTTCTTTGCCATGGGTTCAAACTTCCTCCTTTAGCTCAGAGTAATTTGATCATCTGAAGCCTTCTTCTCTCAACTCGTCAAAGTCACTCTCTGTCCAGCTTTGTTCCATTGCTGGTGAGGAGCTGCATTCCTTTGGAGGAGGAAAGGTACTCAGATTTTTAGAGTTTCCAGTTTTTCTGCTCTGTTTTTTCCCCATCTTTGTGGTTTTATCTACCTTTGGTCTTTGATGATGGTGACGTACAGATGGGGTTTTATTGTGGAAGTCCTTTCTGTTTGTTAGTTTTCCTTCTGAGAGTCAGGACCCTCAGCTGCATGTCTGTTGGAGTTTGCCTGGGTATCAGCAGTGGAGGCTGCAGAACAGCGGATATTGTTGAGCAGCAAATGTTGCTGCCTGACTGTTCCTCTGGAAGTTTTGTCTCAGAGGAGTACCCGGCCATATGAGGTGTCAGTCTGCCCCTACTGGGGGGTGCCTCCCAGTTAGGCTACTCGGGGGTCAGGGACCCACTTGAGGAGGCAGTCTGTCCATTCTCAGATCTCCAGCTGCGTGCTGGGAGAACCACTACTCTCTTCAAAGCTGTCAGACAAGGATATTTAAGTCTGCAGAGGATTCTGCTGCTTTTTGTTTGCCAATGCCCTGTCCCTAGAGGTGGAGTCTACAGACGCAGGCAGGCCTCCTTGAGCTGTGTTGGGCTCCACCCAGTTGGAGCTTCCCAGCTGCTTTGTTTACCTACTGAAGCCTAGGAAATGGCAGGTGCCCCTCCCCCAGACTTGCTGCCACCTTGCAGTTTGATCTCAGACTACTGTGCTAACAATGAGTGAGGCTCCATGGGTGTAGGACCCTCTGAGCCATGCATGGGATATAATCTCCTGGTGTGCCATTTGCTAAGGCCGTTGGAAAAGTGCAGTATTAGGGTGGGAGTGACCCAATTTTCCAGGTGCCATCTGTCACCCATTTCTTTGACCTGGAAAGGGAATTCTCTGACCCCTTGCACTTCCCGGGTGAGGCAATGCCTCGCCCTGCTTGGGCTCATGCTCACTAGCTGCACCAAGTTTCCTGCACCCACTTTCTGACACTCCCCAGTGAGATGAACCCAGTACCTCAGTTGGAAATGCAGAAATCACCTGTCTTCTGCATTGCTCACGCTGGGAACTGTAGACTGGAGCTGTTCCTATTCTGCCATCTTGGCTCCACCCCCACTATTATGATTCTTACACAGAGTCCTTTGCTTTTCAGCAGCCTCCTTTTCCTCCTTTTTAGGTTGGAATCCCTCTATTTTAGTGGCCACTGGGATTCTGAAATGACCAGGTCTTTGTCTCAGAGACCTGACACATGCTCTTCCCTCTGTCTGGAACACATTTCCTTGCTCTGGTCCCCTGAGAACTCTTTCAGCTCAGCTGCCCCATGCTCAGAGACCCCCTTTCTCCCTCTCTAGTTTGAAGCCAGATTACCCCTGTAGTCTGCACCTGGAAAACTCGTTTTCCTCCTTGATGCCTCCCGAGTTGTCATGAGATGTATGTGTCTGTTTGGGTGTCTGGTGTCTGTCTCCCCGAATGGACTGCATGCTCCTGGTGAGCTGAAGGGACTGGATTAACACAGGCCAAGGCTCTGGGGCTGGAGGGAGCAGGGCAGAAGGCACAGGCAAAAGGCCTTTGTGATCCGGAAGGAAGTGAAGGAGAGAGAGATGAGAGAGGCTGGCAGAACATGGGCCAGGGGCCAGGCTGTGTGGGATCTTTTGAGCCACAGAAAGACATTTGAATTCTCATGTAAGAGAACCAGGACACCATTGGAGGGTATGAGTCACCTCATCTAACTGAGCTCTGTAAATGTCAATGTTTTATTATTTTTATACAATTATTTAAAAGTGATTTTAGTTATTTACCTTTTTATTTTTATTACTTTTATTTTTTTTGAGATAAAGTCTTGCTCTGTTGCCCAAACTGGAGTGCAATGGCATGATCTTGGCTCACTTCAACTTCAACCCCACAGGTTCAAGCGATTCTCCTGCATCAGACTCCCGAGTAGCTGTGGTTATAGGCCTCTGCCACCACGCCCAGCTTATTTTTGTATTTTTAGGATAGACGACGTTTCACCATGTTGGCCAGGCTGGTCTTGAACTCCTGACCTCAGGTGGTCTACCCGCCTCAGCCTCCCAAAGTGCCGGGATTACAAGGGTGAGTCACCATGCCTGGCCCTATTTACTTTTTTAAAAAAGATAAGGCCAGGCACGGTAGCTCATGTCTCCAATCTCAGCACTTTGGGAAACTGAGTTGGGATGTTCACTTGAGACCAGGAGTTCAAAACCAGCCTAGGCAACATAGTGAGACACCACCTGCCCCAATTTCTAAGAAAATGAGAAAATTAGACACGGTGGCTTGTCTGTATCCCCAGCTACTGGGGAGCCTGAGCTAGGGAGCCCTGCTTGAGACCAGGAGTGTGAGGCTCCACTGAGCTGTGATTATGCCACTGAGCTACAGCCTGGGCAACAGAGTGAGACCCCGGAGCCTCCTCAGCCTCCCTAGAGCTGACCGAGCTTTTGCTTCTTATCGCAGGGAATGACCGACACTGGGGCTTTGATGGGCAGAGTGGCCCTTACCTGTGATGGCAGTGAAGTGGGACGGGGAGGTCATTGTGACAAGGGGTGGCATGAGGTACTTGGCCTTGACGCCCTCCCCAGCCAGATGGTCCAGGTTGGGGGTGTCCACATCCTGATCCTAGTTCCAGCGGAAGCGCTGGAAGGAGATCAGCAGCAGCTGTGAGTGTTCTTCTTCCCTGGGACGAGGTGGCCGCCCAGCACGACCGGCGGCGGCAGCAGCAGCTGGAGGGCGCCGAGCCATGTCATCCCACGAGCACCTGTCATGCACTCCTCACACAGTTCATGGGCTTCGCCCTCTTTAGTCCGTTGTTGAACAAAGTCCACATTAATAATTCAGCCCAGCTCTGTTGTGGGACAAACAACCTGGAGTGAAGCAAGGTGCTGCATATTTGCAGGACAGGATGAAAGCGTTCTGGGGATGGATGGGGGACATGGTTGTACAATGTGGTGGACGCACTTAACACCACTGAATTTTTCCTTCGAAAATGGCTAAAATAATAGATTTTTTATGTACTTTACCACAATAAAAAATCAAACTGACCAGGCATGGTGGCTTACAACTGTAATCCCAGCACTTTGGGACGCCAAGACGGGTAGATATTTGAGGTCAGGAGTTCAAGACCAGCCTGGCCCATGGAGAAACCTCATCTCTACTAAAAATGCAAAAATTAGCCGGGCGTGGTGGTACATGTCTGTAATCCCAGCTACTCGGGAGGCTGAGGCAGGAGAATTGCTTGAACCCGGGAGGCGGAGGTTGCAGTGAGCCGAGATCGTGCCACTGCATTCCAACCTGGACGATGGAACGAGACTGCATCTCCAAAGAAAAAAAAATCAAACTACATGAACTATTTTGGATTCTTATACTAATTCGCCACATGAAATATTTTGGACTCTTAAACTAATTCCAACATTTTGAAGATCTGGGGAGAACAAACTAGATTGGTGCTTTCCTTGGCTTAGTATGTCCTGTTTTTATAGGGAGAGCAAATTATTGTTCACCAGCACTATTAAAATAGCTACAACAGGATGGGCATGGTGGCTCACACCTGTAATCCCAGCACTTTGGGAAGCTGAGGCAGGCGGATCACCTGAGGTCAGGAGTTTCCAGCACTTTGGGAAGCTGAGGCGGGCAGATCACCTGAGGTCAGGAGTTCAAGACCAGCCTGGCCAACATGACAAAACCCCGTCTCTACTAAAATATATGAAAATTAGCCAGGCGTGGTGGCAGGCGCCTGTAATCCCAGCTACTTGGGATGCTGAGGCAGGGAAATTGCTTGAACCCTGGAGTTGGAGGTGGCAGTAAGCCGAGATCGTACCACTGCACTCCAGCCTGGGCAACAGAGTGAGACTCTGTCCCCCCTCCCAAAAAAAAGTTACTAAGCTAAAGAGAAAAGTCAAGCTGGGAACTGCTTAGGGGAAACCTGCCTCCCATTCTATTCAGTCACACCTTTGCTCGCTGAGATAAATGTATATCTGATTGCCTCATTTGAAGAGGCTAATCAGGAACTCAAAAGAATGCAATGATTTGTCTCTTAACTACCTATGACCTGGAAGCCCCTTCCCCTTGTCTCACCATCACCTTCACCTGGAGTTGTCCCGCCTTTCCAGACTGAACCAATGTACATCTTACACATATTGATTGATGTCTCATGTCTCTCTAAAAGGTATGAAAGCAAGCTGTGTCCCCACCACCTTAAGCACATGTTGTCAGGACCTCCTGAGGCTGTGTCACAGGTGTGCGTCCTCAACCTTGGCAAAATAAACTTTCTCAATTAACTGAGACCTCAGATTTTTCGAGTGCATATAGTCTTAGGCCTTGAGAGCCCTCTCGTAGTTTCTATATTTTTGCCCTCTTCGATGCTGGCACCAAGCAAACCTTGGCTATCCTGCTTAAAGGGCCATTTGGAGAGTGGTTCTACAGGGCGAGGGGCCACATGGAGGAAAACAAGTTTCCCCAGCTGACAACCAGCACCAACTGCCAGGCACATGCATGAGGTCATCCTGGATGTTCCACCCAGCTGGCCCTCCAGCTGCAGGTAGCCACACAAATGAGCCAAGGTTAAACCAGCCAGGAAGTCCCCATGCAACTCACAGGGTCATGAGCAATAATGACTTGAGGTGGTTTAAAGTTTCTAATTTTAGGTGCAATAGGTAACTGAAACAGCCCACAAGGGTGTGAGCCTGTGGAGGGTGCATTTCCCACCTGCTGAAGCTTCTCAATTCCCAGGATCCAATCCGGATAAGACTCTTGTTCTCAGTGTCCTTGATGGAAATGGCAATGAACTTTTTGCAGATTGGACCATCTCAGGGGAATCCCAAAGATCGGAAACTATTTTCTTTCTCAGAATCTTCCACACAACATTGAGCCTTAGGAATTTCTAAGAAGGATCTGGAATGAAAAAAAAATCTTTTGAAAAGGTATTTATATAGCTTCAGTTCAGCAAGATTCATGGTGACTGTTAGACTAAGTGCTGGTGTTAAGCCAAACCATGTTTTTCAAAGACTCATCTGGCCTCAAGGTTGGCAGGATCAGAATGGCCTCCCAGGATCTATCACATCCTCATAAGAGTTGGTTCAGCTGGCATATACCCAGATCTCTTTGAGCTAGTATGATACTCCTTTAAGTCAAAGGCTGCCACATCACATCTCCTTTAAGTCCCCCTAAGTACGACCCCAGAAGTATTGACAAAATAGTGCTATTCCTGAAGATTTCAGGAGGACATAAATGAAGAGATTAAACTGCAAGGTACCAAAACTTCCATCTTTGCTAAAGACCCTCATCCATGCTGGGCACGGTGACTCATGCCTGTAATCCCAGCACTTTGGGAGGCCAAGGCGGGCGGATCACCTGAGGTCGGGAGTTCAAGACCAGCCTGACCAACATGGAGAAACCCCATCTCTACAAAAAAGACACAATTATCCGGGAGTGGTGGCACATGCCTGTAATCCCAGCTACTAGGGAGGCTGAGGCAGGAGAAGCGCTTGAACCTGGGAGGCGCAGGTTGTGGTGAGCTGAGATCGTGCCATTGCACTCCAGCCTGGGCAACAAGAGTAAAACTCCATCTCAAAAACAAACAAACAAAAAGCCCTTATCCAGTGGTCATGCCACTCTATCTGGCCATGTAATTTCTCCTCCTGTCTTTATGTAGCAACAGCCTTCTGAGGAACCTCACTCTGCCTTTCAAAACCCCTTCAACTTGTACCCTTCATCAGCAAAGTACTTAGCTCAACATGTATGCCTCTGGGGGAACTCATCCGCATGCCATTTCAGGATATTTCCAGCAACATCATCTTCACTACCCCAGGATGGCATTTTAGAGTGGATTACGTGCCTGCTGGATGTGTTGTACTTGAACGAGTTAGAGAAAATGCCACACTTTGAGACTAATTAAGAGTCTGTTCATTTAGCCGGCGGCTAAGAAATGGCTAACGTTTAAAGTTCTCTCGGCCTCGAAGAAGGGGCTAGATTTTCTTTTATACTTTGGTTTAGAAAGGGGAGGGGTATCTAGTTAAAACAATTTTACAGAAGTAGGCAAAAAAGTTAAAAGGATAAATTGTTACAGGAAAGTAAACAGTTCTAGGTCTAGGGGCTTTTAGACTATTATGAGGTGACAGACGCGGGGCTTTGGGCGTTATCAATTGGACGAATTCCTGGGAACTGCGGATATTGCTCACCACAGTATTTTATCAGTTAATTGCATTCTTCGATGTGCTGGGAGTCAGCTTGCACAAGTTAAGTCCTTGAGGAAGGGGCTGCCAGTGAAAGAGCCAAGATTGAGTCTGTCTGGCTCTCTTAGCTAAGGGAGAGTCAATTCAGGTGGAAACAAGGCTAGGTGATTAAAAGAAAGGGAGAGTCTAAGGACAGGGTTAGTAAAAACAAGGTTGGGCATTACATTCCTCACTTGTGTTTTTGGGGAATCAAATCGTTGATTCTTCAGTTATAACAAGGGGGTTATATTGAGTCTTAAGATACATAAGTTTGACAGAAGCTATGCGTTGTTTTACAAAATTAAGAAACTAATTAAATATACAAGGTCCAAAAATTAGACTTAATAGTAGGATGGGGAGGGGGTCTGGCTAACGTAGTAATTAGAATAGTTAGCTCTGGGTTCTAGTTGAACATGTTTTGATACTAGGGGATGTTATTTTCTTGTTTTTGTTGGCGCTTATCTAGATTTTCTTGCACTTTCTGGAGTATATCTTTCATGACTAAGAATGGTGAAGGAACAGTTAAATCAACTTTGTCAGGGTGTTTCTGGAACATAGGGTTACTTAGATCAGTTAAAGGCCTGACTGACTTGGGTGGGCTTTATGAGACTAGGGTTTTTTTGGACGGTGAACATAGACTTAACATTAAATCCTGGGATATAAAATCTCAATCTTCATGACAGGCCATGATACTATTGAGTTGAATTAAGGTCATGGACAGTTATAGTAAGAGGATTACAATTTTTTCTAGTACATAATTTAGGATGAGAAGCAGGACTTATGGAAAGAGTTGAAGATCTGGTTGATCTTTTAGAGTAGGTGGCTAAAGTTACACATGTCTAATCAGGACAGGAAAACTGATAAGTATCTTGACAGCTAGCATCAGGGTGATTTCTCGGACAGAGGTAAAAGTCAATATTTTGGAGTCTTTTTTCTGCACTTTTGGAGCTTCTACACTTAGTTTGGCTCTTGGAGTGTCTGAATCTTGCTAAAAGGTCGACACTTCCTGCTCCTGGAACTGGCAGATTGTGTTGCTTTTCGTGGGTATGGGCTGGCTTTGGGAAAAGTACAAATAAGTCAACTGCAAAGGAGACTTCCTTGGAGGTACTGGCCTTCTAAATGGTGTTTGCAAATGCACGTCCTGTTGTGAAAGAGGTGAGGAGAAAGGAGTAGGAAGGCACAGAGGATGTAACGGGCAAAAACAAGTAAGTTAGGTAGTAAAAAGAATGAATCTAATGGCTTCACCTGATTTAGGTGCAGTTTTAAGGGGCCTGACTTAGGCCTGGGGACTTATGTTTTTAGCTGGGCTCTGTTGGCCTTTTTGATGCGGGAGTGATGAATCTAGGCAGGAATGCCGTCTACTTTCAGAGCAGTTGGAGTCGTGAGGATGACGGTGTGAGGTCTTTTCTAAGCAGGAGTGAGTCTTTCTTTCTGGAAATTTTTAACAAACACTAGGTCTCATGGCTGTAACGAATGGCAGGACTTTGGTCAGGAATTGGATTGGGATGGGCTCCTCGAACAAGTGGCAGGATAATATCTTGTACCTGTTGGAGAGAATATAGGTACTGTAATAAATTATTTTGTGATATTTCTGCTAATTTGGCTTCTCTTAGCTTAGGCAAGATAGGGGGTGCCTTCTTATACATGATTTCAAAAGGTGAGAAACTAGCCTGGTAAGGGGTGCACCTTACTTTAAGTAGGGCTAAAGGAAGGAGACTTACTTAATTTACACTGTTTTTTTAGATTAATTTTGTAAGAGTGTTTTTTAGGGTGTGGTTCATGCGTTCTACTTGCCTGGAGCTCTGGGGTTGATAGGCACCATGATTGAATGTTTAAGGCCTTACTGACTGACTGAGCTATAGGCGAGGTGAAGGCTGCTCTATTATCAGAGTTTATGGCAACAGGCAGCCTATACTGAACGATGATTTCATTGAGTAAAAACTTAACTACTGTGTTGGTGGTTTCGTTTTCGGTAGCAAATGCCTTAGTCTATCTGGAGAAGGTGTCTACTAGTACTAGAAGGTATTTGTACTTAGCCTGGTGTGGTTTGACTTCTGTAAAGTCAATTTCTTAGTTTTTTCTTGGCGAGTTTTTTCAGAGACAGTGGCCTCGGCTGGGTTTAGGACTTTCTTTGGCATTTACTTGGGCGCAGGTTGTGAACTGGAGAGCTGCTTAATCTGTTAGGCTTTGAAGACGGGGGATCTTAAAATGGCTCTGGAGAAGCTAAGGTAGATTTGCTCTTCTTAAATGGGTGGTAGACTGTAGGTAACTGATTAAAGTTTCTTTAAGAGTTCACGGTATGAAGATTCTAAAGTCAGGAAGAATCTACTAACTTTCCTGATTTTTATTGGCTCTGAGATCCGAAGCCAGTTTTTTTTGTTGTTGTTGTTGAGTATACAGGATTGTCAGGCAGATCTGGCTGTGGAAAGGAGACTGTGGACAGCAAGTTTAGAGGCGTGACTGAAAGTCTTGCTGCGATCTGAGCTGCTGAATCAGGTTTCTGGTTACTATGGGCAACGGCCGTGTTTTCTTTTTGATGTCCTTTGCAGTGGATCACAGCTACCTGCTGAGGTGAGTAGCCTGCTTTCCTGGTAGATGGCTTTATGTACATGCACAGTAGCTAAGGCGTACTTGCTGTCAGTGTAAATGTTAATACGTTTATTCTTACTTTATCGGAGAGCCTGAGTGAGGGCCATCAATTCAGCCTTTTGTGCTGAGTTGTTCGCTGGTAAAGCTTGAGCTTACAACACATCTGTCTCCGTGGTAACAGCTGCACTGACTTTTCATACTTTCTGCTTGAGGAAGATGCTACTGTCTGTGAACACGGCGGCATCTGCCTTTTCTAGGGGCACAGCTTGAAGATCAGATAGGCCAGATTCGATAGTTTCTAACAGTTCTTGACAGTCATGAGCAGGAATAGTGGAGTCTGAGTCAGGAAGTAGTGTAGCTGGATTGAAACACTTTGTGGGAGAGAAAGTCAAACGAGGCTGATCTACCAGTAAACTTCGATACTGCAAGATGCGAGCATTTGACATCTATTTGCCAGAAGCACTTCATAGTAAGGTCTTTACTGCATGAGGAGCTGTAAGGGTTAAATTTTGGCTTAGAGTTAACTTATCATCTCCTTGGGCCAGGCTTGCTATAGCCACTACGGCTCACAGACAACTTGGCCATCTAGAGGCCACAGGATCTAGCCTCTTAGATAAATAGGCCACTGGGCGTCTTTAGGGTCTTAGAGTCTGAGTAAACACGTCTTTAGCAACTTCTTGGCTTTTATGGAGATATTAGGGAGGGCTAAAGCAGGGGCTTCAGTTAATGCTAAATTAACGGGCTATTTCATTCTGTACTTCTTGGATAGCCACCACTAAGATTTTTGTTTGTCTTTTGAATGCTTTATCAGCGGCCTTTTCAGCTGCCTGTGTTGCTTGTTTTTGTTTTTTAAACTTTTGATTGTCAAAAACTTTTTGGGCTATTTCTAAAAGCTGACTGATATTTATTCTAGCAAATCTTTTTAGTTTTTGGAGTTTCTTTTTAATATCCGGGGCTGCCTGAGCCACAAATGCTAAATGAAGAGCACGGCTATTTTCGGGAGCTGCCGGGTCAAAAGGGGTGTAAGTCCGATAAGCCTCCTGGAGGCGCTCTAAAAACGTTCTTGGTGACTTATCGGGCCTTTGGACAACTTCGGTCGTCTTAGACAAGTTTATGGGTTTCTGAGCGGCTCTTTTAATACTTGCGAGGAGATACCGGTGAAAATCGTCTAAAGCTCCCTTTCTACTTGAGGAATTTGGGTCCCGGTTAGGCCAGGTAGAGGCAAAGACCACCTCAAGGAGGTCTCTAGCTCCTTCTTCCGGTCCGTTGGCTGATGTGAGGAAGTACTTTTTGGCTTCTTTTGGATACGTTCTTTCTTTTCAGAGGTGAAAAGGGTTAAAAGGAGCTGTTGGCAATCATCTTAGGTGGGTGAGTGAGTCCGGAGTACAGACTCTGTCAGAGAGGTCAAAGCCTGGGGCTTTTCAGAGAAGGGAGGATTATGGGTTTTCGAATTATATAAGTCAGAAGTAGAAAAAGGAACACAAACTAAGAAGGGTGCTGAGCCCTCATCACCTGGAGGGACTTGTGCCTCTCTCAGTGGTAGTAGAGGGGCTACTTCTTACTGCCACAGTCATGATTGAGAGGCAATGGGTGGCGAGCCTACAGAGGACGTCGTCGAGGAGACATGGGATAACTTCAAGGGAGAAGGTTGGTTGTAAGGCGGTGAGACTGGGTGAGGGAGACTCTCCTCTTCTTCAGAGGGAGGCAGTACAGGGGGAGCTGAACCGGCTGAGGGTCGAGGTGAAAACGCGGTCTGGCTTAGGAGGACCTTGGAGGTAGAATTATGAATGGCACATGAGCGGAGCCATGGAGGGGGGATCCTGCTAAACTTAGCTATTGATCAATGTAGGGAAACTGATCAGGGTGGCTAGGAGTTTCAGTAACAACCTGCCACACAGCTTGAACAATTGTGAGGTTCAATGACCCTTCAGGGGGCCACTTGACTTTAAACTTTGGCCATTTTATTTTGCAGAGTGTCTGGAGCTTGCCTTTTTTAAGGCGGACTTTATAATCCTCTGAGAAACTGAGAGGAAAATTCTGCAGCATACATTGGAGAGGGCTTTAATTTTACAAGGCTGGGAGGAAGTGTTTTTTTTTTTGTTTGTTTGTTTTGAAGGCAATTTAATAAGATTTGAGCATAGATATTGAACTTAGCATGGACAGAGAAACTTATTTCTTGGGGGACTGGAGTAGTGAAAGAACAGAATCAATATGACTAGAAAGAGCAGAAAAACTTACAACAGCTAATACTACCTGCTACATTGCTGTAGCTTTAAGATTGAGGGAGGAGGACTAGAGCCAGCCTGAGATCTTCTGGGTCAGTTTGATCTAGGCGTTCTTCTTCTTCTTCTAGATCTGCACTTTAAATACTTTTGGTGTCTTTGTGACTTAAACGCAAATAGCTTAAACTTAGCTTTTTCTTTTAAGGGTTTAAGGAGTGAGAGCAGAGCCAAGTCCTGGAGACGGTAAACTTGCTGTCGCACCACAAAAAGAGATGTGCGGGATAGGGGGCAGGGACAAGATGGAAAAGGACTACTCGGATCATTTTTAAGATGGGAGAGTAGCCACAGAGGAACAGAGTAAGAATCTAAACGAAGTAAAGCAGTACGGGCGTACGTTTCTTTACACAGTGTTCTACTTAAGGGCACAGGAAAAGTTACAGAATGACAAGAGAGGTGAGCAAGGAAATCTGCAGGGTGGCTGTTTTGAACTCACTACTGGTTTAGTTTAGAGGACGTCTAATCGCTTGGACGAGGAGTATGACGATCTAAATACTTACAACTTTCATGGTGCTAGAAATCTTAATCAGGCAAATGTTTTTCACACTTCTTCTTGTAACAGCACTTGACTTGCTTCTGGCAGAAAAGACAGGACTGTGGTGGTCAGCCTAAAAGATTGATGAGAAATTTAACCTCCTGTGACAAAAAATCAGCACTAAGGACTTTGAAGAAGTTTTTACTTAGACGTCTTGGGCAATATCAACGTCTTGACATGCAAAACTTTCACAACTACTAACGACAATAGACACTGAACAGAACAATCAACATTAAACAAACAATTGACTTTAGGGCATGTAAACAGTTATGACAGTTTGTTTCTTCCTTTTTTTTTTTTTTTTTAAGATAGAGAAGGGGAGGGTTTCCTGTGATGGGATCAGTCAGATGCCTGCCTGGCCGCTCCCCATGAGGGGACTTGGGCTCCTCTTAACATTGGCAGGCCGGTATAAACTTGCGGCTCAGATCAAGCTATGCCTGATGCTGCCTTAAGCCTTATGAGGTCGCCAAGGAACCGCAGGTGAGGGTCTATTTGAACTCCGTAGCTTTCGCCGTGGAGCTACAAACTGGAGGACAAGCGCAAGCCCTTGTCCTCCCTCATTCATTCATTATTCACAGAGAGTATATAACAGGTTTTTTTTTTTTTCTTTCTTGGAGATTCTTCAAGAAACTTGAACAAGAGAAAGATGAGAGATACAAAAAGAGAGAGAGAGAGTGATCGGTCTGCCAGAAACCAGGACTCAGTCCTCCAGCATCCTGGGATGTGGACTGAGTCAAGGGAGGGCCCCTGTCAGGGCCACTTCCCTCCTAGAAAGAGACACAGAGGTGCCTAACAGAAAACCAGGGCTCTACATTCTAGCGTCCTAGAGAAACAGACAGAGTCAAAAGAGGGACACCCTCATCAGGGCCGCTTCCCTCTTACTAGAACTGAAGTCAAATCTGACCTACCTGACCTCGGGGTCAGAAGTCGAGGACTCAGAGGTGGAATTTTTGTGGGCACCCACACGGTAGTCGATCCGCTCTCCTCTGGAAGACGGTCACCTTTCGAGGACCTGAAAATTTTTTTTTAGGTGGCGCCCCCCCACGAGCCGGCCGTCCTTCCCGGGGAGCCCGGAGCGAGCCCGGCTCTCGCCTCGTGGCGTCTCTCGCTCGGGCCTCCAAATGTTGTACTTGAATGAGTTAGAGAAAATGCCACACTTTCACATGAATTAAGAGTCTGCTTATTTAGCTGGCGGCCAAGAAATGGCTAAGCCTTAAAGTTCACTTGGCCCCGAAGAAGGGGCTAGATTTTCTTTTATACTTCAGTTTAGAAAGGGGAAACGGGTCTAGTTAAAAGAATTTTACAGAAGTAAAGTAGGCAAAAAAGTTAAAAGGATAAATTGTTACAGGAAAGTAAACAGTTCTAGGTCTAAGGGCCTTAAGACTATTACAAAGTGATAGACGTGGGGCTTTAGGCATTATCAATCGGACTAATTCCTGGGAACTGCAGATATTGCTTGCCCCACAGTATCTTATCACTTAATTGCATTCTTAGATGTGCTAAGAGTCAGCTGGCACAAGTTAAGTCCTTGAGGAAGGGGCTGCCAGTGAAAAAGCCAAGATAAAAGCTGTCCCCAGTGTTACAGGTGGGGCCTGGTGGGAAGAGATTGGATCATGGGGGTGGATTTCTCATGAATGATTTAGCATCATCCTTTTGGTCCTGTCCTTTCAATAGTGAGTGAGTTCTTGCAAGATCGGGTTGTTTACGAGTGTGTAGCACCTCCCACCTTACTCTCTTGCTCCTGCTTCACCTTCTGCCATCATAGTAAGTTTCCTGAGGCCTCCACAGAAGCTCAGCAAATGTCAGTGTCACGCTCCCTGTATAGCCTACAAAACTGTGATCCAATTAAACCTCTTTTCTTTATATATTACCCAGCCTCAGGTATTTCTTTATAGCATGAGAGAACAGCCAAATCCGGCAGCAATAGACAATATGTAGCAAATGTGCATGGCTGTGTTTCAATAAAACTTTATTGACAAACACATGTGCAAGCAGGTCAGATTTGGCCCATGGGCCATAGTGTCCCAACCTCTGCTCTGGAATATTCTCTTCAGCCTACATGGACATCTCTAGGTTGTTTTTTTTTTTTTTTTTTTTTTGAGACAAAGTCTCACTGTTTCCCAGGCTGGAGTGCAGTGGTGCAATCTTTGCTTGCCACAACCTCTGCCTCCTGGGTTCAAGCAATTCTCCTGCCTCAGCCTCCAAAGTAGCTGGGATTACAGGCACCTGCCACCACACCTGGCTAATTTTTGTATTTTTTAATAGAAATAGGGTTTCACCATGTTGGCCAGGCTGTTCTCAAACTCCTGACATCAGGTGATCCACCCACCTCAGCCTCCCAAAATGCTGGGATTACAGGTGCCCGCCACCACACCTGGCTAATTTTTGTATTTTTAGTAGAGATGTGATTTCACTATGTTGCCCAGGCTGGTCTCGAACTCCTGATATCAAGTGATCCACCTGCCTCAGCCTCCCAAAGTGCTGGGATTACACGTGTGAGCCACTGCAGCTGCCCTCTAGATTTTTTTTTTTTGACCATTGCTTATTTGGTTTGACTTTCATTTTCTTCCCCATTGTGGTAGTCATTTTCTGAATGCCTGTTAGTTTGTCCATCTCTCTCCTCTGTAGTCCCTAGAGTCAGATGAACTCCTCTGCAGGTGCAATGGTGTAACACTCTCTAGTGCTGAATTTTGAGCAGGAGAAAGAGAGCAAGAGTGACCAGTACCTTTGGAAACTCTGGCCTCCTGAGAATTTGGTGTCTTCTCTGCAAATGTTGCAAACCTGCTAATCCACAGGCCAGAGAGAGACAAGCCAGAAGCATGATCTGTTAAGCTCGAGTTTAATATTTGATGCACAGAGATCACTGAGTTTTTTGATAAGAATTAGAGGGGGAAGAAATGGCCACAGAGAAGAATTTCTATCTCCAGGTGAGGATTCAGGAGATAATTCTGCAAACAGAACTTCCTGAGAACTGAGATGGTGGAAATCGCTGGTATTAGAAGAGTGAAAATGTCAGTAATTAAGGCTACAACTGTGCTCTTAGAGGCAAAAGAAGAAAATGAGACTGCCAGGCATGAATAATGAGAAATCTTTGATGGAATTAGCCATGCAGAACAGATACTAAATGCATCCTCATTCTTCTCATAGTCAAAAGTTTTTGCTGAAGGTGGATGGGAAAAAGAGAATCCCATTTCACTAAATACAAAAGAGGGGATTTTAGAGAAGGTCTCAGAAGAAAGAGATGTGGGGGTTTGGTGAAACTCACCAGAGGCTGATCCCTTTCCAGCATAACACAGGGATTGAGAGGAGCGGGGTGGCATTAGGCCAGGTGCATAACCCAGTGCTGCTCTCTCTGGACTTTCTGCTCTCTCTGGACTTGTTTGCTAGCTGAGCTCATCCATTTACATAATTTCCAGTGCCATTTCTCAGCTGATGAGTCCTGAACTTTTGTCTTGAGGCTAGACTTCTCCTTCAAACAGCAGTCTTAAACACTCAACTTCTTTCTTGTTTTTTCCACTTGTCAACTCATGAACACCTCAACCTTGTTACATCCAAAGCCAAACTCATGGCTTGGAGTGGTAGGTGATGGCTGTAATCCCAGTGCTATGGGAGGCTGAGGTGGGAGGATTACTTGAGGCCAGGAGTTTGAAGCCAGCCTGGAAAACACAGTGAGACTCCCTATCTACAAAAAAAAAAAAAAAAAAAAAAAAAAAAAAAAAAAAAAAAAAAAAAAAAGGCTAGGCATGGTAATGTGCATCTGTAGGATCTGTAGTCCTGCTACATGGCAGGCTGAGGCAGGAGGATCACTTGAGCCCAGGAGTTTGAGGCTGCAAAGAGCTATGATTGCACCAATGCACTCCAGCCTGGGTGACACAGCCAGAGACCCTGTCTTAAAAAAAAACCCAATGCTAAACTCTTTTTTTCCTCCTCCTTCTCCATGGGCTCTGTCCGTGCCATCTCTGTCCTGTAAATGGCATCACACCCTGCTGAGCTGCTCAAAGTGGTCATAACTCATGTGTTGTGCTAACTCTGCTTTTGCCCTCTTCTCCAGTCAGCAAGTCCTGTGATTCTAAACTTTATCCAACTTGTCCACTCTCTCCAGCTTCACTGTCATTATCTTTGCGTAGGACACCACTATCTCAGCTGGGCTACAGCAGCAGCCTCCTAACTGGTCTTAACTGGTACTCTGCACCTGCTCTCCATGCTCAGCAATCCATTTCCTACCTGGCAGCTTCAGTGATCTTAAGATGTCCATTGAGTCTCATCCCTGCCTTTCCTGCCCATGGTACATAGAATAAAATGGAGACCCCGAGTCTTCTGCCTGTTCCTGCCACCTCTCCAGCCCTCTCCTATCTCCTGTTCTTGGCCTACTCTATTTCAGCCACTATGGCCTCCTTTTGTTTTCTTGGACTTTCAAACCTTTTTCCACAACAGGGCCTTTGCACTTGCTGTTTCAGCCTGGAATGATTTTCCTCTGCACCTCCCCAGATTAGACCATCCTTTAGGTCTCAGCTAAAATGGTGCTTCCACAGACAGTTCTTTCCTGACCCCTTTATAAAGTGGACTTCCCTGCTCTTCTCCACCTTAACCTCTTATTGCTTCTTGTTGTGGGAAGTCAGGGACCCCAAATGGAGAGGGACTGTCTGGAGCCATGGCAGAGGAACATAAATAGTGAAGATTTCATGGACATTTATCAGTTCCCAAATAATACTTTTATAATTTGTTATGCCTGTCTTTAATCTCTTAATTCTGTTATATTCATAAGCTAAGGATGTACATCACCTCAGGACCACTGTGATAATTGTGTTAACTGTACAAATTGATTGTAAAACATGTGTGTTTCAACAAAATGAAATCAGTGTACCTTGAAAAGGAAGAGAATAACAGCAATTTTTAGGGAACAAAGGAAGACAACCATAAGGTCTGACTGCCTGCAGGGTTGGGCAAAAAGAGCCATATGTTTCTTCTTGCAGAGAGTCTATAAATGGATATGCAAGTAGGAGAGATATCACTAAATTCTTTTCCTAGCAAGGAATATTAATAGTAATACCCTGGGAAAGGAATGCATTGCTGGGGGAAGGTCTATAAATGGCCGCTCTGGGAATGTCTGTCTTATGCGGTTGAGATAAGGACTGAGATACGCCCTGGTCTCCTGCAGTACCCAAAGGCTTACTAGGGTGGAGAAAAACTCCGCCCTGATATATCTGTGGTCAGACTGCTTCTCTGCTCTTGAACCCTGTTTTCTGTTGTTTAAGATGTTTATCAAGACAATACATGCGTGAATGAACATAGACCCTTATCAGTGGTTCTGCTTTTGCCCTTTGCTTTGTGATCTTTGCTGGACACTTATCAGTAGTTCTGCTTTTGCCCTTTGTCCTGTTCCCTCAGAAGCATGTGATCTTTGTTAGACCCTTAGTAGTAGTTCTGCTTTTTACCCTTTGAAGCATGTGACCTTTGTACCTACTCCCTGTTCTTACACCCCCTCCCCTTTTGAAGCCCTTAATAAAAACTTGCTCATCTGAGACTCAGAGGGCATCACAGTCCTACTAATGTGTAATGTGTAATGTCACCCCCAGCAGCCCAGCTGTAAAATTCTTCTCTTTGTAGTGTCTCTATTTCTCAGCTGGCTGACACTTATGGAAAATAGAAAGAACCTACATTGAAATATTGGGTGCAGGTTCCACCTATACTTCTTTCATGGATTTACTTATTTTTTGTTTGTCCCCCTCTGTATCCTAGAAACTCCTAGAGGGCAGAGGCATGCCTGCCATCTTCATCATTGCATTACCATCACCCAACACTATCAGGGGACCTGCCCTGATAATCAGGTAGGTCTTTTCTATTTTCCTAAGCATTGACTGGCTTGAGAAATAAAAGGACAGAGTACAAAAGAGAGAAATTTTAAAGCTGGATGTCCGGGGGAGACATCACACATTGGTAGGATCCGTGATGCCCCACAAGCCACAAAAACCAGCAAGTTTTTATTAGGGAGTTTCAAAAGGGGAGGGAGTATACGAATAGGTGTGGGTGACAGACATCAAGTAGTTAACAGGGTAATAGAATATCACAAGGCAAGTGGAGACAGGGCAAGATCACAGGACCACAGGACTGAAGTGAAATTAAAATTGCTAATGAAGTTTTGGCACCATTGTCATTGATAACATCTTATCAGGAGACAGGGTTTTGAGATCAACTTGTCTGAACAAAATTTATTAGGTGGGAATTTTCTCTTCCTAATAAGCCTGGGAGTGCTATGGGAGACTGGAGTTTATTTCACCTCTGCAATCTCGACCATAAGAGACAGGTACGCCCTGGGGGGCCAGTTCAGAGACCTACCCCTAGGTGTGCATTCTCTTTCTCAGGGACGTTCCATGCTGAGAAAAGGAATTCAGCGATATTTCTCCCATTTGCTTTTGAAAGAAGAGAAATATGGTTCTGTTCTGCCCGGCTCACCAGCAGTCAGAGTTTAAGGTTCTCTCTCTTATTCCCTGAACAATTGCTGTTATCCTGTTCTTTTTTTTATCCTGTTCTTTTTTCAGGGTGCCCACATTTCATATTGCTCAAACACACATGCTGTACAATTTGTGTACTTAACGCAATTATTACAGGTCCTGAGACGATATACATCCTTCTCGGCTGACAGGATTAAGAGATTAAAGTAATGAAAGGCATAGGATATCACAAGGGTATTGATTGGGGAAGTGATAAGTGTCCATGAAATCTTTACAATTTATGTTTAGAGATTGCAGTAAAGGCAGGCATAAGAAATTACAAAAGTATTAATTTGGGGAACTAATAAATGTCCATAAAATCTTCATAATTCACGTTCTTCTGTTATGGCTTCAGCCGGTCCCTCCGTTTGGGGTCCCTGACTTCCCGCAACACAGCACAGTGCCTGGCACAAAAGAGTTGCTCAATAAATAAATCAGGATGAATAGATAAATACACGGATAGGCACTTTGAACTACAGATGAGATTAAATACTTTGTGTTTTTCTTAGTCAATGTTTTTCTTAGTCAAACGTGTAATTAAGCATGTGATAAATGTTATGATGACCATACCTGTGTCTTGCCTGATGCTCTTTGCAATCACTAAATGAAGTCAATTGTGCCTGTTTTGACAGTTCTATTTTCAACCTAATGATCTGTTTATTTTAACTTCTGGCTGTTGGCTTTGTTTGGGTGTGTTAGCCTGACAAAGTGGTAGATATTGGTATTTGCTCTTTTGTTTAAATGTCAGGAACTTTAAAAATGCCTTTGCTTTTGGTAAGAAACCCTAGTTAGGACACCCTAGTGGTCAGGATGATTTGGGTTCTGGTGCAGTAACAACAATCCCCAAATCTCAGTGGCTCCATGCAGTGAGGTATTTGTTTGTTTTTGAGACAGGGTCTCACTCTGTCACCCAGACTAGAGTGCAGTGGTGCAATCTCAGCTCACTGCAACCTCTGCCTCCCAGACTCAAGTGATTCTCCTGCCTCCTGAGTAGCTGGGATTACAGGCCCATGCCACCACTGTCTGGCTAATTTTTGTACTTAGTAGAGACAGGATTTCACCATGTTAGCCAGGCTGGTCTTGAACTCCTGACCTCAAATGATCCACCCGCCTTGGCCTCCCAAAGTTCTGGAATGACAGGCATGAGCCACCATGCCTGGCCACAGTGAGGCTTATTCTTGGTCATGTTGCATGTCTGGGCTGTGTTAGGGCATTGTGTGGTGGTCTGTTCATTGTGTTCACTCAGGGATCCAGGCTGACAAAAGCCCCATCTCTGCATGTGTCCTTGATCACCACTTCAGGGGAAAGGGAATGTGGTGGATCATAGAGCCTCTTAACACTTCCACCTAGAGGTGACTCAAGTTGCTGCTGCTCATGGTTCATTGGACAAAACGGATCACAGAGTCATGGGCAACTTCTCTGTGCCTGGAAGGGGAAACAAAATATGAATAGCCACATTGATTTTCCCTAGATATTACACAGAAAGCCTCATTTAAACACAGTTACTTATTTGTGTTTTGAAGCTAACTGTAGTCCATCAACCTTCACAGAAGATATGTGCACTTCCAAGCTATTATTAAGCACAATTTTTTTTTTTTTTTTTTTTTTTTTTTGAGACAGAGTCTCACTCTCTTGCCCAGGCTGGAGTGCAGTGGCATGATCATGGATCACTGCAACTTCTGCCTCCTGGGTTCAAGTGATTTTCATGCATCAGTCTCCCAAAATGCTGGGATTACAGACACCCACCACCACGCCTGGCTAAGTTTTGTATTTTTAGTAGAGATGGGGTTTCACCATGTTGGCCTGGCTGGTCTGGAACTCCTGACCTCAGGTGATCCACCTGCCTCAGCCTCCCAAAGTGCTGAGATGACAGGCATGAGCCGCCGCGTGCGGCCTTGAGTATGATTTTTGATTTGGAAGGTCAGAGTTAGGGTTTTAGTCTGAGGACTGTATGATGTGAAGGTGAAAAGCAGAGCTTGGCTGTGAGTTTGCTGGGATTCCTGTGCTGCTTCTACAGTTCTTTGGCTGTGTGACCGTCACCTTTGGCAAGTTCCTTTACCTTTCTATGTGTTGGTTTCCTCATCAGTAAAATGGAAAAAATAATCATAATCATAATAACTATTGGTGTTGGGATAGCCCAGTGGTTGACACATAAGGACTCAAAAATATTTTTTTGTTTTTTGTTTTTTTTTTAAGATGGAGTCTTGCTCTGTTGCCAGGCTGGAGTGCATTGGTGCAATCTTGGCTCACTGCAACCTCTGTCACCTGAGTTCAAGCGATTCTCCTGCCTCAGCCTCCTGAGTAGCTGGGATTACAGGCGCCTGCTACCACTCCCAGTTAATTTTTGTATTTTTAGTAGAGACGGGGTTTCACCATGTTGTCCAGGATGCTCTCGATCTCTTGACCTCATGATCCACCCACCTCAGCCTCCCAAAGTGCTGGGATTACAGGCATGAACCACCGTGCCCAGCTCAAAAATACTATTATTAATTTTGGGGGGCAGTTACTATATTTTGTGAAAATCAGAGTTCAGTGCCTTGTAACACTGGGTTGGGATCTATCCCTGAAGGAACAGGCTTCTAAAGAGGAAGGCATCGAGAGAGGGGCAAAATTTTAGTGGACGCTGTAATGACTTTAGGTATATGGACCTGGGGCTGTGTTCTAGCTGGGGCCGCCAGGTAGTAAGGTGGACTTTGCTAAATTCTATCACTTTCCTGGGTCGCAGATTCACTTGTTACAAATGGGGTTAAAGCATCCCTCTTCCAGGGCTAAGATAAAGATGATTAAGTAAGAGGGAATGAAAGCAACTTTCATCAATTGTCAAAAGTATTCATTTAACTTCTTTTTTTTTTTTTTTTTTGAGATGGTGTCTCTCTCTGTTACCCAGGTTGGAGTGCAGTGGCATGGTCCCGGGTCACTGCAACCTCACCTCCTGGGTTCAAGTGATTCCCCTGCCTCAGCCTCCTGAGTAGCTGGGACTACAGGTGCGTGCCACCACGCTTGGCTAATTTTTGTATTTTTAGTAGAGACGGGGTTTTACCATGTTGGCCAGGATGGTCTCGATCTCCTGACCTTGTGATCCACCCACCTTAACCTCCCAAAGTGTTGGGATTACAAGCATGAGCCACCATGCCTGGCCCATTTAACTTCTATATTACTTTCCTGTTGGTGGATTTACCAGTGCAAACTGAGCAGCTTAATACACCATCCAGTTATTATCTGTTTCCATGAACCAAGGGTCTGGGCAGGGTTTAACTGGGTCTTCTATTCAGGGTCACAATACTACAATCAGAGTGTCAGCTGGGGTCTCAACAGATGCTCAGTGTCCTCTTCCAAGCTTATTCAGTTTGTGGACTGAATTCAATTTCTTGCAATTGTTGAACGAAGGCCCTCAGCTCCTAGAGCTGCCACCTCCAAAGACAGTTCACAGCATGGCCATTTGTGTCTCCTTGGAGGCTAAGGGTTGAATCTCTGAAACTTCATCTTTAAAAGACTCACCTGATTAGGTCTGGCCCACCTAAGATCATCCTCCTTTGGATGAACTCAAAGTCAGCTGAGCAAATGTGCTTAACAAAGCAAGTGTGACCATAATCACATTTGCAAAATTCCTTCCCCTTGGCCAAATCACAAGCTCTGCACACACTCAAGAAGAGATGATACAGGGAGCAGATATAAGGGAGTGGTTCTCTTGGGGGCTGTACTAGAATTCTGCCCATTACAACTTCCTTTCTCGAGGAACAGCAGGCCTGGGGAGAGATGATCATGGATGAGAGCAGCCCACAGGTTGTGAGTGCCAGGTGCTAGCGTAGGATGCAGGAGGCTGCTAAGCAAGTATGAAAAGCCTTCTGTGGGCTGGGTGGAGTGGCTCACACCTGTAATCCCAACACTTTGGGAGGCCAAGGTGGGCAGATCACGAGGTCAAGAGATCGAGACTATGCTGGCCAACCAACATGGGGAAACCCCGTCTCTACTAAAAATACAAAAATTCGCTGGGAGTGGTGGCACACGTCTCTAACAACCCAGCTCTCCAAGTGAGCAATTCCTGTCCCTTTTAAGGGCTCACAACTCTAAGGGGGTCCGTGTGAGAGGGTCGTGATCATGAGAGAGTGGTGATCGATTGACCAAGAAGGGAGTACGTGACTGGGGGCTGCATTCAGCAAACCCCGTCTGTACTAAAAATAGCAAAATTCAGCAGTCTCAGGATAAAAGTCAATGTGCAAACATCACAAGCATTCGTATACACCAATAACAAACAGAGAGCCAAATCATGAGTGAACTCCCATTCACAATTGCTTCAAAGAGAATAAAATACCTAGGAATCCAACTTACAAGGGATGTGAAGGACCTCTTCAAGGAGAACTACAAACCACTACTCAATGAAATAAAAGAGGATACAAACAAATGGAAGAACATTCTATGCTCATGGGTAGGAAGAATCAATATCATGAAAATGACCATAGTGCCGAAGGTAATTTATAGATTCAATGCCATCCCCATCAAGCTACCAATGACTTTCTTCACAGAATTGGAAAAAAACTACTTTAAAGTTCATATGGAACCAAAAAAGAGCTGGCATTACCAAGTCAATCCTAAGCCAAAAGAACAAAGCTGGAGGCATCACGCTACCTGACTTCAAACTATACTACAAGGTTACAGTAACCAAAAAAGCACGGTACTGGTACCAAAACAGAGATATAGACCAATGGAACAGAACAGAGCCCTCAGAAATAATGCCACATTATCTACAACTATCTGATCTTTGACAAAAACAAGAAATGGGGAAAGGGTTCCCTATTTAATAAATGGTGCTGGGAAAACTGGCTAGCCATATGTAGAAAGTTGAAACTGGATCCCTTCCTTACACCTTATACAAAAATCAATTCAAGATGGATTAAAGACTTAAATGTTAGACCTAAAACCATAAAAACCCTAGAAGAAAACCTAGGCAATACCATTCAGGACATAGGCATGGGCAAGGACTTCATGTCTAAAACACCAAAAGCAATGGCAACAAAAGCCAAAATTGACTAATGAGATCTAATTAAACTCAAGAGCTTCTGCACAGCAAAAGAAACTACCATCAGAGTGAACAGGTAACCTACAGAATTGGAGAAAATTTTTGCAGTCTACTCGTCTGACAAAGGGAACTATGACTTTCTTATAACCAAGAGAATATGGCACAGGTGATGGGATGTAGTGATTATGTTAGATCGGATGTTAAGTTGTCTTGCTAGGAGGCTATCTTGCTGGCTTTGAAGATGTGAGCTGCCATGTCATGAGTGGCCAGATGGAGAGGCCCATGTGGCAAGAAGCTGAGGACAGCAGGAACCTGGGGCCCTGAGTCCAGCAGCCTGCAAGGAACTGAATGCTACCAACAACCAGATGAGATGGGAAGCAGATCAATCACCAGTCAAGCCTCCAGATGAGAACTGAGCCCTGGCTGACATTATGGTTGCAGCCTTGCACTGAACCCAGCTGAGTCACGCCTGGATTCCTGACCCACAGAAACCACGTAGTGATAACTGTGTGCTGTCTCACGCCACAAAGTTTGCAGTAATATTGTTGCACAGCAATAGATAACTAATATAAAAACTGTCCTACATCATGTACATTACTGAGGGAAATGTAGAACCTGGATTTGAGCTCTGATTTCAGAGTTGTGGTCTCAGTCTCCCCAGGGAGACCTGTCCTGGGAGACAGTTATGCCAGGCTGTGATGCTGTGATGATTGTTCTCTTCCTACCCAGAAGCTTTCAATAGGCACGTCAAGCATGTGACCCCAGCTACATATACCAAATATATTTCTGACAAATGCCAGGACATCGTGAGCTTTCTTGTTTTACTGAGAGCTCCATAAAGGAAGGATCATCTCTGTCTTTTTTTTTTTTTTTTTTTTTTTTTTAAGAGTCTCACTCTCACCCAGGCTGGAGTGTAGTGGTGCGATCTCGGCTCACTGCAGTCTCTGCCTCCTTGGCTCAAGGGATTCTCCAACCTCGTCCTCCTGAGTAGCTGGGATCAAAGGTGTGCATCACCACACCCAGCTAATTTCATATTTTTGGTAGAGATGGGGTTTACTCATGTTGGCCAGGCAGATCTTGAACTCCTGACCTCAAGTGATTTGCCTACCTCGGCTTCCCAAAGTGCTGGGATTACAGGCATGAGCCAATGCACCTGGCCTGCCTTTTTTATGTTATGTCCATGTGAAACAGCCCAGTGGTCAGCACACAAAGGGGTCCAAATGTGAAAGGAAAGGGCAAACACAGGGGAAACCTAGGGGTGTTCAGAAATAGTTCCCAGGTCACTGCCTGTTTCAATATTTACAGTCCTGGGCCCCACGCACAAGATTCTGACTTGGCAGGTCAGAGTTGGAGATGGGGAGCTACCTGGTTACGAGGTATCCCAGTGCATTTTGAGGCAGCTGGTTGTTAAGACTGCATTGTAAAAATTACCCCCCAAAGATGTGAAGGGAAACAGAAAGACATTGGCAGGCTAGAAAACAACACAAGTAAGACATGAACAAGTTCATTCCAGAAGGAGATTCTCAAACACAGCTGCACATCAGAATCACCTGGGGAGATTTTACAACCCCAGTGCCCGGGCTCTGCAGCCCAGATCAATTATTACAGAATCTCTTGGGGATGAAACATGGTCATCAGTAGTTTTGGTTTGTGTGTGTGTGTGTGTGTGTTTTTTGTTTTTTTGTTTTTTTTTTGAGATGGAATCTTGTTCTGCCACCCAGGCTGAAGTGCAGTGGTGCGATCTCAGCTCACTGCTACCTCTGACTCCCGGGTTCAACCCATTTTCCTACCTCAGCCTCCCAAGTAGCTGGGATTACAGGTGTGCACAGCCACGCCTGGCTAATTTTTGTATTTTTAATAGAGATAGGGTTTCACCATGCTGCCCAGGCAGGTCTCGAACTCCCAGCCTCAGGTGATCTGCCCGCCTTGGCCTCACACAGTGCTGGGATTACAGGCATGAGCCATTGCTCCTAGCAGTATTTTTTTAATGAGGCAAAATTCACATAACATACAAGTCCCTGTATGAAACCATACACTTCAGTATCATTAAATACATTCACAATGTTAAGCAATCATCATCTCTGTCTAGTTCCAAAACATTTTCATTAACACCCCCCGCCCCCCCAAAAAATAACCCTGTATCCATCAAGCACTCTGCATCCCCTCCCCTTTCCCCCAGCTCCTGGCAACCACTTACCTGCTTTCTGCCTCTACAGATTTGCCTATTCTGGGCCTTTCATATAAATGGAATCATGTAATATATATAATAAGCAAAAGGTAGCAACAACCAAGATGGCCATTTGGTTGATGAATGAATAAACAAAATGTGCTGTATCCATACAGTGGAAATACTGGTGCCTACTACATGTGGATGGACCTTGGAAACATCACGCTAAGTGAGAGAGAGCCTTGGTATTGTCTCATCTCCCCAGGACATTCCAAGTTGCAGCCAAGGTTGAGACCCACTGACAAGCAACGGATATGGTTGGGTGCAGATGAAATAAGGCAGCCAGGGGCAGGAGGGATGTCTCATTGAAGATGACTATTTGTGGATGCCAAGCAGGGGTGGGGATGAGGTATGATAACAGCAACCCCAATCCCAACACAGCGTGACCGATTTTATCTTCAGCCATCTGATACGCCTCATGGGGTTTGGACACAGGACACCTCTGCTTCCCAGGTTCAAGCCATAACACCTGCCTCAGCCTCTTAAGTAGCTGGGATTACAGGCATGTACCACCACGCCTGGCTAATTTTTGTATTTTTAGTAGAAACGAGGTCTCATCATGTTGCCCAGGTTGGTCTCGAACTTCTGGCCTTAAATGATCCACCCACCTCAGCCTCCCAAAGTACTGGGATTATAGGCATGAGCCACAGTGGCAGCCTCCAAATTCTATTTGAAGTTTGACTTTCCACCTCCAGAAAATCCAACCTTTTCCCAAGTCACAGTGGGACACCCCGGAGTTAATTTGAGAGAAAAGTGCTTTTAAAAACAACTCTAGGCCAGGCGCAGTGGCTCACGCCTGTAATCCTAGCACTTTGGGAAGCCGAGGCGGACGGATCATGAGGACAGATCAAGACCACCCTGGCCAACATGGTGAAACCCCGTGTCTACTAAAAATACAAAAAATTAGCCGGACATGGTGGCACATGCCTGTAAGCCCAGCTACTCGGGAGGCTGAGGCAGGAGAATCACTTGAACCAGGGAGTCAGAGGTTGCAGTGAGCCGAGATCACGCCACTGCACTCCAGCCTGGCGACAGAGAGAAATTACAGAAATAAATAAATAAATAAGTCCCACCGATATGAACACCAAACTAGAATCATTCCACTGACTTCCCTCCACCAAGCAGGGGGAGTGATGGTGATGGTGCATGAGTGTCTATTTGCTTTGAGTCTTAATGGAAAATAAGGTTGTGCCACTCAAAGGAGAAACAAATCGCAGCCCAGACTGGAGCTGTGGATGAATAACATGGCTGAGGGTTGGTACAGGCTTTCCACAGCAATATTAAAACTGAAAAAATCAGCAATGAAGCTCCCAGCCACATTTCTGCCAAATGATTTGGGGGAAAACAACAGAGGCACTCCTCAACTTTTCCTTCGCTGCACAAAGTGGGTTTGGCTGGAAATGCCAAGTGTGCTTGTTGCTGGGATCTTTCAAATGAAAGCAAGCTGGGAGTCAACCTCCTGCAGCCGCAGGCCAGAAATGGGTTGAGACCAAACTATTATAGTAACACTGGGGCACATCTAAACAGATTTAACTCCCTCACAGCAATCCAGATTAATTTAATATCCTTTCTTAGTGGCATTCTGCATTTCCCATTAAAGCAAATAAACATCCATCCCTCTGTGATAAATTAGGGCAAAAAAAAAATTCATATGTTTAGGGCATAGGGACGGAGGAGTTGTTGGGTGTTAAAAAAAAAAATACTGCAAATGGCCTTTGAAAGTCTAGACATCTTCATCATAAACACAAACATTCCTCTTCACAAAGGGACCTCAAGTAACCTTAGGCTGGAGGGCCCACTTCAGTATGTTTTTCTTCTCATTCTTTCTCATCTTCCCTCCAGCCCCCACAACCCACATTCAGTGACCAAGTCACGTGGGTTTTTCCTCCTAAATCTTTTCAGATCCGTTCACTGCTCAGCCACTCTCCTGACACCACCATAAAGCAAGCCACCATCACCTCCAGTTGTTTGACTGCAAATGCCTCCTCACTGGCCTCTGTCTTCCCCTGGCCCTGTGACAATCTGCACTCCTCACAGGGACCAAAGCGATCACTTCAGAAGGTGCATCCAAACCGATCACTCGCTTTCAATGGCTCCCTCTGCTGTGTGGGTTAACAATGATAAAAGCTCGGCCGGGCGCGGTGGCTCACGCCTGTAATCCTAGCACTTTGGGAGGCCGAGGCGGTCGGATCATGACGTTAGGAGATCCAGACCATTCTCCCTAACACGGTGAAACCTTGTCTCTACTAAAAATACAAAAAAATTAGCCGGGCGTGGTGGCGGGCGCCTGCAGTCACAGCTACTTGGGAGACTGAGGCAGGAGAATGGCGTGAACGCGGGAGGTGGAGCTTGCAGTGAGCCGAGATCGTGCCACTGCACTCCGGCCTGGGCGACAGAGTGAGACTCCGTCTCAAAAAAAAAAAATTATAAAAGGTCATCTTTACTGAGCACACACTATCTCATTCCATCCCTACATCAGTCCTTTATTTCACCAATGGGGAAGCTGGGACACAGAGTAGTTAGGTGGGATGCCCAAAGTGGGACCACTCGTGTGAAGTTTCCACACACTAATGTGAGACCCTCCGTGACCTAGCCCCTCTCTTTCTCCAGCCTCATTTCCTGATTGTCTCGCTTGCCCTGCAGGCTTCAGCCACACAAACTTCTTGAAAGTCCCTTAAATCTGACTGAGCGCAGTGGCTCACACCTGTAATCTCAGAACTTTGGGAAGCTGAGGCGGCTGGATAACATGAGATCAGGAGTTCGAGACCAGCCTGGTCAACATGGTGGAACCCCCATCTCTACTAAATATCCCAAAATTAGCCAGGTGTGGTGGGTGGCACCTGTAATCCCAGCTACTCAGGAGACTGAGGCAGGAAAATCGCTTGAACTCGGGAGGCAGAGGTTGCCATGAGCCAAGATCGCACCACTCCACCCAAGCCTGGGCGTCAAGAGTGAAAGTCCGTCTCAAAAAACAAGTCCCTTAAATCTGCTCTATGCCTATCAACCTCAGGGCCTTCACTATGCTGTTTCTCACCCTGAAATGCTGTTCCTCATTTCTCTACATAGTGAACTCATCCCACTCCCTAGGCCTCTCCTTAAGTGTCATCTCTTCAAGGAAGATTTTCTTTTTTATATAACTCTTAAAATATAATTCAGGTACCGTATGATTTGCCCATTTAAAGTGAACAAATCAATGGTTTCAGTGCATTCACAGAGCTCGGCAACCACCATCATGATCAGTTTTAAAACATTTACATCACCCCAAAAAGAAACCCTGTATCCATGAGCAGTTTCCTGCCATTTCCTCCTCCCACTAAGCCCTGAAAATCTACTTTTTTTGAGATAGAGTATCTGTCACAGGCTGGAGTGCAGTGGCACAATCTCGGCTCACTACAACCTCCGCCTCCCGGGTTCAACCAATTCTCCTGCCTCTCGAGTAGCTAGGATTACAGGGATGTGCCACCACGCCCATCTAATTTTGTATTTTTAGTAGAGACAGGGTTTCTGTCTTCATAGATTTGCGTGTTCTGGACATTTCATATAAATGACATCTTAGAATATGTGACTTTTTGTGACTGGTTTCTTCCACTTAGCTTAATATTCTCGTAGTTCATCCGTGTTGTAGCACGTGTTAGTACTTCATTCCTTTTGATGACTAAATAATATTCCATTGCATAGTCAAACCATGTTCTATTTCTCCACTCATCAGTAGACAAGCAATTGTGTTGTTTTCACTTTGGCGCTATTATGAATAATGCTGCTATGAGCATTTGTGCACAAGTTTCTGGACGGACATATATTTTCATTTCTTTCATAAACTGGAGTGGAAGTGCTAGGTCATAGAACTCTGTGTTTAAGCTTTTGAAGAAGTGCCAGACTGTGTAAGAAAGCAAGCCTTTCCTCACCCTGGGAGACTGAGCTCCCTCGCTCCATTTATACATTCTCTTTAAGCCCTTTGCTTCTCTTTAGAGCAATTCACGTTGACCTGGGTCACCATCAACTGAAGGCTCATAACTCCCCTAGATCCTCAGGGTCCACACTAAATGTGATGAAATATGATGCAAGCCACATATTTACTTTTGCATTTTGTAGTAACCACATTTTAAAAAGTAAAACAAAAGAAGTGAAGGTAATTGGAATAATATCACAGATTTAAACAAATCTATCCAAAATAGCAGGTCAACATGTATAAAATATTTTAACAATAACAAAATACTTTGCTTTCTTTTTATATTAAGTCTTCACAATCTAATGTGTATTTGACACTTCTCGCACATTTCAGAATGATGGCAGCAGCCCATATGGGGGGCCCGCCCATGATGCCAATGATGGGTCCTAATACTCCTGGGATGATGCCAGTGGGACCTGCTCCTGGAATGAGGCCGCCCCTAGGAGGCCACATGCCCATGATTCCTAGGTACCCAATGATGAGATCTCCTGCCCGTCTCATGATGGTGCCCAGTCAGCCCAGAATGACTCGGCCAGACAGATAAGGATAGAGGGGAGGCCTCATTGCATCAGTGTTGTTTTCTTGTTGTTATTGTTGTGTTTTTTTTTGTTTGTAATGTTTTGCTTTATTTTTGAGACAGAGTCTTCCTCTGTCGCCCAGGCTGGAGGGCAGTGGCATGATCTCAGCTCACTGAAACCTCCACCTCCCGGATTCAAGCGATTTCCCTGCCTCAGCCTCCTGAGTAGTGTGGGACTACAGGCGTGTGCACCATGCCCGGCTAATTTTTTTTTTATTTTAGTAGAAACGGGGTTTCACCATGTTGGCCAGGATGGTCTCAATCTCCTGACCTCGTGACCCGCTCGCCTCAGCCTCCGAAAGTGCTGGGATTACAGGTGTGGGCCACTGCGCCTGGCCTATATGAATTTTATATTTACCTGCTCCCTTCACCAGGAGATCATGCTGCTGTGATATCGGGTTTTCTTAACAGCATAAGGAAGACTTGCCCCCTTGCCCTATCAAAGAGAATAGTTTTGGAAGGGAGAAGTGGGGCCAAAAAAGACGCAGTTTTCATTTGTATTGGGAAATGTGAAAATAAAATTGCCAACTGCTTTAGTTAAAAACAAAAAAAAGAAAAGGAAACAAGATGTGGGGCTGCCATATGCAATACCGTGGATTCTACAGATCTTCTACTCTGGAGGCAAATATTATCTTCGCTGAAGCCAGACCAACCTGACACAAAGGCCTTTTGGTTTTTTAATGTGACTGTGTTTTATTTTAGAATGTGTAATTCACTTTAGAAGGGCAAAGTACCTGTCTGGGGAAGACTATTTAATTTCCTGCATTTATTTAGAATGCTGGCTGATGTTATTATGAAGGGAAACAGCTCTAACAACTGAGTGTCCCCCACATAGACACAGCTCATGAGTTCAAGGGGCAAAGGAATTGAACAGCAGCCTCCTAATAGCCGGCCTTCTTTGTGATGCGGAAATAATTATCAGCATGTAAAAGACTATATATATATTCAACAATTCTGACACCCTGCAAAATTCAAATCTACAACTGATTTGCTTCCTGGGCTCCTGAAAACAACTTTGTCAAAATTGTTCAGAAATATAATCAGCCAATCGTTGCCCCTTGGGGACGCAGGATAAAGCAAGTCAGCCATGACCAATGTGGAGTCGGCCGTGCACAATGACATGCAGACTTGCAGGACATCGAGTCCCTGCTATGGTCCCTCCCCAGTCAGGCCCCCATTGCCTGGGCTGCAGCCAGAAGCATTCAGGCACAAGTGCATTCAACAAATACTTATTTAATTGTATTGGTGGTTAGAGGGTTGCGATTGATTAAGGTACATTAATGGATCCATGTCCTCCCTGTATCCAAGACTCTGCCATTTGTCTCTGCAGTTCCTCCCACTGAAGAATCGGAGTATATTTCTCCAGTCCCTAATGTTGGGTTTTGAATTGTGTCTAGCTTTGGCCACTGGAATATTAATCTGTATGACCAAAAACTTGGAAAGTGTGAATTCATTTGTGCTCGCTCACTCCTGCTATCACCATGAGAACAAGCCTAGGCCAGGCTGCTGCTTCCAGCAGAAGATAAGAGACACCAAGAGCAAAGTCGAGCTTCCCAGACATGCTCATGCTAGACTGACCAATCCTCAGCTGACCCATAGATCCATGAAAATAAATGATTGTTGTATTAAGCCACTGAGATTTGTAGTGACTTGTTATGCAGCATTTTGTGACAACAACTAACTGATACAAGGGTCACTGTCCTTTATCTCTGTAGATTTTAACCAATTTTTAATAGCTAGATGGAGATCATCTAGTTGCCTTTATTTATAATGAATATGACTGTAGAGCTAGTTTGGCCTGACACTACCAGTAACCTACCCAGAAATTCAGAAATACTTTCTTCTCCAACCCGCCCCAACCAACCTATTTTTTGTTTGTTTGTTTTTGGGTTCTCCCTCTTTGCCTAGGCTAGAGTACAAGTGTTACAGTCAGAGCTCACTGTAACCTCAAAATCCTGGGCTCAAATGATCTTGCCCTTCAGCCTCCTATGTAGCTAAGACTACAGACATGTGCCACCATGCCTGGCTAATTTTTTTATTCTTTGCAGAGAGAGGGTCTCACTATATTGCCCAAGTTGGTTTCAAACTCCTGGCCTCAAGCAGTCCTCCTGCCTCACCCTTCCAAAGTGCTAGGATTATAGGCATGAGCCACCACACCCAGCCTCTTCTTCTTTTTAAATAGAAACCTTATTTTATTCTGACAGTGGGTTGCTTTCTTTTTTCTTTTTTTAAGAAAAAGTTGGCCCAGCCCTAGGGAATAAATTTTGACTGCTCTAAACAGGGTTGGCCAACTATAGACCAAGGGCCAAATCTGGCCCTCTGACTGTATAAATTAAGTTTTACTGGAATAAATCCAGGTCCATCGATTTATCCATTGTCTACATATGCTTTTAGGCTACGATGGCACCACTGCGTCACTACAACAGAGGTTATCTAGACCAAAAGCCTAAAATATTACCGTTTGCCTCTTTATGGAAAAAGTTTGCCATTCCCTAGTCTAAGGTTTAGATTCTGAGCTTATCATTTTAGCCTACCCCCACTTACCAGTGACTGGTTCAAAACAAGTCTGTGATTCCATTCTGACTGTTCTACTGAGGGAATTCCCCCTTCTTCTCATGCAGAGTTGATGAGGGTAAGTTGTATTAATAGGACATATGCTTAGGTTTTCTGAAAAATACTTTTATCTAGAAATGCATAGGAATATGCTGGTGCCTGAATGTACCATCTGGGGGCCTGGAGATTGACTCACCTGCCTCCAGAGCTAGTGCTCACACTTACTACTGAGAGACCTGAGGAAACGCCTGCCTACCCACCACCAGAACCTGCATACGTCACCTGGAGAACTAGAGATCAGACTGCCACACACACCACCCAGGAGCCCAGAGGTGCACCTGCCCACTTGGCCCAGTGCTGCCACTGCCAGCAAGCAAAGAAGCCACCTGGGAGCCCAGGGATTGGCCCACGCAAACAGGCTATCATCAGTGTCCACAAACACTGCCCATGGTCCCTAGTATTGACACACCTGGTCCACCAGCACTACCACTGATGCTGAAGGACAAGACTTCCTGGCATCCCCATCCTCAGCAAAGCCTCACCACAGCCTCCAATAACAACTACAGTCTGGCCAAGTGTGGTGGCTCACGCCTGTAATCCCAGCACTTTGAGAGGCCGAGGCGGGTAGATCACGAGGTCAGAAGTTCGAGAGCAGCCTGGTCAACATGGTGAAACCCCGTCCCTACTAAAAATACAAAAATTAGCTGCGCATTGTAGCACGTGCCTATAGTCCCAGCTACTCAGGAGGCTGAGGCAGGAGAATTGCTTGAACCTGGGAGGCAGAAGTTGCAGTGAGCTGAGATTGTGCCACTGCACTCCAGCCTGGTGACAGAGCTAGACTCCATCTCAACAACCACAAAAAACATACTGCAGTCTAAGCCACGGAATGACTCACAGGCACCACTCATGCCAATTACAGCTGAAGGAATCATATGCAGACTATACCACTGTACCCACCCAGAATCAAAGCCAAAGTGAGATATCCAATGAACACTGTAGATACAGCTATAAGAAAAGGTCTTTCCCATATAAAAGCCAATCCATAAAATTGGAAGAAATGACTGTTATCTCAGAGGCACAGATAGTCACATAAGGATGCAAGAAATATGAAAAAGGAAACATAACATCTCCAAAGAAGCACAATAATTCTCCAGCAACAGATCCAATGAAAAGAAAATCTATGAAATGCCTGAAAAAAATTCAGAATAATGTTATTAAAGAAACTCAGGGAGATACAAGAGAACACAGATAATGAATACAAAAAAAAAAAAACAGGAAAACAATTCATGATCTGAATGACAAATTCAACAGAGATAGACAGCATAACAAAGAACCAAACACAAATCCTGGAAGACAATAAATCATTGAAATAAATACAAAAGATAATTGACAGTTTTAACAATAGACTAGATCAAGCAAAACAAAGAATTTCTGAACCTGAAGGCTAGTCTTTTAAAATAATCCAGTCAGACAAAAAGAAAGAAAAAACAATGAAGCAAGGCTACATGATATATGGGACACATATGTGACCAAAAACTGAAATTCTGGGAGTTCTGGATGGAGATGAGATGGGTAAAGGCATAAAAAACCTATTTAATGAAATAATAACTGAAAACTTCCTGAATGCTTCCAAATGCAGGAAGCTCAAAGATTACCAAATAAATACAACTCAAAAAGGTCTTCTCCAAGGCACATTATGGTAAAATTGTCAAAAGACAAAGAGAAAATGCTAAAAACAGCAAGAGAAAGACATCAAGTCACTTATAAGAGAATCTCCATCAGGCTAACGGGATTTCTCAGCAGAAACCTTACAGGCTAGGAGAAAAGGGGATGTATACTACAAGTAAAAAATAAAAATAAAAAAAGTAAGCCAAAAATACTATACCCAGCAAAGCTATCCTTCACAAATGAAGGAGGCTGGCACAGTGGCTCACATCTGCAGTTCCAGAGACTCAGAAGGCTGAGGCAGGAGAACCATTTGATCCCAGGAGTTCAAGGCTGCAGTGAGCTATGATCATGCCACTGTACTCCAGCCTGGGTGACAGAGTGAGACTCCATTGCTAAAAAAAATAGTAATAATAAAAGAGAAAAAAGGATTTCCCAGATAAGCAAAAGACTGTTTGTTTGTGTCTTGTTTGTTGTGGTCTTACAAGAAATGTTTAAGGGAGTCCTACATTGGGAAGCAAAAGAACAATATCTACCATCATGAAAATACATGAAAGTATAAAACTCACTGGTAGTTCAGACACACAAAGAAGAAAAGATTCAAACACCACCACTAAAGAAAACCACCAAACTGCAACCATAAATAATGAGAGAAAAAAGGAACAAAGGTGTATTAGTCTGTTTTCACACTGCTGATAAAGACATACGTGACTGAGACTGGGCATTTTACAAAAGAAAGAGTTTTAATGGACTTACTCTTCCACATAGTTGAGGAAGCCTAAGAATCATGTTGGAAGGCAAGAAGAAGCAAGTCATGTCTCACATGGATGGCAGCAATCAAAGATAGAGCTTCTGCAGAGAAACTACCCTTTTCAAAACCATCAGACCTTGTGAGACGTATTCACTATCATGAGAACAGCATGGGAAAGACCTGCCCCCATGACTCAATTACTTCCCACCAGGTCCCTCCCACAACATGTGGGAATTCAAGATGAGACTTGGGTGGGGACACAACCAAACCATATCATTCTGCCCCTGGCCCTTCCCAAATCTCATATCCTCAGATTTCAAAACCAATCATGCCTTCCCAACAGTCCCCCAAAGTCTTAACTAAGTTCAGCATTAACTCAAAAGTCCACAGTCCAAAGTCTCATGTGAGACAAGGCAAATCCCTTCTGCATATGAGCATGTAAAATCAAAAATAAGTTAGTTACTTCCTAGATACAATGGGGGTATAGGCATTGGGTAAACACAGTCATTCCAAATGGCAGAAAATTGCCAAAACAAAGGGGCTACAGGACCCATGCAAGCCCAAAATCCAGTGAGGCAGTCAAATCTCAAAGCTCCAAAATGATCTCCTTTGACTCCATGTCTCACATACAGGTCATGCTGATGTAAGAGGTGGGCTCCCATGGCCTTGGGAGAAAAAAGGCCACAGCTCCACTCCTGTGGCTTTGTATGGTTTAAACCCCCTCCTGGCTCCTCTCACGGGTTGGCATTGAGTGTCTGCAGCTTTTCCAGTCACACAGTGCAAGCTGTCAGTGAATCCACCATTCTGGGGTCTGGAGGATGGTGGCCCTCTTCTCACAGCTCCACTAGGTGGCGCTGC
This sequence comes from Homo sapiens, assembly GCF_000001405.40. Lineage (NCBI taxonomy): Eukaryota > Metazoa > Chordata > Mammalia > Primates > Hominidae > Homo > Homo sapiens. The sequence goes on along the minus strand of NC_000004.12, from coordinate 9,045,981 downwards.
AGTAAGGACTCTATGTGGGGGCTCCGAACCCACATTTCCCTTCTGCAGTGCCCTAGTAGAGGTTCTCCATGAGTGCCCTGCCCCTGCAGCAAACTCCTGACTGGATATCTAGGCATTTCCATACACCTTCTGAAATCTAGGCAGCAGTTCCCAAACCTCAATTTTTGACTTCTGTGCACCCACAGGCTCAACACTATGTGGAAGCTGCTAAGGCTTGGGGCTTGCACCCTCTGAAGCAACAGCCCACGTTGTACCTTGGCTCCTTTCAGCTGCAGCTGGAGTGGCTAGGACTCAGGCACCCTAGGCTGCTCACAACAGGGGTCCCTGGGTCCAGCCCAAAAAAACATCTTTTCTTCCTAGGCCTCTGGACGTTTGATAGGAGAAGCTGCCAAGAAGACCTGTGACATGCCCTGGAGACATTCTCCCCATTGTCTTGGGGATTCACATTTGACTCCTTGTTACTTAAACAAACTTCTGCAGCCAGATCGAATTTTCCTTGAGAAAATGGGATTTTCTTTTCTATTGCATTGTCAGGCTGCAGATTTTCCAAACTTTCATGCTCTGCTTCCCTTATAAAACTGAAGGCCTTTAACAGCACCCAAGTCATCTCTTGAATGCTTTGCTGCTTGAAATTTCTTCTATCAGATACCCTAAATCTCAAGTTCAAATACCCTATCAGATACCCTAAATCTCTCAAGTTCAAAATTCCACAAATCTCTACAGCAGGGGCAAAATGCCACCAGTCTCTTTGCTAAAACATAACAGGAGTCACCATTGTGCCAGTTCCTAACAAGTTCCTCATTTCCATCTGAGACAACCTCATCCTAGACTTTATTGTCCATATAACCATCAGCATTTTGGGCAAGTCTCTAGGAAACCTCTTCCAAATTTTCCCACATTTTCCTGTCTCCTTCTGAGCCCTCCAAACTGTTCCAACCTCTGCCTGTTTCCCAGTTCCAAAGTCACTTCCACATATTCAGGTATCTTTTAGCAACACCCCACTTCTGGTACTAATTTACTGTATTAGTCCATTTTCACACAGCTGATAAAGACACATTCAAGACTGGGAAATTTACAAAAGAAAGAGATTTAATGGACTTACAGTTCTACATTGCTGGGGAGGCTTCAAAATCATTGCAGAAGTCAAGGAGAGGCAAGTCACATCTTACAGGGATGGCAGCAGGCAAAGAGAGAGCTTGAGCAGGGAAACTCCACCTTTTAAAACCATCAGATCTCATGAGACTTATTCACTATTAAAAGAATAGCATGGGAAATACCTGCCTCCATGATTCAACTACTTCCCACTGGGTCCCTCCCACAACACATGGGAATTCAAGATGAGATCTGAGTGGGGACACAGCCAAACCATACCAAAAGGATATACAAAATAACCAGAAAACAATGAACAAAATGACTGGAATAAGTCCTCACCTATCAATAATAACTTCGAATATTGGTTAAATTACCTACCTAAAGATAGAGACAGGCTTAATGGATAAAAAATGACCCAACAACGTCTACAAGAAACTCACTTCACTTGTAAAGACACACACAGACTGAAAGTGAAGGGATGGAAAAAGATATACCACAGAAACAGAAATCAAAAATAATCAGGAGTAGCTAAACTTACATCAGATAAAACAGACTTTAAGCCAAAAACTGTAAAAAGGACAAAGAAGGTCATTTTATGGTAATAAAGGGATCAATTCAGCAACAAAGTATAACAATTCCCAATATGCATGCAACCAACACAAGCGCATCCAGAGACATATAGCAAATATTATTAAATCTACATGGAGAGAGAGAGTCCAATACAATGATAGTTGAGAACTTCAATATCCTACTGTCAGCATTGGACAGTTCATCTAGACATAAAATCAACAAAGAAACATTAGATTTAAGCTGCACTTTAGACCAAATGGACCTAACAGATATTTTCAGAATATTTCATCCAGCAGCAGCAGAATACACAATCATCTCATCAACACATGGAACATTCTCCAGGATAGACCATATGTTAAGACACAGAACAAGGCTCAATAAAATTTTAAAAATTAAAATCATATCAAGTATCTTCTCAGACCACAATGGAATAAAACTTGAAATCAATAAGAAGAAGAAATTTGGAAACTGTACAAATACATGGACATTAAACATGCTATTGAATAATCATTGGGTCAATGAAGAAATTAAGATGGACATCAAAAATTTTTTTTAAACAGAAAATGGAAACACATCATGCAAAACCTATGGGATACAGCAAAAGCAGTACTAGGAGGAAAGTTTATAGCAATAAATGCCTACACCAAAAAAGTAGAAAGATTTTAAATAAACAACCTAATGATGCACCTCAAGGAATTCAAAAAGCAAGAACAAATCAAACACACAATTAGTAGAAAGAAAAAATATAAATAAAATAGCAGAACCAAATGCAACAGAGACAAAAAAGAAATGCAAAGAATCAACAAGATAAAAGTTGGTTTTTTGAAAAGTTAAAAAAATTGATAAACCACTAGTGAGGCTAACCAAAAAAAAAAAAAAAAAAAAAAAAAAGAGACCCAAATAAATACAATCAGAAATGAAAAAGGAGACTTTACAACTGTTACCAAAGAAATAAAAAGGATCATTAGAGGCTACTATGAACAACCATATGCTAACAAATTGGAAAACCTAGAGGAAAGGGATAAATTCCCAGACATACACAGCCTACCAAGATTCAACTAGGAAGAAAAAGAAAACCTGAACTGACCCAAAATGAATAGCAGATTTGAATCAGTAACAAAAAGTCTCCCAAAAGAGAAAAGCCCTAGACTGGGCTTTTATGTTGATTTCTACCCAATTTGTAAAGAAAAACAAACACCAATTCTTCTCAAACTATTCCCAAAAATTGAAGAGGAAGGAATTCTTCCTAACTCATTGTATAAGGCCAGCATTACCCTGATATCCAATCAAGACAAGGACACAACAAAAGCAGAAAACTACAGGCCAATATTCCTAATGAACATAGATGGTAAAATTCTCAGCATAATACTACCAAGCCAAATCTAATGATGAATGAAAAAGATAATATACCATGATCAAGTGGGATTTATCCCAGGAATGCAAAGATGGCTCAACATACACAAATCAATACATGTGATACATCACATCAACAAGATGAAAGGCACAAGCTATCTGATCATCTCAGCAGATGCAGAAAAATCACTCAGTAAAACTTACCATTCCTTCATGATGAAAACTCTCAACAAATTATGCATACGAGGAACACTTCAACCTAAGAAAAGGCATATATGACAAATCTACAGTTAACATCCTACTCACTGGGAAATATTGAAAAGCCTTTCCTCTAAGAACTGGAACAAGAGAAGGATGCCCACTTTCACCACTCTTATTCAACACAGTATGGGACATCCAAGCCAGAGTGATCAGACAAGATAAAGAAATAAAAGGCATCCAAATGGACAAAAGGAAGTCAAATTGTCTCACTTTGCAAATGACATAATCTTATACCTGTAAACAGAAAAACCTAAAGACTCTACCAAAAAACTCTTAAAATAAATTAGGCTGGGCATGGTAGCTCATGCCTGTAATCCCAGCACTTTGGGAGGACAAGGTGGATGGATCAGCTGAGGTTGGGAGTTTGAGTCCAGCCTGGCCAACATGGTGAAACCCTGTCTCTACCAAAAATACAATTAGCCAGGCATGGTGGTAGGTGCCTGTAATCCCAGCTACTTGGGAGGCTGATGCAGGAGAATCGCTTGAACCCGAGAGGTGGAGGTTGCAGTAAGCCAAGATTGCACCACTGCACTCCAGCCTGGAAAACAGAGTGAGACTCTCTCAAAAAATAAAAAATAAAAAACATTTTTAAAAACGGATGTATAATTCAGTAAAGCTTCAGGACACAAAATCAACATACAAAAATCAGTAATGTTTCTATATACCAGTAACAAACTAGCTAAAATAGAAATCAAGGAAGAAATTCTATTTACAATAGCCACAAAAATAAAATACCTAGGAATAAACTTAACCAAGGATGAGGAAAAAAAAAAAAAAAAAAAAAAACCTCTACAATGAAAACCACAAAACACTGATAAAATAAATTGAGAAGGACACAAGCAAATGGAAAGGCATCCTATGCTCGTGGGTTGGAATAACTAATACTGTTAAAATGACCATACTACCCGAAGCAATCTAGAGATTCACTATAATCCCTATCAATTATATTCTTCACAGAAACAGGAAAAAAAACCTGAAATTCATATGGAACCACAGAAGACCCCAAATAGCCAGAGCAATACTGAGCAAAAAGAACAAAGCTAGAAGCCTCACACTACCTGATTTAAAAATATACTGCAAAGAGGCTGGGCGAGGTGGCTCAAGCCTATATCCCAGCACTTTGGGAGGCCAAGGCAGGTGGATCACAAGGTCAGGAGATCGAGATCATCCTGGCTAACACGGTGAAACCCCGTCTCTACTAAAAAAAAAAAAAAAAAATAGCCAGGCGTGGTGGTGGGCATCTGTAGTCCCAGCAGCTACTCGGGAGGCTGAGGCAGGAGAATGGCATGAACCCGGGAGGAAGAGCTTGCAGTGAGCAGAGATCACGCCACTGCACTCCAGCCTCAGCAACAGAGCAAGACTCCATCTCAAAAAGAAAAAAAAAACATATATATGTATATATATGTGTATATATATGTATACATATACGTATATATGTATATATGTGTATATATATGTATACATATACGTATATATGTATATATATGTGTATATATATGTATACATATACGTATATATGTATATACGTATATATACACGTATATATATACGTATGTATGTATATATACACGTATATATATACGTATATATGTATATATACACGTATATATATACGTATATATGTATATATACACGTATATATGTATATATACACGTATATATGTATACGTATATATGTATATATACACGTATATATGTATATATGTATATATACACGTATATATGTATATATACACGTATATATGTATATATGTATATATACACGTATATATGTATATATGTATATATGTATATATGCACGTATATATGTATATATGCACGTATATATGTATATATGCACGTATATATGTATATATGTATATATATGTATATATACACGTATATATACGTATATATGCACGTATATATACGTATATACACGTGTATATACGTATATATACGTATATACACGTGTATATACGTGTATATACGTATATATACGTGTATATACGTGTATACACGTGTATATACGTATATATACACGTATATACGTATATATACGTGTATATATATGTATATATGTATATCTGTGTGTGTGTATGTATATACATATATATGTATATACATATATACGTATATATGTATACTGCAAAGCTACAGTAACCAAAACAGCGTGTATTGGTATTAAAACAGACACAAAAACAAAGGAAAAAGACTAAAGAATGCAGAAATGAATCCACATATTTACAGCTAACTGATTTTCAAGAAAGCTGTCAAGAACATATATTGAATAAAGGACACCTTCTTCATTAAATGGTGCCAGGAAAACTAGATATCCAAACACAGAAGAATAAAACTAGACCCATATCTCTCATCACTTACAAAAATAAACTCAAAATCAATTAAAGACTTAAATGTAACAGCCACAACTATGAAACTACTAGAAGTAAACACAGGAGAAACGCTTGAGAACAAAGATTGTATGGCTAACACTTAAAAAGTACAAGCAACAAAAACAGACAAATGGGATTATATTAAACTAAATACCTTCCGCATATCAACGAAAACAATCAACAGAGTGAAAAGACAACACCCCTCCCTTACACCATACACAAAAATTAACTCAAGATGGCCTACAGACTTAAATGTAAAACCCATAACTATAAAAACGCTGAAGACAACCTAGGCAATACCATCCGGTACATAGTGATGGGCAAAGAGTTCATGGTGAAGATGCCAAACGCAATTGCCACAAAAGCAAAAATTGACAAATGGGATCTAATTACATGAAAGAGCTTCTGCACAGCTAAAGAAACTATCAAAAAATAAACAGACATTTCTCAAAAGAAAATATACAAATCACCAAGTTTATGAAAAAATATTCAACATCACTAATCATCACGGAAATGCAAATCAAAACCACAATGAGATATCATCTCACACTTGTTAGAATGGGTATTAAAAAGACAAAGCACAACAAACGCTGTCAAGCATGTGAAGAAAATTATTGTATATTGTTGGTGGGAATGTAAATTAGTACAGCCATTATGAAAAAAAGTGCAGAGATTTCTCAAAAAACTAAGAACAGATCTACCATATGATCCAGCAATCCCACTCCTGTGTATATATCCAAAAAAAGATAACAGCGTATCAACGGGATATCTGTACCCCCATATTTACTGCAGCACTATTTACAATAGCCAAGATATGGAATCAATCTAAGTGTCAATCAATGGATGAATGGATAAAGAAAATGGGAATATACGCACAATAGAATAGTATTCAGCCATAAAAAAGAATGAAATCCTGTCATTTTCAGCTAAATGGATGGAACTAAAGGTCATAATGTCAGGTGAACTAGGCCATGCACAGAAAGAAAACTATTGCATGTTCTCACTTATATGAGCAGCTTATGCTCCTGGAAATCAAAGCGGGGCCATATTTCAGTTCAGTAGGGTCAGGGATAGAGACCACAGTTATGGACTTGTGTGCCCTGGAGCTATATAAAATTGATATCATGGAAATAAAGAGTAGAATGATAGTTACCAGAGGCTGGGAATAGGAGGGGTTTGAAAAGAGGTTGATTAATGGGTATAAAAATATATAACAGAAGGAATGAGATCTAGTGTTTATTATCACAGAAAGTGACTACAACAATTTATTGTATATTTCTTTTTTTTAATTTCAATAGTTTTTAGGGAACAGGTGGTATTTTGTTACATGGATAAGTTCCTTAGTGGTGATCTCTGAAATTTTGGCATACCCATCAGCAAAGCAGTTTACCCAATGTATAGTCTTTTATCTCTCACCCCCTTCCACCTTCCCCCTGAGCCCCCAAAGTCCACTGTTTCATTCTTGTGCCTTCGCATCATCATAGCTTAGCTCCCACTTAGGAGTGAGAACACGCAATGTTTGGTTTTCCATTCCTGAGTTACTTCATTTAGAATAATGGTCTCCAACTCCATCCAGGTTGCTATGAATGCTATTATTTTATTCCTTTTTAAAGCTAAGTAGTATTCTATGGTATATATATATATAACACATTTTCTTTATCCATTAATTGATTGATGGGCATTTGGGCTGGACCTATAGTTTTGCAACTGTGAATTCTGCTGCTGTAATCATGTGTGCAAAAGTATCTTTTTCATATAATGATTTCTTTTCCTCTGGGTAGATACCTAACAGTGGGATTGCTGGATCAAACGGTAGATGTACTTCTAGTTCTTTAAGGAATCTCCATACTGCTTTCCATAGTGGTGGTACTAGCTTACATTCCCACCATCAGTGTAAAAGCGTTGTCTTTCACCACATCCATGCCAACATTAATTTTTGTTTTTTTGTTTTGTTTTGTTTTGTTTTGTTTTTTTGAGATGGAGTCTCACTCTGTCGCCCAGGCTGGAGTACAGTGGTGCCATATCAGCTCACTGCAACCTCTGCCTCCCAGGTTCAAGCAATTCTCCTGCCTCAGCCTCCTGAGTAGCTGGGATTACAGGCAACTGCCACCATGCCCGGCTAATTTTTGTATTTTCAGTAGAGACTGGGTTTCACCATGTTGGTCACCTGGTCTCAAACTCCTGACCTCATGATCCGCCCACCTTGGCCTCCCAAAGTGCTAGGATTACAGGCGTGAGCCACCGCGCCTGGCCCTCTTTTTGTTTATTTTACAAGTGGTATTGCATTGTGGTTTTGATTTGCATTGCCCTGGTAATTAGTGATGTTGAGTAATTTTTCATATGTTTCTTGGCCATTTGTATATCTTCTTTTGAGAATTGTCTATTCATGTCCTTGGCACACTTTTTGATGAGATTATTTTTTTCTTGCTGATTAGAGTTCCCTGTAGATTCTGGACATTAGTCCTTTGTCAGATGCAGTTTGTGAAAATTTTCTCCCACTCTGTGGGTGATCTGTTTACTCTGCTGATTATTCCCTATGCTGTGCAGGAGGCCTTTAGTTTAATTAAGTCCCATCTATTTATCTTTGTTTCTGTTGCATTTGCTTTTGGGTTCTTGGTCATAAACTCTTTGCCTAAGCCAATGTGTAGAAGCATTTTCGAATGTTATCTTCTAGAATTTTTATGGTTTCAGACCTTAGATTTAAGTCTTTGATCCATCTTGTGTTGATTTTTGTATAAGGTGAGAGATAAGGATACAGTTTTATTCTTCTACATGTGGCTTGCCAATTATCCCAGCACTATTTGTTGTATACGGTGTACTTTTCTTACTTTGTTTTTGTTTACTTTGTCGAAGATCAGTTGGCTGTTAAGTATTTGGCTTTATTTCTAGCTTCTCTACTCTGTCCCATTGGTCATGTGACTATTTTTATACCAGCACCGTGCTGTTTTGGTGACTATAGCCTTGTAATATAGTTTGAAGTTGGATAATGTGATGCCTCTAGATTGGTTCTTTTTGCTTAGTTTTGCTTTGGCTTTGCAGACTCTTTTTTAGTTCCAAATGAATTTTGGCATTTTTTTTCTAATTCTATAAAGAATGATGATGGTACATTGATAGGAATTGCATTGAATTTGTAGACTGCTTTTGGCAGTATGGTCATTTTCACAATATTGAGTCTACCCATCCATGAGCATGGAATGTGTTTCCTTTTGTTTTTGTCATCTATGATTTCTTTCAACAGTGTTTTGTAGTTTTCCTTGTAGGGGTCTTTCACCTCCTTGGTTAGTTACATTCGTAAGTATTTTATTTTTACAGCTATCATAAAAGGGTTTGATTTGATTCTCAGCCTGGTAGATGTTGGTGTATAGCACCGCTACTGATATGTGTACATAGATTTTGTATCCTGATAAATAGATTTTTTGTGTATTTCTAAATAGCAATAAGATTTGAAATATTCCCAACACAAAGAAATGATCAATGTTTGAGGTGATTAATATCCTAAAGACCCTGATTTGATCATTACACATTGCATGCATGTACCAGAATCTCACATGGACCCCATAAATTTGTACAATTATTCTCTATCAAAAACATTTTTTTAAGAAACATGCAGGAATACACTGTACCTCTTCCTTGCTGTGTCTGGATATTGTCACATGAGGACTTGACATGCCGATTGTGGCAGTCTCTGTGACCAAGAGCAGAAGACAATAGCAGCATAGAAACCTCAAATGAAAAACCTAACATTTCAAGCTACTAATTTAGCCAACCTTGGCATCAGCTATCTCTGGTCTTAGTATATGAGGTGATAAGCCCCCACTGTTCAAGTTGGATGGCCATCAATTGCTGCAGAATAGAAGTTAATGAGGCTTCCTCCTCCTGGATCCCCTACTAGACCTTGACATGCCCATTCAGTCACAGGCAGAAAGGGAAGCAGAGGGTAAGGAGACCTGGCTGACTGTGTCAGACGCAGATCTTACCTGTCCTGCTTAGAACACTCAAAGCTCAATTGCTTAAACAAAAAAAGGAAAAAGACAATAAGGAGTATAGCACTCCCCAGATGCAACTTAATCTAACACTCTATACTTTAGATTTTCTAGACATACATAGAAATCAGACCACTACTTCTGCAGAACATTTTACTGGTAAAAAGAACAGCCCACATGAGGGAAAACTGATTTGGTGGAAAGACAACAAAAACAAAACATGGGAAATAGGTAAAGTGATAACATGGGGGAGAGGTTTTGCTTGTGTTTCACCAGGAGAAAATCAGCTTCCTGTTTGGATACCCACTAGACATTTGAAATTCTACAATGAACTCATCAGGGATGCAAATGAAAGTGCCTCTGCAGAGACAGAAAACCCGCAATCGAGCATCATCGACTCGCAGGGTGAACAAAATGGTGATATCAGAAGAACAGATGAAGTTACAATCCACCAAGGAAACTGCACATGTGGAGAGTCAGGGAGAGGAAGAGAAAGAAAAAGAGACAGAGATCAGAGAGAGACACAGAAAGTGAGACTGGGGAGAGAGATAGTATAAAATAGAGAGAGAGAGAGAGACCGTAAGAGAAGGGAGACAAAGAGATAAAAGGTGCGAGTGAGCAGGTGAGGAGAAAGACTGAAAACGATGAGAAACAGCAACTAAGACACAAAGGAGGTGGGAGACTGCCCGGGTGCCACAGCACCCACACCGTCCTCTTGCCCCCGTCACTTGGGTTAAAACCACCGGAAATTCCACTATTGCAAATTTTGTATTAATCCTTGTATATCTGTCCTTTCTATTTTTAGTCTACAGTTGTATCCAGCAGCTCCAGAGAGACAGCGACCAGCAAGAAGGGGCCATGATGATGGTGGTGGTTTTTTCAAAACGAAAAGGGGGATATGTAGGGAAAAGAAAGAGAGATCAGACTCTTACAGACTCTTACTGTGTCTACATAGAAAGGGAAGACATAAGAGACTCCATTTGGAAAAAGACCTGTACTTTAAACAATTGCTTTGCTGAGATGTTGTTAATCTGTAGCTTTGCCCCAGCCACTTTGCCCCAACCACTTTGACCCAGTCTGGAGCTCACAAAAACATGTGTTGTATGAAATCAAGGTTTAAGGCATGTAGGGCTGTGCAGGATGTGCCTTGTTAACCAAATGTTTGCAAGCAGTATACTTGGTAAAAGTCATCACCATTCTCTTGTCTCAATAAACCAGGGGCACAATGCACTGTGGAAAGCCGCAGGGACCTCTGCCCTTGAAAGCTGGGTATTATTCAAAGTTTCCCCCCATGTGATAGTCTGAAATATGGCCTCGTGGGATGAGAAAGGCCTGACGGTCCCCTAGCCCGACACCCATAAAAGGTCTGTGCTGAGGTGGATTAGTCAAAGAGGAAAGACTCTTGCATTTGAGATAGAGGAAGGCCACTGTCTCCTGCCTGCCCCTGGGAACTGAATGTCTCGGTATAAAACACGATTGTACATTTGTTCAATTCTGAGATGGGAGAAAAACCGCCCTATGGTGGGAGGTGAGACATGTTTACAGCAATACTGCCTTGATATTCTTTACTCCACTGAGATGTTTGGGTGGAGAGAAACATAAATCTGGCTTACATGCACGTTCAGTCATAGTACCTTCCCTTGAACTTCATTATGACATAGATTCTATTGCTCACATGTTTGTTGCTGACCTTCTTATTATCACCCTGCCCTCCTACTACATTCCTTTTTGCTGAAATAATAAAGATAGTATTCAATAAAAACTGAGGGAACTCAGAGACCGGTGCCAGTGCAGGTCCTTGGTATGCTAAGCGCCGGTACCCTGGGCCCACTGTTGTTTCTCTATACTTTGTTTCTGTGTCTGATTTCTTTTCTGTCTCTCATCCCACCCAACAAGAAATACCCACAGGTGTGGAGGGGCAGGCCACCCCTTCAGTATGAGATTACAGGCATGAATAACCCCACCTGGCCACCTAACTCACACTTGAGAGGCCAGAAGTGATGCTGGAACTTTCTTCCTCTGTGGGTTAAAAAGGGAAAATTAGGGAGAACACAAGGCATGAGAGATGCAGCGATGGATATGTCTATATGGAGCTTCTGTCTGCATTCAGTAGAAAATGCATTTCTAGGCACCAGGTTTAAGAGCGAAAACCTGGAGTCTTGTCTGTTAGCATTCTCCTTCCCCACAAACCAGGGAGGGTATACATTTGCTCCAGCACACCCGGATGTAGGAAATGTCACATTCCTATTTCTGTAACTTCAGTTAAATCTGCTCTGAGTCCCTGGATGCCTGGTAGGTGGAGAATTCAATCTTGTCGTTACAAGCATTTCTTTCCCTTCTCCATGGGCTTATGTAAGAATTCTGGGCTTACACACTGTTGGAAAGCCAGGTAAGATCTACATCCTCCGAACTCTCCATTCTTCCAGCTGATCATGATCCATCAACCGTCTTTGGGCCATCTGCTATAGCAAGACCCTCCTCACAGCATCATTCCACTGACCCACAGGCTCAGCCCCAGGGACCCTCACTAGAACAGGTCTCCACTATGCATAGGAACTCACAAAAACCTTCTGTTCATCTTGGCTTCCTCTGATATCCAGCCACTCCCCTACTTCTCATCTTAAACACAGATGGCAGCTCCTTCCCATCATTCCAAACCTGGAGGATTGTCCAGCCAAATTCTCTTCAGACACCAAAGCTTCACCCGCTCTCTTCAGGGAGGTGATGCAAAGGAATCTGAGATCTTTGGAAGCCCAATTCTGGCCTCTCTTTGGGGTGGGCTGAGAGTGGGAACCAGACTCTCTTTTCCAAATGCCATGTTTATCTTGTTCATCATTATATTATCTCCAATGCCTGGCACATAGTAGGCACTACAGACTGACACACAGTAGGTGCTATTAGTGTCTGTATAATGGGACTCTTGAGGTTGAAGCTATTAGCAGAAACCTGCCATGCAAAAGGATGGAAAACCAACAACCAAAAAAAAAAAAATGAAAACAATCATGGCTTTGAGCTCTAAACACACTAGGCACCAGCCCAAGTTTGGGCAATTTTAATACAACAGCCATTTTGCCTCCAAACAAACTGGCACTGGAAACCTCCCTCTGCCTCTTAAAGAGAACCAGTTTCCCTTTCCCTAAGTGGGGAGCATTTCTCCCCGGTGGCAGTACCCAGCCCACTGCCACCAGCAAAGGACTGCAGCCAGGAGCCAAGAGCTTGACAGTTTAAAGAATAGATTTTATAGGGAAAAACAAAGTAACATCCACATAAATCTGGAACTACCACCACTTTCCAGAGGCCGAATCCCATTTATAAATTCTCTTGCGTGTCAAGCACCTTGCAGTCAGCTCAACTACACACTTTTGGGATTCGTTGCAGAGAAGAGTGAAGGTTATCTGCAAAATAAAGGAACCAGGGCTCAGAATTCCCAGAGCAATCCATGACAGAGGAGGTGAGTAGAAAAGGGAAGGGTGAAGTCAAAGGAGAGAAGTCAATGAGTTGGCCAACACCAAGCAAGGATCATGGGACCCTCTCCATGGCCCCACATCTCAAATGAAGTCAACAAATCCCATCAATGCTTGGTGTAAGTGTTGTATGCTCCTGGAAAAGAAAGCAGGGGCCATATTTCAGGTCAGTAGGGTCAGGGGTAGAGGCAGCGGTCATGGACTTGTGGGCCCTGGAGGATGGGATGATTCTGAGACATTGAATCCCTACACTGATCTCAGTAGAAATCTCAGGTAGGGCTTCAACATTCGTGGACAAAGGACTCTGTGGGCCTGACAGCAATAGCCTTGGTGCATGTCCCAGCTCCATCAATCCCAACTGGGGCTTTGAACAAGTTACTTATTTTTTTAACTAACGTTATTTTAATTGACAAATCATAATTGTACCAATGTATGTGATGTTTTGATATGTGTATGCAATGTGGGATGATTAGATCAAACTAATGAACAGGTCCATCCCCTAATTTACTGACAATTTTCATGATGCGACATTTGAAATGTACCCATTTAGTTATTTTGAAAGATACATTATTATTGACTATAGTCACGCTGCTGTGCTATAGATTTCAAAACATATAATCCAGCAACCCAACTTCTGGATATAGACCAAAAAAAAAATCAAAATCAATATGTCGAAGGGATCCCTACATTTCTATGTTCACTGCAGCTCTATTCACAATACCCAAGATATAGAATCAACCTGAGTGTCCATCAGTGGATGAAAGGATAAAGAAAATGTACTATATACACACAACGGAATACTATTAACCCTTAAAAAAGAAAGAAATCCTGTCATTTTCAACAACATAGATGAACTTGAAAGACATTGTGTTAAGTGAAATAAGCCAGGCACAGAAAGACAAATACTGCATGATTTTATTATATGTGGAATCTAAAGAAGTTGAACTCACAGAAATAGAGAGTAGGACAGTGGTTATCAGGGGCTGGGGTGGAGGAAAGGTAGGGGATAGGAGACACTGGTCAAAGGGTACAAAGTTTCCATAGGAAGAATAAGTTTTGAACAAGCTAAACTCCTCTGAAAGCTCAGTTCCTCATCTGTAGAGCAGGGATACATCATTAACCTTCTAAGGATGTTGCTGTGAGAGTAAGAGATGATGTTCAGCACAACACCTAACGCACAGTCAGGTCTCCTTAAGCTTGAAACTGCATCGCCATGACCTCTACATCACAGGACAGAAAGGCTCACAGCCAGTGTCTCAGTTCCCAATGAAAAGTGGATCCCAGACCAGGCTGAACAGCAGGATCCCTAGGGGACACCCCACCCTACTGAGTCAGAATCACCAGAGGTAGAGCCCGGGTATGTATGTATGTATGTGTGTGTGTGTGTGTGTGTGTGTGTGTGTGTGTGTGTGTGTGTGTGTACGTATAAGAGACAGGGTCTTGCTCTGCAGTCCAGGCTGGAGTGCAGTGTCACAATCATAGTTCACTGCAGCCTCAAATTACTCCTGGCCTCAATCCACCCTCCCATCTCAGCCTTCAGAGTAGCTGAGACTACAGGCGCATGCCACCAAGCCCGGATACTTTTTTTTTCTTCCTTTTGGAGAGAGTCTCACTCTGTTGCCCAGGCTGGAGTGCAATGGTGCAATCTTGGCTCACTGCAACCTCTGTCTCCCTGGTTCAAGTGATTCTCGTGCCTGAGCCTCCTGAGTAGCTAGGATTACAGGCATGCACCACCACACCAAGCTAATTTTGCTCTTTCATTGTTGTTTCTTGTTTGTTTTTCACAAATAGGACTTCTTATTTGCTACTAAGTCTGAACTTTAAACAGATTCTTGGACTGGTGGTTCATATCCATCAGCTCATTCAACTTTAGCATGTCTCTCGTCCCTAGTGGGTTTTCCAGAACTACTACCGTCACCACGAAGCTCCATGCCTTTCAAACCCAGGGTTCTCCAGCATTTTTACTTTTCTAATGAAGACATCATGGAGAGGATAGATTGGCAAGCCTCTTCTACATCTTTTCCAATGTTGTCTGGAATCAATTTATTGACCACTTCTTTCAAGTCATTTGTCTGCACCTCTCAGGTCATGATTTCCATCATCTTCTTCTGGATTTGGGGGACTGTTTGTGCTGAGCATAAGAGGTCTTCTGTATCTGATTGTTGTGTTTTTTGGTAAAACCAACACAAAACAGATGAAAGAAGTAACCATCGGTAGTCTTGACATCAACATGAGCTTCAATCATTGTTGAACATTTTTCAACCATGGAACATATTTTGTCACAGGTAAGACCCATGCCATAGAAGTTAGTCAGGCAGTTTTTGCCCTGAACATCTTCAGTAATCAGCTTGAATTTTCTAAATGCAACTTTATCATTTTGCAAATCAGCCAGACTCACTTCAAACACAAGACTCTTGAGACCATCAGATGCAATTTGGGTTCCTTGGGTCCTGGTGACCAAGTCTTTCCAATATTTCTTATATTGAACATAGCAGGTGCTTTCACATCATACTGATCTTTCTTAGAAAATGGATCAACTATTTTCTCCTTAACTCCCTTTTTGCCACCTTTTATAAGGCACTTGTTCTTAACAACCGCCATGGTGCTGCTCAGAGTACCAAGAGGCTAAATTTTATATTTTTGGTAGAGACGGTGTTTCACCATGTTGGCCAAGCTGGTCTTGAACTCCTGATGTCAGGTGATCTGCCCGCCTCAGCCTCCCAAAGTACTGGGATTACAGGTGTGAGCCACTGCACCCAGCTGATATATATTTTTTCTTTTTTTGTAGAGACAGGGTCTTGCCATGTTGCCAAGGCTGGCCTGGAACTCCTGGCCTCAAGCAATCTTCCCACCACAGCCTCCCAAAGGACTGAGATTTCAGATGTGAGCCACCATGCCCAGCCTGGAATCTATTTTTAAAGCCAATCAAGTGTTAAATAAAATTGCAACTTGGGCTGTTTTTTCTTTGCATTTTTTACATGTCAATGGTTTTTAATATATTCACAGATATACACAAACATTACCAGTCAATTTTAGAACATTTCATGACCTCAAAAAGAAACCTCATACCCTTTAGCTAACACTCCCTATCCTCCCATGCCCCTATCAGCCCTAAGCAACCAGTAATCGACTTCCTATTTCTATAGATTTCCATCTGAATGAAATCATGTAGAATGTGATCTTTCATCTGTTTTGAAGGTTCATCCACGCTGTAGCGTATGTAATTTCCTCCTTTTTGTGATCAAATAATATTCCACCATGTGGGTAGACAACAATCGATATATCTCTTCATCTGGTGATGGGCATTTGGATAAATTCCCTCTTTGGGTTATTAGGAGTGATGTTACTGTAATTATTTATGTACAAATTTTTGTGTGGACCTGTGCTTTCATTTTTGAATATGAAAATATGGCACATCTCCAAGGAAGACATATAAGTGGCCAATAAGCACATGAAAAGATGCTCAATGAAATTCATCATCAGGGAAACAGAAATCAAAACCACAATGCGATACGACGTCATACCCATAAGCATGGCTAGAATAAAAGATAGAGAAAGTTGGCCTGGTGCGATGGTGAATGCCTGTAATCTCAGCACTTTGGGAGACCGAGGCAGGTGGATCACCTGAGGCCAGGAGTTTGAGACCAGCCGGGCCAACATGGTGAAAGCCTGTCTCTCCTAAAAAAATACAAAAATTAGCCAGGCATGGTGGCAGGTGCCTATAATCCCAAGTACTCGGGAGGCTGAGGCAGAAGAGTAACTTGAATCTGGGAGACAGAGGTTGCAGTGAGCTGAGATTTTGCCACTGCACTCCAGCCTGAGCGACAGAGCAAGACTTTGTCTCAAAAAAAAAAAAATACAGAAAATAACAAGTGGTGGTGAGGATACAGAAACTAGAAACTTCATACACTACTGGTAGGAATTAAAATATTGTAGCCACTGTGAGAAACACTTCAACAACTTCCCAAACAATTCTACATAGATTTACCAAATGACCCAGCAATTGTACTCCTAGGTATAGGCCCAACTTGGGCTCTTTTAATCTATGAAAAATGAACTGTGGGTACTTGGCAAGAACAAAGAGGGAGAGAGAGAGAAATGGTGCTGTGAGGGCACGTTGATTGGTCTCTAGTACACAGGGCTCCTACTGCAAATGGTCTCTAAATGACTTCATCAGTTGCTCATAAAAAAAATCACCCTCTGCTCCAATCGTGGAGGAAGAAATATGGATTGGACCTGGTGAGCCACGGTAAGACTGACTGCTAAACTGTATGAATGATGAGGGGATTTGCACGTATAATCTTGACTGTACTAGATTTTTTATTTTATCCACTGTCTTTGAAAACCTAACTCTTGACTAAGAACTGACTTTCCTGTACTTGTTATTGACTCTAAGTAAATTTCCAATTCCACATAGTCCAAAGATGATATGCTGAAAAATCTCTCAAAGGAAAAATGCTAAGAATACAGGCACAGTTATATGGCAAATTTTGCAGAATTAACACAAATTGTGCTTGTAGGTAAGAAGCACAAAACATTTTCATGCGTAAAGAAAAGAGTGTTCTTCCTTCTAGTAGAGGCTGCAGGATCAAGGTGCTTGCCCAGCCAGACCTTGGGCTCTTACCAAATTTCTGTTAGAGTCAACTCTGATGGAGTCTGTATCCCAGTCATCTTTTTTTTTGACATGGAATCTCGCTCTGTCTCCCACGCTGGAATGCAGCGGTGTGATCTCAGCTCACTGCAACACCTGCCTTTTGGGTTCAAGCAATTCTCCTGCCTCAGCTTCCCAAGTAGCTGGGACTACATATGCATGCCACCATGCCTGGCTAAGTTTTGTATTTTTAGTAGAGACGTTTCATCATGTTGGCCAGGCTGTGCTCAAACTCCTGCCCTCAAGTGATCCGCCTGCCTTGGCCTCCCAAAGTGCTGGGATTACAGGCATGAGCCACCATGCCCGACCTCAGTCATCTTTTTATCCTCCACACCTGGCAAGTTCTAGACACACTGTGGTTCCATACAAGTTTGTTGAATAAACAGGAGACGGATAGAAAGTGGGAACTCTGGAAGTAGAGAAGATTCCAGAAATTGTGCATATTTCCCAGAGACTGTGGCCCAATTCCTCAGTCCTGCCAGAGTTTCTCTATCTCAACTCAAACCTTACCTGTGGGCCCAGGCGCAGTGGCTCACACCTGAAATCCCAACACTTTAGGAAACTGAGGTGGGCAGATCACTTGAGGCCAGGAGTTTGAGAGTAGCCTGGCCAACATGGTGAAACCCTGTCTCTACTAAAAATACAAAAATTAGCCAGGCATGTTGGTATGCACCTGTAGTCCCAGCTGTTCGGAGGGCTGAGGCACAAGCATTGCTTGAACCCAGGAGGCGGAGGTTGCAGTGAGTCACAATTATGCCACTGTACTCTAGCCTGGGCAATAAAGCAAGACTGTCTCAAAAGAGAAAAAAACCCTTATGTGTGGGCCTTGTTACAGAATTAATGTGTATATGGACAATATGTACATGCGTGTAGGTTAAGAGCATGAGTCATCCACAAGATTTTAGCAAATTCTACTTAGAAAGCTCAATGCTTTGGGCTTCCACTTGCTTTGCTGTCTCTGTCCTCAGGAGGAGGCTTCATCCTTCCATGTAACCAGCGAATCCTTTATGCATAGATGTACACAACACACTCCTCTCCTTGGCTATGACACCTTGAAAGGCTCCTCTTGGTGGCCCCTGGTGCTCATTTCAGAGTAGTTCAAATTAAGGTGATCAGCTTTCATGCCAATCACTCTGCACATCACCCCTATTATGACCAATTTTTCTAAATGTTTTATTGAATTATTACTTAAAGAAATGTGCACATAGAAGAGGTCAACACAGTACTTTTCTTACAAACTGAACATACTGGCCAGGTGCAGTGGCTCATGCCTGTCATCCCAGCACTTTGGGAGGCTGAGGTGAGCAGATTGCTTGAGCCCAGGAGCTCAAGACCAGCCTGGGCAACATAGTGAGACCCCCCTCTCTACAAAAAATAAATAAATACAAAAATTAGTCAACAGTGATGGCACATGCCTGTAGTTCCAGCTACTCAGGAGGGCTGAGGAGGGAGGACTGCTGGAGCCCAGGAGGCAGAGGCTGCAGTGAGCCATGACGGTGCCACTGTGCTCCAGCCTGGGTGACAGAGCAAGAGCCTCCCTCAAAACAACAACAAAAACAACAACAACAACTGAACATCTCCATATTACCGACACCCAATTCAAGAAACAAAATATTACAGCCCCTTCCAGGATATTCCTGGGGTCTCTTCCATCTCTACTAACCCCTGACTACAAACAGCCTCCACCTATTTCACCTGACATTGTACTTCATGAAAGCAGCAGTTCTCAGATGGGGCTATTCTGCCCCCTGGGGACATTAGGCAATATCTGGAGACACTGGGGGTTGTCTCTACTTGAGGGGAGTTGTGTTACTGCATCCAGCGAGTCCAGGGATCCAGGGATGCCGCTCAACATCCTAAACTGCACAGGGAACTCCCACACATAGAACAGAGAAATTGCTGAGCCGAAATGTCAGCAGCGTCACAGCTGACACCCTGACATACACAGAATCACACAGTATCTGCTCTTTTGTGCTCAGAATCTCTTTCATTCTAATCATTTCATAGGAAACAGAAATGCCATTTGGAAGTAGGTAGAGTAGAAAACAAAGAAGATACAGAATTTTTTTTTAATCAGCCTGGTGCCTTTAGAGCTAGGTTTTAGTTTCCATTCTTTCTGTCTCATTTTCAAGTGATTTTTCTTCAAATGGCATCTGCTGGGCTCAAGACCCGGAGATCCCCACAAAGCTGAGATTCACATGGGAATTTTGTACACACCCACACAGGTATACACTGCCATTTACATGCAGACATCCACCCACAGATACACACATCCGGAGACCAAGACAGAAAGCAAACTCCACCATAAAAACACGGTGCCCCGAACAGGAGAAATGCACCATTCACTCCAGGGAGGTACCTATTGGTTTAATTCAGCCTCTGATAGTCAGGCCGTTGCCAAGCCCAGCTCTGAAAATCTTCCCCTCTAGGAAAGAGAGATGGATTTTTTCTTTACTCAAGAATATAGATCTAAAAAAAACCAAACACTTCTGCATCTCAAAGCAGGCTCTACCTCCTGAGCTACACATATTGATCAGCATTTTATTGTCAATTTTCTTTTATCTGAACTGGAGAAAAATATAACCTAATTATGTTCTTACTGACAGTTTGGAATCAGTTACACTAAATCCAATTCTCTGGGTTCTCATGATTAATATGTTTAATTTGGGGGACAACAAAGCAAAAGCATTGGTCGTGTTTTAATATAATTAGTACAGGATATATCTAAGGGGTTCAAGTATCACTGTAGGAAGAAGCTCATTCTGCAGTAAAAGGGGGATTCTGCCACTAGGATTGAGTTAGGGTGGTTCATGGATGCACCGCTTCATCAATGTCTCTCCAAGGGTCCATGGAACGTGGAATGGGAAAGACTGAAATATTACAAGTCTTGGCTAAGCTTTTATTAAGGCATGTTAGGAGCTGATAAAATAACCTGGTCTTTATAGACATCCCACACTGTTAGTTCTCTAAGCTACAGATTCTCAGATTTTTCTATTTTATAAACCAGTAAAAATATTTTTTTAATTTGAGAACCAACATAAGGTTGCAATTTTTTTTTCTTTTTGGAAAGAAGGAACGTTTTTAAACTACCAGTTTCACACACATATACATAGAAATTCCAACATGATTTGTCAGAATAGGTGAGGTTTTGCTGCAGTAACAAACAACTCCTAAATCTTGGTAACTTCAAACATCAGAAGTTGTTTTTCTCTCTCATGCTACATCTGCAGGGAGGTGTGGGGTGCTCTGTTTCCCATCAAACTTGCCCTAAGACTAAGGGTAATGAGGGTTGCATTACCTCGAGTATCACCAAGCAGGGAACAGAGGGAGAAGAATGCTAGAGAGCCCTGTACGAAGAATTAAATGCCCCAGGCTAGAAGTCTCACACTGCACCTCTGCCCCCAGCCTCTTGGCCAGTACTAGCCACATCCCCTCCCCCACCACAGGGCAATGCATGAAGACAGGAGAATTGGATACATTACAAATTTCTACCCCATGGCATTTCATAAAAGAGAAAAAAATGCAAATACAAAAATGTTTTAATAGAATAGAATATATACATTTTTAGAATAAAGAATAATCCTCCAAAAAGGACAGCTCGTGGTGTTTCACCAATGGGCACATTTCTGTGACATTTTCTCTGTTTTTCCATTTTACCCTTGACCTATGAACATTTTATACAGATGGTCCAAAGAACACCATGTGGGGACCACTGCTCTAATCAGGTGATGAAAACGGCCCCAAGAACAGAGCACAGTCTCTTTAGCAAAGACCCAGCAGGGCCAGGGTGACCATGTTCTCACCATCAATGTGCAGACATCCACCTGCAGCATCCTCACATCCCAACATCAAACAGTGGCTCTTTATAGCTTGATTCTAATGCCCTTTGATCTTCATAATCACTGTAAAACTCTCTTGCTCCAAGATCTAACATCGCCACTCTAGCTACATCCTGCAACTGTTCACCTCTCCTGCCTCCTCATCCCTCTAAACTTCTCTTCACAACCTCATGTTTCCTTCTTGCTTTACCTTCCTGCTCAGCCTGGACCTTACAGTCACCTTCTTCTTGAAATGTGCTCCTGAACTCTTTCTTCCCTGCCTTCAACCACACCCACCTGGAAAATCTCCATACCCCACTGATGACTTGCCTCGCAACTGCCCAAGGGCTGCTGAATTATACTGGAAAGAATCACAACATGGATCTGGTAGTTCCACTAAATAATCTCACCATCCAACTCTAGGGTAGACTTCACTTGTGCTCAGCAATATTTTTAAGCATCACAAATAAGTTCCAAACCATATTTGCTAGAACAATTAACTTTAAACCTCTTCCATATCTCAAAGCCCCCAAACCCATCCCTAGGGATTTCAGAGCCCAGAGTGGAGTTCTCTCAACTCACTTCTATCTCACCCCGGATCACTGTACCTTGACCCTCTTCCTCTGCCTTTCCCATCTTATAAGGAGTAGCATCCTTCTCCTTTCCCAAGCTACCTTCTCCACTTGTGCCTCATTTGAGACCTCCCTTTATCACCCGTTCCCTTGGAACTCCCATGACTCACCACCTTCACTTGTCATTTCACTCATAAATATTTTGCACCATGTATGTGCCAGACGTTTAACATATAATCATGCTTAAGTCTCCACATGCTAACAAGAAAAACCTTGATTATCCCTGATATGCCCTCAAGTCATTACCCTCCCCGCTCCTTTCCTGTGTTCCCAAGCTTTGCTGATCTTCATCAATCCCTCTGATGCAGATGGCTCCGAAGTTTGCATCCTATTAGGTTGGTGCAAAAGTAATTTCGGATTTTGTCATTGAAAGTAGTGGCAAAAACAGCAATTATTTTTGTACCAGCCTAGTATCTTTTCTCCTTCTACCAAACTTTGTCCCTGAGCCATCTCATCACCTATAACTACCTCCTCCATGCAGTTGATTCCCAGGTCTGTATTATTCTACGGAAAGACCATTCCCCAACTTTCTCGGCTAGAATAACAGAAGCCCAATTAGAATTCATGCTACCAGTTTACCACCACCACCACCGTCGCCCTGCCATTGTTAGCAAAACCATCTCTTGAGTGGAGCTCAAAGATTTGTAATCTCCCACTCCCCAGAAAGGTAACTTCAGACTCAGCCTAGAAGTAAAGATCCTCCAGATATGGCCTCAACTACCCTCCAACCCATGTCCCCAGTGCATCCCGTTGATGCTCCCTTCAGTGGAGTTAAAATGGAGTGAGTGTTTTTCTTTCACATACTCCTGGTGTTCTTCCACAAATACAATTTTCACCTCTTGAATATTTTCAAGGATTCTCCATGCTACACACAGTGAAATCCAAACTCCCCGTCAGGACCCCAGTCTTCCCAAACCCTCTTTGCATTTTTCTGCCTCCATGCTTTTCCTTGGGTCATCCTCTTCTCTAATATAACCTTGTGTATTACTCTAGGTTCTCCAGAGAAAGAGCAGAGAGATAGAGGTAGAGCTATACACATAGAGAGAGACAGATTGATTTGTTGTAAGGGATGGCTCACATGATTATGGAGGCTAAGGAGTCCTGGAGTCTGCAGCCAGCAAGCTGGGGACCCAGGACAGCCAATGATATAGTTCCAACTCGAGTCCACATCTAAACTCAGGAGAAGGTTGATGTCCCAGCTCAAATATAATCAGGTAAAAAGAGCAAATTCTCTGTGACTCTACCATTTTGTTTTGTTCAGGTCTTCAGTGGATTGGATGAGGCTCACCCCCATTTGGGAGGACAATCTGCTTTATTCAGTCTAGCAATTAAATGTTATCCTCATCCAGAATACCTCAGAGACACACCCAGAATAATGTGTAGCCAAATATCTGGGCACCCCACAACCCAGTCAAATTGATACATAACACTAACCATCATGTCTTGCTTCTACTCTCTCCCCATTACTGCATGGCCAAATCCTTCCCTTATTTCAAGGCTTAGTTCAAATGTTACCTCTTAACTAAGCCTTCCCTGCTAACCCCAAATATTAATAGAATTGGTTTCTCCCTTCTCTGATGTCTCAAAATACGTTGTGTGTTTCTCTTTTACTGTATTTATTACAAAGTCCCTTATAAATCAAGACAGTGATTCCCAGACAAATTATCAAAAGAGTATAAAAGAAGTCTTCTTTGAGTGTGAAATATCTCATGGAATATAGCACATGGCCTCTTCATGAAGAAACTACTGGGAGAGAAGAAGACAAGCTGGAAGAGACCAGGGAAAGGGGGTTAGTACAAAGCACAATGAGACTGGGCTCATACAGTGGCTCACACCTGTAATCCCAGCACTTTGGGAGGCCAAGGCCGGTGGATCACGAGGTCAGGAGATTGAGACCATCCTGGCTAACACAGTGAAACCTCGTCCCTACAAAAAATACAAAAAAGTTAGCCAGGCATAGTGGCGGGCACCTGTAGTCTCAGCTACTCGGGAGGCTGAGGAAGGAGAATGGTGTGAACCCGTGAAGCAGAGCTTGCAGTGAGCCGAGATCGCACCACTGCACTCAAGCCTGGGTGACAGAGCAAGACTCCATCTCAAAAAAAAAAAAAAGAAAGAAAGAAAGCACAATGAAATGTCAGTGGATGGTTGCCTATAATTTCTAATGGAAATAGAGTATAATCCAAGAATTTTATAGCCAGCTAAATTATTGCCCAATCAAAATAGGCAAAAGACATGATCACATGTTGAAGAACTTAAAGAATACAGTATTTCTGAGGTCTTTAAAAAAAAAAAGTCTTCATAATAAAATTTAGTCAGCCAAGAAATTAAAAAATAAGCAACTGGTGAATTGAATGACCATGACAAAAGGCTAATTATGAGAGGTGAATCCATTTAAAAACAGGACTATGATTGCAGAACAGAAAGAGAAGGTGGTCAACCTTAACAACATAAAACAACCTAGAAATAACTAGTTTCCAGCGGTAAAGGGAGGGACTGTAGGAAGGAGAAGTGCTAATGCCCTTTATTAAGTCAATTAATCAGGTCTAAAATTGAAACGTGGTTTTAAATATATAACTTCTTGTTTATTTTCCTCCCTAACTACCTGATGATCAACCACCATGATGAATGACACAGTAATTATCTGGACCAGGAAGTTCATGACCAATCGACCACTCCAGAGGAAACAAATGGTCACCAATGTCCTTCACCCCGGAAAGGCAACAAAATGTACAAGACCACAATGGATGTCATCTTCATATTAATAGTTGGACTCAGAACCCATGTTGGTGGTGGTTAAACAATGGGCTTTGGCATGCTATCTGGTTCTTTGAATTATGCAAACAAAAATGAACTCATAGACTTGCAAGACACAGCTGGCATGAGAAGATGACCTCATGAAAACAGCAAAAGGAATGCAAGGGCAGAATGACGTCCAGAAACTGCAAAGTGCTGGCAAAAAGCAAAAGGAGTAAAGATTTTGCAATGATTTATTTGCAGTGACTGTACAGATTTTTCATGAGATGATCAATCAACTGTAAAGACTTTTACATATATATAAAACTTCTTAATATTTTTCATCATCTTTGATTTCTTAGACGTTCTAGAAACTGATTTTTAGTGAGGAAAAACTACATTTATCTGAGTTGACCAGTTCCTTCAGTTTCACTTCCATTTCTTTTTCTTCTGATAAATTTACCCAGCATTCAATTTGCTACTTCTTGTTTTTAAAATCTCATTTTGTGTGATCAGAAGTGTCTGTTCATGTCTCTAGCCATCTTTGTGCATAGCAAGGAATGCTGTTCACTTAATATTATGAGGTTTATTTCTTGGGGTCGTGAGATTTTCGGTGATTTCTCTCCCTTTTTGTACTTTTCTGTATTCATTAATTTTTTTGAGACAATGTCACCAGTGTCCTTCATATTAATATTTGGACTCAGAACCCATTTTGGTGGTGGTTAAACAATTGTCACCCACATTGCAGTGCAGCGGTACGATCTTAGCCGACCAAACCTCCGCCTCCCAGGCTTAAGCGATTCTCCTGCCTCAGCTTCCCCTGTAGCTGGGATTACAGGCGTGCACCACTACCGCCTGGCTAATTTTTATATTTTTAGTAGAGGTGGGGTTTCACCTTGTTGGCCAGGCTGTTCTTGAACTCCTGACCTCAAATGATCCACCCGCCTTGGCCTCCCAAAGTGCTAGGATTACAGGCGTGAGCCACCGTGCCCAGCCTTTTCTGTATTAAATTTTTAAAAACGCAATATTTAAAATAATCATCATTCTTTTTGAATCTACTTTGTATTATAGGTATCCAAATACTCACCTATTCTCTCTTACGTGATGACAAACTTGTTGAAATGTCATTTCATTTTGTGGCTCCAGCCCCAGTGATTCTGACTCTGATTCTAAAGGGTCTGCATGCAGAGTGAGCAAGCCGCCTGGATGATTCTCTTGCAGGTGTTTTAAGGGCAGGAGTTTGAGATACCCTGATGCAAAAGAAAGAACCCTCAAGGAATTTGACTGTACATGTATTTTCCTTCCTATCACAGGAAACGACAGAAAGATTATCCAATCAGTACCACTCATAGCACCTGATTATATGTGTATGAGGAATTCAGAAATGGTTTGATCAAGGCTGAAGACCTAAAAAGAGGCTCTTCTCTTGGACACCAAGTCCCCATCTCATGAGTGGTTGAGTTAGTAGAAACTGAGGATGATGCTTCTTCCTCTAGCATTGGTATCCCATGGATTTGTTCAGTAGATAAAGTACCTCCAACCCCCAATATCCCCAAGCTCTATCCCAGTTTCCTCACATACACTTTTTTTTTTTTTTTTGAGACAGAGTCACGCTCTGTCACCCAGGCTGGAGTGCAGTGCAGTGGTGCAAACTCAGCTCACTGCAACCTCCATCTCCCAGGTTCAAGCGATTCTCCTGCCTCAGCCTCCTGAGTAGCTGCGACTATAGGCACCCGCCACCACGCCTGGCTAATTTTTGTATTTTTAATAGAGACAGGGTTTCACCATGTTGGTCAGGATGGTCTTGATCTCTTGACTTCATGATCCACCTACCTTGGCTTCCCAAAGTGCTGGGATTACAGGTGTGAGCCACCACGCCTAGCCTGAGACTTTCAAGTAAAGCCACAATGGACCACAGAGCTTAGACATCAGAGCTAACATGGAATCCCTGTCATTAAATCTTGAGATCTTATTATGTTTGCTCAAAGAGAAAAATAATCACAATTGACATTTTGAGGAGAAGACATCTGAATGTAAACTTGATCTTAGAGGATATTAAGGAATTGCTGGTAATTTGATTAGGTATGACAATGATCATATAAAAAATGCCCTCATGTTTTTAGAGGGAAAGTAAATTACGTAGGGGTGAATATCATGATGCAATTACAAAACTACTGTAAACTATTTTTTAAATACTTCAGAAAAACAAATGGAGTAAATATTACAAACTTTAATAGTTTTTAAACCTATGTGATCGGTATATGATAGCTCATTAAAGTAGTCTCTGTACTTTTATGTATATTGAAAATTTTTCATAATAATAATAAAAAAAAAACCTTGGCCAGGCACAGCAGCTCATGCCTGTAATCCCAGCACTTTGGAAGGCCGAGGTGGATGGAGGACTGCTTGAGCCCAAGAGTTTGAGACCAGCCTAGGCAACATGGTGAATCCTCATCTCTACAAAAAATAGACAAATTAGTCAGGCATGGTGGTGTGCACCTGCAGTCCCAGCTACTCAGGAGGCTGAGGTGGGAGGATCACCTGAGCCCAGAAGGTCAAGGCTGCAGTGAGCCAAGGTCATGCCACCGCACTCCAGCCTGGGCGACAGACCTTGTCTCAAACAAACAAGCAAACCAAAACCCTCTTGGTCCCATTTCCCAAAAAATGATTTTTTTGAGATCTTACCATCTCCTGGCTTGGTGCAGAGTACAGGAAATCAAGACAAAGTACAGCACACAAGGAATAAGGAGGGAGGGAAGTGTGGGGGAGGCTGACTCTGTGGACTCTCCCAGCTCAGTCGACCCATGCGCCTTGCTTCATGGAAGAAAGGAATGGAAGATGAATCGTGCCTTTCACACACAGTGACCTTCCTCACTAGTAAATGCGCCTTCAGAAGTGTCCAAGAGGTCAGTGCCACAGCCAGGCTGGCTGCATGAGAATCACCTGCGAGCTTTTGCAAACATAGGCCCCTATTGGGTCCACATGTATTCATCTCTTGGAGAGGAGGAGAGAGGCAGAACAAGGAAAAGGATGGGAAGAAACCAGCCTTGTGCACAGGAGGATGCTGGGATTCCTCCTGCACGTTTAGCACAATGCAGCCTATTTTACAAGGTCACAGAAGCTCAGAGAGGTAAACTTGCCCAAGTTCTCATAGTTTGTAACTGGCAAAACCTGCCCAAATCTCTGTCTCTAGAGATATTTCCACTTGCTTCAACTCTGGAGCTGTCTTAGTTGTAAAGATGACAGATTCCACTGATCACTCACTTTTGTTTGCAGATATTGCCTGAGGTCCCTTGTGAATATTTAGGTGAGGGCTGTTTTTTTGAGTTCTTTGTTTGTTTGTTTCTTGGTTTTTTACAAAGCAATCTTGTGGAAAGAACCCAAAGTGGCTCCCCCATTTAAGACCCTGTAAACAGGGAGACCACAGTCTGGAGTCCTGGTCTGGTTTCCACACCTTCCTTAGATTTCCCTGTGTGTAAAATCCAACAACAATCTTTGACAAATTGCCTCCCCTAGGGGAGAGATGGAGGAAGTGTTAACTTTGCTTTTTTTTTTTTTTTTTTTTTTTTTTTCTGTTTTCAGACAGAGCCTCGCTCTGTCACCCAGGCTGGAGTGCAGTGGAGCCATCTCAGCTCACTGCAACCTCTGCCTCCTGAGTTCAAATGATTCTTGTGCCTCAGCCTCCCGAGTAGCTGGGACTACAGGCAGATGCCACCACACCTTGCTAATTTTTGTATTTTTAGTAGAGATGGGGTTTCACATATTGGCCAGGCTGGTATCGAACTCCTGGTCTCAAGTGATCTGCCCCCCTCAGCCTCTCAAAGTGCTAGGACTACAGGCATGAACCACCATGCCCAGCCACTTTGTCATTTTTTTTTAATAGACAGCTTCGAGGTCCAGTATGAGTTCACAGATTAGGAAACATCACAGGCAAAGAAGAACACTTTGCATTCAAATAGCAGAATGTTTTCATTTTCAAAGAGCTCTCACCTGCCATCTAATCTTGTCTTCCTAGCAGTCCTGGGAAAGAAGCAGATGTGGTTTCCGATCCCACTTTCCAGAAGAGGAGACTGAACAGAGGCTTTGCAGATACACAAAGGACATGTGAGGACAGGCGAAGGTCATGATCATTGCCAGCCCCTCCCCCAACTTGACATTCCCAGATCTGGTGGACTTCCAACCAGAGGAGAGAGAAGGACTGGATCATTCAACTCTGCCATGGATGCCAGGACCACATTTTTCCATGGTTAACTCGGTCACATCCTGTCTGGGATCTCCAACTACTACCCATCCCACAAGTCTCAGCTAAAACAGCAATTCAATGAGGAAATTTTTTCTGAGGCTCCAGGATTGGGCCAGGCCCACTCCATGGCTCTCTGCCCTTCCCCTACTGCAGAACTTAGCACCCGTATGTCACTATTGGTTCAAACATGTGTCTTTCGTATGCTCTCCACGTTATCTGCAGCATCTGCCAAGAATAATAATGAATGGTAAAACCTAATTTCTATTGAGTGTCGATGATGCACTTTTAACCTGACATCTTATTTAATCCTCACTACATCTGCAAGAGTAGAAGATATTAATAGCCAATTTTCAGATAAGAAAATCAAAGCACAATTTCTATAACTTACCCAAGCAGCTAGCTAGGAGGCAGCTCAGTTTGAGCCCAGGGAATCATATTCTAGAGACCGTCTTCTCAATTACTAGAGCAGGTACCTCCCCAGAATCTAGCAGGTGATTAACGAATCTTTGTGGAATAAATGAACAGAAGGACAAGCAGATGGATGGATACATAGGTGGGTGAGTGGATAGATAGGTGGATGGAAAGATGGGTGGGCGGGCAGGTGGATGAATGAATGGATGGTTGAGTCGGTGAAGGGATGGCTGGGTGGGTGGAGAAATGGATGAGTGGGTGAGGGGGTGGAGGGATAGATAAATGGATGGACGGGTGTGTGGATAGATGGGTAGTTGAGTGAATGGGTGGATAGATGCATGGGTGAGTGGATGGATAGATGGGTTGGTGGGTGGGTAGGTGGATGATAGTTGGGTGCATAAGAGAGTGGGTTGGATAGATAGATGGGTGGGTGGGTGGATAGATGGGTGGGTGGGTGGATAGATGGGTAGGTGGGTGGATGGATGTATGCATGTCTGGATGGATGGATGGATGGATGGATGGATGGATAGAAGGAGGGGTGGACGGATGGATGGACAGATGAACAGATGGACTTGAGCATTTATTCGGGGTCCTCCAAAGAATTGAGTGATTTCCTAGGGTGTGTCATCACCTGCAGGTGGGTGGGCAAGGGGCTTGCCTCTGTAATACTCATGATTATGGGTAGTGCTCAGCCTTAGTCGCCACTCTCAGAACACTTTATTGACTAGGAAATTCAAAACTGGCATTGACAACTAATGCAAATTGCAGCTATAACTAACAGAAGATGTTGAGCTGATGACAGCTGGGCAACCAATAATCAATAACTTGGCTGGGTCATGTTACTGCCATGTTGGGCTGGTAGAGCCAGGGGTCCCTTAATCCCCCCATCACATTGAGGATGCTTATCAAGACTTCCCCAACCATGGGGACAGGGATCTTATCAAATACTTGCAGTTCACCCCAAAAGGCTCACCCTCTTCGTTCCACCTGCACATGACCTTCGGCTCAAAGACATTTCCAGTCCTCCAGGTCAGCCCTTCTTCCAGCCTTTGAATTAACCCTGATGACTGCCTGCCCATTAGGTGTCTTCACCTTTCATCACACATCCTTTTCCAAGGCTTTCCTTCAGTCCAGCCCTCACTAAACGCTGGAACTGTTGTTGACAAAATCCAGAACAAGCTGGCTGGGGGATACAGGTGGGAAGCAGGCTGTAGTAATGGGGAAAAAATCTAAGCAATCTCGAACACAGAAAAGAAACTGAACAGGTAAGAGAGAGGCAGTCAAGAGAAGAAGTGTTAATTTTGCATAACTGAAGCTGAAGAAGATCAGGGGGGCATGGCAGACCACAAGATAAATATGATATAGACTGCTTTTTAAAAAGCCACCCTTTCCTGTTGACAACTGTGCTTCAAATATTGCTAAGGTCTTTACTAAAGGTGAGTCAGAAAAACTGAGTATTTTATGCCATACAGTAAGAAGGCCCATAGGCAAGCATGTTCCTGACACCATCTTCTAGGATAACCCCTGGGATTCTGGTTACACCTATCCTAAAATTGTCTCTCATTCCTGCTGTTGGAGAGCTACCATGAGAGAAGAACCATAGTGAATTCGTTAAGAGTGTGCACCCAGCGACCAGCCAGATGGCTTCAAACCATCACTACCTACTACTGAGAAAGTTACATAATGTTCCTGAGCCTCAACTTTCTCATCTGTAAAATGGGTATGCCGTCATTCATTAATCAAATTCTAGGTGAGCATATACTAAACACCAGAGACACAAATGAGAATCAGGAACAGGTATGGCCCTGGTCCTCATGGTGACCACAGTCTTGAAGGGGAAGGATGACATGCACAGAAATAGGAATCCATAGCTGAGCTAGTGTCTACCACAGAGAGGCACCTGGTGTCATGAAAGCAGATAACAGGGGGTTGCTTTGACTGAGTCAGTGTGGCCAGGCGTCCCTGAGGATGTAGTGACTCCACTGTCAGATGAGACCGTGACCAGGTGAAGAGGCAGGGAGAGGGAAAATCTTTCCAGGCAGAAAGAGCAGGATGTGCAAAGGCCCTGTGGCAGGAAAAGAGCAAAGGAAGTGTAGGAGCCTGAAAGAGGCCAGAGAGAACAAGTGAACATGTGGATAATCACAGCACCCACCTCATACAGGACTTGCAAGAAATTGAGACCCTGTCTGTAACAGATTCAGCAATGACTAAATAGAAACTATCTCCTAAAAGCACAGGATGAGGCTCCTTGGTGGTATTTCCCATGTGAGGCTGCCATGGACTCAGAGGCCAAGTTCAACCTGCCTGTAGACAACCTCCAAGCCAGCTGGACACACATACACACTCAGGCTCAGGATACCCAGGACAGAGTTCTGGATGCTTGAAGTCATGATAAGTATCCAGAATGACACAGAATTCCAGCCGGGCATGGTGGCTCACACCTGTAATCCCAGCACTTTGGGAGGCCGAGGTGGATCACCTGAGGTCAGGAGTTCCAGACCAGGCTGGCCAACATGGGGAAACTCCCTCTCTACTAAAAATACAAAAAAAAAATTAGCCGGGTATGGTTGTGGGTGCCTGTAGTCCCAGCTACTCAGGAGGCTGAGGCAGGAGAATCGCTTGAACCCGGGAGGCAGAGACTGCAGTGAACCGAGATTGCACCATTGCACTCCAGCCTGGGCAACAAAAGTGAAACTCTGTCTCACAAAAGAAAGAAAAAAAAAAAAAAGAATGACACAGAATTTGCTAAAGGGGGAGAAAGGGCTTTCTTCCAAAGCTGGGCCTGATTTCTACAGAGTCTTCCAGATGAAAATTAAGCAGATCTTTGCAAGCACCTCAGAGGAGAACCCCTCACCCTGATGAATCAGACACACAGGTGGATCCAAGACAATTGGCTGCGTGCATGTGAACAAGCCTATGGTGGAAATGCAGTGCCTTGGGGTGGTTTAATCACCAGGAGGGAGAAGCTTCTAAAGCAGCATTCAGAGGTGGCTGTTGCCTGGGTTTTCTGGAAGGGGGAGGCGGTGAGGATGAGGGCTTCCATTTCATCTGCAGGCCCCTTGCAGAAGGAGCTGGGGAAGACTTTGCAGTCCTCTGCACACTGTTTGCCATCCTGTCTGGCTGGGCAGCTAAGCTCCAGATGGGGGCAGATGGGATAGCTCTTGCTACCGTATTTGGAGGGAGATGGCAGGGAAGTCAGCCCCCGTGAAGAAGACAGGAGCAGGCAGGTGCTGGACAGTGCTGCCCAGGCCCCTGGGGCTGAAGTGTCCAACCCCACAGCCTCTAGGTACCACTAAAGCAGCCCAAGAGGATCTTCTCTGTCCATCTCCATCCTGGCACCTACAGACACTTGGAGACAGTCCTTCACATGGGAACTCACAAATGCACACTGATAACCCCCACACGGAACTCTCATATGTAGCAAGTGAAAAGACAGGATGCCAGTTAAACTTGAATTTCAGATAAACAACAAATCATTTTTTAGGGTAAGCAGGTCCCAAATATTGCATGGGATATATTTGCACCAAAAAAAAAAAGGGTTAATGAGAAACTCAGGTTTAATTGGACGTCCTGTATTTTACCTGGCAAGCCTAACCCTGCATAAACACAACCTCGAGCTTGAAACTCAGAGAAGCCACGGCCGTGCTCACACACGTGCACAAACCCATATGCCTTAATATGCCTTACAGAGTCAAGGGCTGTGATGGGGGTCCCCACCCTTGCACACTTCCCTGTCCTCTGTCTGGGCTCAGAGTGAACAGGGGGTCACCTGGCATCCACGTCTAAGCTGGGCTTGGAGGTGTCCTAATGAAGCAGGATGCTGACCTGCACTTCCCCAGTTCAGCGGGGGCTGCAGCCAGGCCTAGCTTCCAGTCTCGGGCCTAGAACACACAGCACAGCCCCAGACCTTGGCAAGAAGCCTTCATCTCAAGGGCCACTGGTCCAGGACCTATTAGAAGCCCCACTTCTTTCCTCTGTTTCTGCTGCCATTGCCCCAGTCTCTGACCCTGCCACTCAATCACTCTATAAACACAGCAGGTACTAGGGGTGGCTCTGGGCTCGGCACTAAAGACATCATCCCTGGTAAAGCCACAGTCTAGCAATGACAGTCAGCCACGTATCAGCAACAGCCCTGCCCCACACGTGCTGACTGCGCACAAGGCCGGCGCTGTGAACGTGCTCTCAACAGTGATCTCACTGAACCCTCACGGCAGCTCTAGGATGCAGACAGTAGCATCACATTATCCCCATTTTACTTATGAGAAAACTGAGGCCCAAAGAAGGCAAACACAGGCCTCGGGATTTACAGTAACATTGCCAGGAATGTTTGAGAAAGCAAACTTCTCCAGAGTGAAGCAGTCTGCCAAAGCTCAGAAGCCAGAGTCCCTATTAGCAGGGGCTGGGGGGACTGGGGGCAGACAAGCGGGTAGGGGCTGGACCCCCCCAGGACACCAGGGTGCAGACTGGTGTGAGTAAAAGAAAGAGGCGGTCGTGCCATCATCTGCAGAAGATGATGTCTACAGAGGACAGTACCATGTGAGCCCTTGGGGAGCCGGATGACTGGATGGAATTTTGCACAGGATGCAAATTAAGCACAGATCCCCCTCAGACCTAGACAGCCCACCTCCAGGAACATCTCACAGAAATGCACGCACAGAGCACCAAGTGATATGTGCGAGGAAATTCATCAGAACACCGTCTGTGACTGGGAAAAGGCGGAAACCATCCACAGACGTATGGGTGCAGGGCTGGTTAAACGAAGCGTGGTGCATCCCCACGTCAGAATAACTGCTAGGAGAAGAAGGTGGTTCCCAGGTTCCAACGTGAGACAATGTCAAAGACATGCTGCCTGAAAAGCAGGCTTTCCAAAGAATAAATATAGCATTATTCCATTTTTATTTTTTTAAAAAGGTTACAATAAACACTTATGTGCAAATACATGTGCTTGCGTGCACAGAGGGAAATGGTGTGGACAGGAACAGAAAACCAAACTCTGCGTGTTCTCACTCATAAGTGGGAGTTGAACAATGAGAACACATGGACACAGGGAGGGGAATATCACACACCAGGACCCATCAGGGGTAGGGGACAAGGGGAAGGAGAGCGTTAGGACAAATATCTAATGCATGCGGGGCTTAAAACCTAGATGACGGGTTGATAGGTGCAGTAAACCACCATGGCACATGTACACCTATGTAAAAAACCTGCACATTCTGCACATGTATCTCAGAACGTAGAATAAAAAATAAAAAGAAATCAAAGAAAAAGGTGTGGAGAGGTATACCCCAACCCTTCCCAGTGTTACCTCTGAGAAGCAAGATCAAGAAAATCAAATCAAGAGAAAGTTTTATGTTTTGTTTTCTATATAAATTTTTTATTTTTTTATTTTTTTTATTTTTTATTTTTTGAAACATAGTCTCACTCTATTGCGCAGGCTGGAGTCCAAGGACACATTCTCGGCTCACTGCAACCTCGTCCTCACTGCAACCTCGTCCTCACTGCAACCACCTCCTCACTGCAACCTGCTCCTCACTGCAACCTCCTCCTCACTGCAACCTCCTCCTCACTGCAACCTGCTCCTCACTGCAACCTGCTCCTCACTGCAACCTCCTCCTCACTGCAACCTCCTCCTCACTGCAACCTGCTCCTTCTGGGTTCAAGTGATTCTCCTGCCTCAGCCTCCCAAATAACTAGGATTACAGGCACGCACCACCAAGCCTGGCTAACTTTTGCATTTTTTGTAGAGGCAGGGTTTCACTATTTTGGCCACCTGGTCTCGAACTCCTGGCCTGCCCACCTTGGCCTCCAAAAGTGCTGGGATTACAGGTGTGAGCCACCACACCTGGCCTGCATTGCTTGAATTCTCAGACCACATAGACCCTCTCATCTGGCCCAATTACAAGAGTCCAAGGCAGGAAAGGCAGAAGACAGGGGCTTACCCCTCCATCAGGACAACATAGAACAGCGTCAAAAAAGAAAAACATGAATGGATCAGTCAAGAGGGCCGTGCACGTGCCCTCCCAGGCACCTACACCTTGCAACTTAAGCCAATAGGCTTTCAAGCCACAGAATCTTCCTCCCCAGAGACTAGCAAGGACACAAGCCCTGGCCAGGCCCCTCCAAGAGGATGGTCTGAGGGACAAGGTGGGGAGCACAGTCAGGGGTGGCAGGAGGAAAGGGGAACACGAAGCCAAGGAAACCAGGGCGCCCCATGCTTCCTGAAGGCCACCAGGACAGGGCGCTACACAGAGCCCCTGTGTACCTGTTTCTACAACAGCCTGAACACAAGGAAAAAGAAAACAAGGAAAATGCACAAAGCCCAGCCTCACCTGGAGCAGGTTAAATAAAGGTGTGTGACTTTGTCTTCATGTCCTTTGGAACTGGAAATCCAAGCTTCCTCTCCTGTGCCTTTAAGGCCCTGGCTGCTGTCCCACAGCTCCCTCTCTTCCCTCCTCCTCCTATCCTGACTCTTTTTATTTTATTTTATTTTATTTTTTTGAGATGGAATCTTGCTCTGTTGCCCAGGCTGGAGTACAGTGGCACAATCTCAGCTCACTGCAACCACCTTCCGGGTTCAAGCAATTCTCGTGGCTCAGCTTCCCGAGTAGCTGGGATTATAGGTGTCACCACGTCTGGCTAATTATTGTATTTTTAGTAGAGACAGGTTTTCACCATGTTGGCCAGTCTGGTCTCAAACTCCTGGCCTCAGGTGATCCGCCCACCTCGGCCTCCCAAAGTGCTGGGATTACAGGTGTGAGCCACCATGCCCGGCCCTCTTGTACTAACTATGCCATCTCTTTGCAGTCTCCCTCGAGCAGCTTTTCCTGGGCCCGCACTTCCCCCTTCCAGAGCTGCATTCTCAAACCACCCGCCAATGCCCCCTGGCCCTGGCTCCTGCCCCGGGACTCTGATCCTCAGCTGGTGAGGTCTAGAGGGTCAGAGGGAGCCAGACTCCCTGGAGAAGCTAAGGCAGGAGCCCTGTGCTTTGGCAGGAGCTAAGCTAAGCTAAGGCAGGAGCCCTGTGGGTAACTTGCCCCCTTCCAGCTGGGGCTGAATATAAGGGGGAAAAGCTTCCCCCAGAATACAGGGCTCTCAGAGGCCCTGGGGATCTGTGCTGGCTGTCAGGAAGACTGTCACCTCAGCACAGTTGCCTGCAAGGAGGGCTGTGCAGGAAGCTGCATGTTGCTCAGAGAACAAAAAAAGGAAATTAAATGCACCATCTGGTTATTAGGATGAGCTTTTGAGGCAGACACTTAAATATGTATGCCTAGACATTGTAAAACTTGGGGGAAATGTTAGTTTCAATAACGCCAGTTCTTGTACTCACAGAAACTATTCTTTTATCTCTCTTCCTAGTCATTTGGGGGCTCCATCCCTCAGAGTGGCAGCGCCAAGACAGCTGGCCTCACTGGGTTTTGTAAGCTGTGCAAGGTGAGATCCCAAGCCCTTGCCTGGAGACCCATCTTAGGAAAATGTTAGAACAGGGCAACAAGTTGCCATTTCCTCCCTCCTTTCTCTTCCCCATACAAAAATCAGAAAGCACGCTAGCCCAGACCTGTGTACATTTTAAGGGTGGCTGGACTCATGGCCGCCTGGGACGTCAGGGTGGTACAAAGTCTTCTTAACCTAAGACTGTCAGGGTACAAGGATCAGCATGTTTTTTTCCTTTTTCTTGAGGGCCAGATGGTAAATAGTTCAGCATTGCAGGCCATAGGTCTCTGTCCCAACTATTCAACTCTCCACTGTAGCAGGAAAGCAGCCACAAGACAATATGCACTGAAATGGGTGTGGCTATGTTCCAATAAAACTTTATTTGTATGAACAGGCAGGGGGCTGGTTCTGGCCTGTGGGCTACAGCCTGCCTCCTCTGCTACAGCGTGATCTCCAAGGACCCATCCATCTCGTAGACCAGCAGCTGGCACACAGGAGCTGCTCAGATACTTGAAGGAGGAATGGAGAAGGCAAGCAGCCCCCAGTGAGCAGACGTGAGGGTCTCCCAGCAGCACCATCCTTTGCCATCTCATGCCGAGGGACAAAGCCAGAGCAGGGCTCTCCACCAAGGCTGGGTTCTCCTCCAAGGAAATGTGATAACAGGACAGAGAGCATCGTGGAAGGATAGGGGCTTTGGAGTCTCACAAACCACAGTTTGCAAGACCAGGAGCAACCTGCACTTCCTTGCACACACCCTGGGTGGGTGCTGGAGCATCTAGACTTAGAGTGAATCTTTTCTCCCTCCTCCCCCAACTGGCCTCCATTACACTTCCAGCAACAATGTGCTGTATGTACACGATGGAATACTATTCAGCCTTCAAAAAGAACGAAATGCTGCCATTTGAGACAACATGGATGAGCCTGGAGGATATTATGTTAAGTGAAATAAGCCAAGCACAGAACAACAAATACCACATGATCTCACTTATATGTGGAATCTAAAAAAGTTAAACTCGGCCAGGCATGGTGGCTCATGCCTGTAATCCCAGCATTTTGGGAGGCTGAGGCTGGCAGATTGCTTGAGCCCAGGAGTTCGAGACCAGCCTGCGTAACATAGCAAGACCCCATTTCTACAAAAAAATACAAAAATTAGTGGAGCGTGGTGGTGCATGCCTGTACTCCCAGAAACTCTGGGGGCTGAGTTGGGAGGATTGATTGAGCTTGGGAGGTCAAGGCTGCAGTGAGCCAAGATCACAACCCTGCACTACAGCCTGGGCAATAGAATGAGATTGTCTCAAAAAAAAAAGAAAGAAAAAGAAAAGAAAAAAGTTGAATTCACAGAAGCAGAGTAGAATGATGGTTGCCAGGGTGGGGAAGTGGGCAGATGCCAAAGGACACAGAATGTCATTTTTAGAGAAGAAGAATAAGTTCAGGATATCCATGGGACAACATGGTACCTATAGTTAATAACAACATATCATACACTTGGAAATCACTAAGAGAGTAGATTTTTAACTGTTCTCACCACAAAAAAATAAGTCTGGGAGGTGATATGTTATTTAGCTTGATTAGCCATTTCATAATGTATACATAATTCAATCACATCATGTTGTATACCCTCTTGTACGTAATTTTTGTCAATTCAATAAATTCAACAACTCCAAAAAACAAGACATTCTCTTTACAAAAATAATTATTAAAAATAAAATTCAGAATTCTATTTTATTTATTTATTTATTTTTGAAACAGAGTGTCGCTCTGTCACCCAGGCTGGCTGAAGTGCAGTGGTGCGATCTCGGCTGACTGCAACCTCTGTCTCCCACGTTCAAACGATTCTCCTGCCTCAGCCTCCCAAGTAGCTGGGATTACAGGTGTGTGCAATCACACCTGGCTGATTTCTGTATTTTTGGTAGAGACAGTTTCGCCATGTTGGCCAGGCTGGTCTCGAACTCCTGACCTTAGGTGATCCACCAGCCTCGGCCTCCCAAAGTGCTGGGATTACAGGTGTGAGCCACTGCGCCTGCACAGAATATAAAATATTCTTTAATTCAACTAAAACATTAAAACATAGATTATTTCTATAAGTGGTAATTGTTCTAACATGTTTTGGTCAAAATAGTCTCCTTACTCATCCACAATTAAATGGTTAATTGACATTTGATTGGATTTTGATAAAGGTTTCAAATCATGATTGACTTTTCCAATGTACAGTAAAAATGTTTGAAAATATTTCATAAAAATTAATATTTAAAAATGGTCAGGCATGGTATGGTGGCTCACGCCTCTAATCCCACACTTTGGAGGCCAAGGTGGGCCGGTCACTTGAGGTCAGGAGTTTGAGACCAGCCTGGCCAAACCTCATCTCTACTAAAAGTACAAAAGTTAGTCAGGTATGGTGACACGCACCTGCATTCCCAGCTACTTGGGAGGCTGAGGCAGGAGAATCCCTTGAATCTGGGAGGTGGGTTCCCCAGGCTTAGAGCAAAACCCCCATCTTGTCTGTCTCCACTCTCATCCCAGGCAATCGCAGTCATTTCCACAGCCTCAACTACTGTCTACCTGGGATGCCTCCCAAGCCCAAGTCTCCAGCCCAAACCTGACTTCCTAGCCCCAGACCCATCTGTCCTGGGACACATTGCCCCCTGGGTCCCAAGCAACCTCAGCCAATGAGTCCAATGTCAACTTCCTGTCCTTGCCTGACACTGCCAGCCCTGAGATCAGACTTGACCATTCACCTCCAGTACCTGATACGTCCATCAGTGCTTTGGAACATATCCCACAAACATTCCCCAAACCAGGCACCGGACCCCACACATCAACACAGTCATGTGAGTCACCAGCATCCCTGGCAGGGACCCCTGTCCCAGCCTCCAACTCATCTCCTTCCTGTCCGTTGAGTTCTGTGTCACATTCCAGAGGCCACAAGAAGAAAAATGACCAACTTAATGAAACTAAAAGAATTGAGAAGACATTTCCCTATGGTCCAAAGTCTTTCCAACTGAGAAACACATATCAAGATCCAGCCTGCCAGCCCTGCGGTTAAATGTTCCTGAAATAATTAAAGCCCAGGGTGACACAGCCCCCACTCCACAAGTACTCCCAGCACAGTAAGACTTGCTTCTCTGGAGGGGCTTGAAATGTCCAGTGTGTACCCTGCCC
The DNA here is from genome assembly GCF_000001405.40 of Homo sapiens. NCBI lineage: Eukaryota > Metazoa > Chordata > Mammalia > Primates > Hominidae > Homo > Homo sapiens. Next base: position 9,005,808 of record NC_000004.12, on the reverse strand, counting down.
CTCTCTGTCATAGCTAACAGGAATGTGCTCCGTGTCTTCTTCCTGCTCAAAGGACCGTCCACCAACCTGCGCAGGCAGCACTTTCGGCCAGCGAGGGACGAGAGGACTTCCCACCATTTCCCACTTACGCACTGCATTCCTCAGGAACCTGCCTCACAAATTACAAGAGCACCACGGCAGACACACCACGTTCCAGCGGGTGGCCATGTCTTCATGTCAGCTTGAAAGATCATCGCCAGGGAAATATCTATATCTCAGCAGAGAGAGCTTCAGCCTGTGTAGTCCAGCTGTGCTCAAATGGAAATCCAGAAACCCAGATGCTGGTCAAAACACCCTGTCTTGGAGAGCCGGCTCTGCAGGTCCCCAGAGTGGGAGTGAACTGGGTGGGCCACCTGCCCTGCCTGCCCACATCCCTGCCTCCTGGAATCCTGGACCCTGAGAACCAGGGGGATGTGGTGGGGAACAGGCAAATCTTGTGCAGAAAGCCAAGATGCCACCCAAATCCACTCTGCAGTCTAGGTGGGTGATATTCTGGTCTGCACTGTACCAGCGCATGAAGGGATGGAGGATGGAGTCTAGACAAGCCAAACGTAAAAAGATATTGCCCAAGTATTTTGTGCTTTGTCTGTGTTACAATGCTATGCCCAGCCCAGCGTGGTGGCTCACACCTGTGATCTCAGCACCTTGGGAGGCCGAGGCAGGCAGATCACCTTAGGTCAGGAGATTGAGACCAGCCTGGCCAATGTGGTGAAACCCCATCTCTACTAAAAATACAAAAATTAGCCTGGTGTGGTGGTGGGTACCTGTAATCCCACTTACTCGGGAGGCTGAGGCAGGAGAATCACTTCAGCCCAGGAGGTGGGGGTTGCAGTGAGCAGAGATCATGCCACTGCACTCCAGCCTGGGCAACAGAGTAAGACTCCGTCTTAAAAAAAAATAAAATAAATAAATTCTATGCCCAGCATTTTCCATGTACTGTCTTATTATCTCAGTAAATCCCATATAACCTTCCTATGAAAGTGTATCTCATTTATCTCCATTTTATAGATGAGAAAACTGAGGCCCCTGGAGTAGTGTTAATTTTCCAAGACCGCGTTGCTCATAAAGGGTACAGCAGGGACCCAAGCTCGACACTCTCACCCTCAAACATTTCCACAAGTGTAGACCAATGGCTCTCAACTGGGGTGGTTTTGCTCACGTACCACTCCCTTGCTCCATGGCATTTGAAACCGTCTGGAGACACCTGGGGTAGCCATAGCTGGGAGGGTACAATGGCACCTAGAGGATGGAGACCAGAGATGCTGCTAACCATCCCACAATACACGGGATGGCCCCACCACCAGCACCACGAATGGTCTCACCCCAAATGTTGTGACTGTGGCAAAGCTGAGAAACCCAGGTTTCTCCTCAGCAAGAAGGAAAATCCCTGCAACGCGGATGCACCTCTACAGGAGCCCCAGGCTGACAATAACCTTCCTCATCTGATTTCAACCCTGGGTGCTTTTACCTGGTGCATCCATCAGGGATTTCAGGGACTCCAAAGAGTTATTACCCTCGAATGCTCGGTTCTGCCTGACAACCCAGAAATCTCTGCCGAGGTCCCTGGTCTTGAGGAAGGCTCAGCAAGTGGTTGAGGTTGATAACCAAATACCTAGGAGAGACTTTTCTCTCCCTCCAGGAGGAGCTGTGGGTCAGACACACCCTGGGATCATTCACAAGTGGTCAGTAAAGGCTTGGGGAGGGCCAGGTTTTCTAGGCCTTCTCAATGGGGTGGGTGTTTGTGGATACACAAGAAGCCTCTGAAACTTCTGATATTGGCAGGAAATCAATGCCCCCCACCCTCCACCCTCCACCCCCCCACCTCCCCACCATAAACACATGCCCTGCAGCAGGACTTGGCACTCAGGGGCTCCTGGGGGCCCGATTTACCTGCTAAAACATCCTCTAGCCACCACCGAATAAAGCAACCCCTTGCCACCCAACCACAGAAGCACAGCCTAGGAGCCACTCCAAGGGACATCCAGTCACATTAAAACCTCAGCCATCCAGAGCACCAGGCCTGATGATGAGAAAGAACATTTTATCCTTAAAAGCATCTGAATGCCCATGCTGCTTCTTGCAGAGAAAAGTCCAAAATAATCTGCTATTAAAGAACGAGGATGGTTTTGACATTTTTACCAAGCTAATGGTCTACGCAGACAAAATCTCATAAAAGGGCACTCTGTTCTTCTTGATCCACTCAGACATGGCCTGTGAGCGATGAAACGGGCTCTCCTCCTCAAAGAAATTGCTGCTGATCCTCACACCAGCCTGACACTGCTTCATGGGTTCTTCAAAGAGAGCATTCCCATAGAAACTAAAAGGTAAGAGGAACGTGTCTGGCGGGCATTGTGGGCAGCAGTGGGCTTTGGGCCAAATTTTAAGTTTGAAAATCAAGATTCCCTCTTTTCGAGGGGCCGCTGGACTGAGCAGATACAGACACCGTGAAAAGAGGGTGCCATGTTCAGATTCAGGAAACAAGGATGGTTTCTGTTCAGTTCCTACATCATCCTTCAGGTCATGTGATTCCCATTTCCCTCTGTGGACCAAGAAATTCAGTGGGGTTTCTGCCTTTTAAATATTTCATTATCAATATGTCATCCTTTTAGCCTTCGGAAATCATTTTAACATGGAGATTCTGGTTTAAGACACTTGTGGGTCTGTCTGTCTGTCTGTCTCTCTTTTCCTTGAAACAGGGTCTCACTTTGTCACCTGGGCTGGAGTGCAGTGGCATGATCACAGCTCACTGCAGCCGGACCTTCCAGGCTCTAGCAATCCTCCCACCTCAGCCTCCCAAGTACTTGGGACTACAGGCACACACCACCATACTTGGCTTTTTTTTTTTTTTTTTTTTGGTAGATATGAGGCTTCACCATGTTGCCCAGGCTGGTCTTAAACTCCTGGGCTCAAGCGATCCTCCCTCTTCGGCCACTCAAAGTGCTGGGATTATTGGCTTGAGCCACCACGCCCGGCCAAGAACCTTGTCTCTTGTGATGCACCCCAGAACAAAACATCACTGCAAAAACACACCAAGGCATGAGTTTCAGTCCTAAGTCCCATTTATCCACCATACACTATGTGCCAGGCACAACGCTAAGTGCTTCTACGGACGAGCTTCCCTTAATCTCAGCAGTAACAACCCCAGGCAATGGGGCCTGTTGATGGATCCATTTGCCACTGAAGACAGTAAGGTTCAGAGAGGGTAAGTGGCTTGTGCCATGTCAGCCAGCTAAGGAGGGGCAGAACCAGGATGCAAACTCCAGCCCCCTGGCTCCAGACTCTTGTTCCCAAGGTCCCACTACACTTGGTCACTCCACTGCATTCTGGTATCCTGGTCTTTGTCAGAGTCCATGTAAAAGAGGGATGTAGAGGGAGTAAGAGGGACTTCACGCAATAAAGTTTCCCGGCGTTACACTGCCACCGTAATTGTGTCCGCGACCAGGACCTCTCCCTTCCCATCCTTTCCGTGATCCGCCCTGGAAAACCTTCCAGAGAACTGTCCTCCTTCTCCCGGGATCTCAGAGAAAATTCACCTGAGTTCAGTGTCCAGGTGACCCAAGCTCTGAATGTAGTAAAGTGCACGGGGAGATGAGGATGTCACCATAAGCAAGCCTCCCAGACAGCATCCGGGAGCAACCCCAAGACTGGGCAGGGGGGCTCTGATGCAGCCCACGGCGAAGAGGGCTGCCCGTGCTGCCTAAATGGGTTCAGAATGAAGGCCGCCCTCTCTCCCATGTGGGGCTCATTCACCACGAATCAAATGATTAAGACACGCTCTGCTGAGCAAATGGTCAAACATAAAAATATGTGGAAGGAACAAAGCGGTCAACCCCATTATCCATCAAAAACCATCAAGGTGGCAGCCCTCACTGAGGGGTACAGCTCTCCAGCGGGCCTCATCTGCCCTCCAAACCCACGTGCCTCCTCAGTGGAAGGCCAGCAAAGCCACACAGGAAGAGTTGGGGTAGGAAAGCAGAAAGTGAACCCCAGGAGGCCAGGCTGGCCACGGAGCCCCATCGCACACACACAGGCCCGGTGACTCAGGGTTCCACGTGTGCAGGACACCGGGAGCTCACAGGGACAGCGCCCCGGGGGAAGCAAGGAACTTTGTCTCTCTGTCCCTCTCTGTAGGGATGGAAAGAGGAGAGCGATTTCTGGGATGTAAGCCATCTGCCTCCTCTCAACTCTCGCTGCCCAACCAGAAAGGGAAGAAAAACAGGAAGATGCGGGGCAGGTGAGGAGCTGGGTGAGCGCCGCCAGCCCGCAGCCCAGCAGAGCAGGGCTTGGCCAAGCCTGGCGCCAGCGACTTCCCCCCTGCCCCCGCCACAAGCCCCTCGCCAGGTGAAAGGCACCGGCAGAGTCCCAGACAGATGCCCCAGACAGGATGCCCGGGGCAACCCCCGCCCCTTCCCCTGCTGGGGGCCCCCAGGACGCGGGGCTCCCCTTCCCCTTTTGGCTAGCCGCAGAGTCCAGCGGGTCTCCAGGCCAGGGACGTCGTGGGAGAATCAGGAAGTCGAAGGCACACAGCCGAGAAGGGGCAGCTGGCGTCTCGGAGGCCGTCACGAGCTGTCACTCCGCGCCCGCCGGAGTTGCCGCTCAGTTACCAACTTCAACCCAGGGCCGGCCACGGAGCCTCCCGCCCACCCTACCCCGCGTCCCCGGCACCCCCGCGTCCCCGGCACCCCCGGACCCCTGCGCCCGCGTCACTTACTCCTCTGCCGTCGCCACCTGTCTGGGTGCCGGTCTCCTCCCTGCCTGACCTCAGCGCGTCCTCCCCGTCCTCGCAGTCGTCGGGCTGTGCGCTTCCCCCCTCCAGCAACAGCCGCAGTTCTTCTCCTAGGGAGGGACGTCGTCCTCCTCCCTCCTGGGCCGGCCATCCCTGCCTCGGGGCTTGCCAGTGGCTTTGGAGCTGCCCGAAGGGCTGGCCGTGGCTGCGGAGGCTCGGCCTGCACTTGGGGAAGAGGAAGGACCCGGCGCGAGCGGCCTCTCGGCGGAGCTGGGGCGTCTGAGCGCGAGCTCGGTGGGTCCGCGTGGCGCGGAGCTGGGAATCGGTGCCGGCGCGGGCTCCTCCGCAGGCCGCTCCTGGCTCTCTGGCGCCCTCTGCTGGCCGCTCGCGCGCACCGCGGACACGCCGGGCCGGGGCCTGCGCCTCGCTCACCTGCCCCGGCCTAGGCGGTCGCTGTCCCCTGCCCTTGGCCAGACCAGTTCCGGCCAGGCTCTGCACCTCCTCCCCGCCCCAGCCAGGTTGCACCCCGATGGTCTCCCTGCCCAAGGAAGAGAGAAGAGAAGGGACGCCCCGAGAGGGTGGACATCAGCCACAGCCACCTTGTCTTTGCTCTTACCCTGTGTCTTGCATGATTTGGAGGTGGTGGGAAAACCGAGGCTGCTCAAAACTCGTGGAGAATTCCGCCTGCAGGATGACATGAATGCACCTTCGCATTGCCTACCAACAGATCTTTTTTGAGCATCTCTGTGGACCAGGCGTGGTGATGGGAGAGGGGATATTGTCGTGAACATGACAGGCATGGCCTTCACACAGTGGGGCTCAGCGCTGGGTGACAAGGCATTGAGAACGGACATTGTCAATTGGGCAAAAGGAGGCCAAGGAGAAGTGCTGGGGTCATGGGAACTGAGAAAGACAGGAGGCTCAGCAGGTCTTGGAGCTGGGAGAGGGACAGCAGCAGCGGCTGTTCCAAAGGAAGCAACAGCTGAGAGAGGTCTCAGAGAGTTGTTCTCAGCCCAGTGGAGCATGTTCGGGCAGAGGGAACAGCGTGTGCAAAAGCCCAGAGGCTAGGAAAGAAGCAGAAAGAGGACTGTGGGGCTGGAGCATGGAGGGCGAGGGGAGAGAGGTGTGGTGGGCAGACAGATTGCCTGGGACCCAGCCGTGCAGGGACAGAGGAGATAGGGGATCCTTGCAGGCCCCCAGCCAGGGCTCAGGCACAGAGATAATGCAGGTGGGCAAAGAGAGGAGACGTGGAGAAATATTTTGGAGGCATGCCCTGATGAATGAGCCCAGGATGCACCCTTAGTGTCAGTGTGGAGCTCCTTCCTTGGCTGTGTGATAAGCTGAACCCGGGGGTATTTTCTGGACATCGAGGTGCTACACCAAGAGTCCAGGACAGGCTAAGTGAGCACCAGCAGCTCCTGGCCTACCTCAAAAGCAGGAGAGACAGGGGAGACTGGGGAGGCTGGGGAGGAAGGGGAAGCCAGGAAGGCAGGAGAGGCCAGGGAAGCAGAGGAGGCCAGGGAGGCAGTGGAGGCAGGAGAGGCTGGGGAGGCTATGTCCTTTCCATGATTCTGCCCGGGATCCTAGGCCCCTCTACTCCCTGAGCTTCCCCACCCCAAGCGCTGGAACCATGTTGCACAATGGTCTCCCCACTAAGCTCCTGATGGCGGCCCCTACCCTGCTGTGCTCCCTATTTCAACCCTAACAGCTCTCACAGTGGGCAGCACATAGGCGCTCAGGAAACACAGGTGGGAGAGCACATGGGTCTGCTCAGCACCTTCCTCTCTCCTCCAGCTCTCCCCTGTCATGAAATAATTCTGCTAATGACACATGGGCTTTGAGACCCTCTTCTATTACTTTCCATATGCTAATCCATGTATACCTCACAGCAGCCCTGGGGTTTGGTGCTATTAGATGCCCATTTTTACAGAGGAGGAGACTGAGGTATAAAGAGGGTAAGTGACATAGGCACAGTACAGGGGCTGGGGCCAAGTGATCGCAGCACTAAATCCCCAAAGGCAAGGTGGACGCAGTTACCATAAAAGACAACAGAGTCAAAGCTGCAACCAGAATTGCCTGACTTGCAGAGACCTATGCTGCCAGCTGATCGTGGCATTCCTAGAAGTGAAATAGGTAAGAAGCCTGCCACATTTTTACTTGATCTGTGTTTGCAGAAGGGTTCTAGGTCAGGTGAGTAGAAGTCTAATCTGAATCATAAAAACAGAGTCACAGTCTCCAGTCAATTCCCAGACATAAGCCAGTTCACAGACCGGGAGTCCTTTGTCTGAATGGGAAGCCAGGTCCCCTCCAAAAAGGACTCTGCTCCACTGCCAAAAATTTATACTGTCAATTTTTCTCCCAGCCTGCCCCTGAAGGAGTACACAGCCTTTTACTAGGATGACTGAACAGGGGAATAGAAACTAATGAGACCTATGCAGGATCACTGGACACAGGCTCTGAACTGGCACTAGGGAGAGACTAGGGTCTACCAGTCAGAATAGGCATTTTGGAGGTCAGGTGAATGTTGGTGCAAGTTCATGTCATGGTAGATCCATTGGGTCCCCAATTCCATCCTCTGGTTATATACAAAGTGGCCATGTTGAGATTCAAATTCAGGGCATCCAACGTAGAGGCTGTGCTCTTACTCATGAAACATTCTGACCCTACTAACCAATTTAAAAATGCAAACACCTCCTGCGGCTAGCGAGAGTCCTCCAAACAGTCACGTAAATTGGTTCTGTTAAGGATTTCCTCCTACCACCTGCTGAGAGCCAGTTGCAAGGAGAGACTAGGGAAGGGCATTGGGTAACTTTGTTGCTAAAAGCTCTTTTGGATAAAGACGTTTGGGAAAAGAAGCAAATAGAGTTCAGCAGAAGAGGTAAGAAAGTAAGTTTATGTTTGGCCAGGCACGGTGGCTCACACCTGTAATCCCAGGACTTTGGGAGGCCGAGGTGGGCAGATCACAAGGTCAAGAGATCGGACCATCCTGGCCAACACGGTGAAGCCCCATATCTGATAAAAATTCAAAAATTAGCTGTCCATGATGGCACATGCCTGTAGTCTCAGCTACTCGGGAGCCTGAGGCAGGAGAATCACTTGAACCCAGGAGGCAGACGTTGCAGTGGACAGAGATCATGCCACTGTATTCTAACCCGGCGACAGAACAAGACTCCGTCTCATAAAACAAACCAAAACAAACAAACAAACAAACAAAAAAGCAAGCTTATTTTTAAGCCTGAACAAATGTAGTGGTTTAGGGGTTCTGCAAATACGGCCCCAATCAGGCTACAAGATGTTGTGGCAGCAACACTTACACCCGGTCACTCCTGGCTGGCTGAGCCACTTTTCAAAACACCCTTGCACAGCTATGCAGAGTGGCTGGCTCCACTGGCAGCCGGCAGAGCCATAACTCACACTGTCACCACTCCCCTCAAACCCTTTCAGTAAGCACTTTCTTTATTTATTTATTTTTTTTTTTTTTTTTTTGAGACGGAGGCTTGCTCTGTCATCCAGGCTGGAGTGCAGTGGTGCAATCTCGGCTCACTGCAAGCTCCGCCTCCCAGGTTCATGCCGTTCTCCTGCCTCAGCCTCCCAAGTAGCTGGGACTACAGGCGCCCGCCACCATGCCAGGCTAATTTTTTGTATTTTTAGTAGAGACGGGGTTTCATCGTGTTAGCCAGGATGGCCTCAATTTCCTGACCTGGTGTTCCGCCCGCCTCGGCCTCCCAAAGTGCTGGGATTACAGGCGTGAGCCACCGCGCCCGGCCTGGTAAGCACTTTTAATCAATGCAACAGGAATAAACATTTGCTGCAGAGCGGCAATGTGCAGGGAGGAACATTGTTCCACTCAGGCTCAGAAAGCAAAACCTCCTGGCTGTTTGCATCTATGCGAGAGCTCGCAGGAAAAGCCCTCTGTGTGGCTGCCAGCCTCACACACTACCCCCAAGGGGTGAGTTTCTCTTTCCATGTTAATCTATGCCCTGATGTGCCATCTGTCAACCACCACACCATTCTCAGTTGACATTTCAAAGCATCTTTGCCCTGTGAATGGTCACCAGCCCTGCCCTGCAAGGCCCCAGGTGACATTGAACTTAAATGAGAGAGAAAACAGGTTTCGGGGTGGATTTCAGTTCAGCATCTTGGAATCTCTGTGTGGACATGAAATCTGTCTCCCCAGCCGTGGGCTGCATCCTTGTTTGTCATCTGGTTTGGTTGTTGTGAACTTGGAAACTCGTGGGCACCTTTGCAATTTGTCAAGAAGCTGCACGGCCCTTCCAACAAAAGCAAGCAATAGGAACAGAAGCCCAAGGCTTCAGATCAAGGTGCGACTTAAAGCAGCCTCAGTGTAAAAGGAAAGAGGAGTCAGAGGGATGCCTAAGGCAGAGTCTAGTCCCCAGGGAAGCTATAAGGCAAAGAGAAAGGGAGAGAGAGATAGACAGAGACAGAGACAGAGACAGAAAGACAGAGAGAGATGGGAGGAGCCATGAGGCGCCCAGGCCTCTGCATCAAAATCCCTACAAGAGGGGCCTCCTAAAAATGCAGGAGGCTGAGGTGGGCGCACACAGAAGTTCAAGACTAGCCTGGGCAACATAGAAAGGCCCTGTCTTTACAAAAAATACAAAAATCAGCCAGGTGTGGTGGTGCATCCCTGTGGTCCCAGCTACCCAGGAGGCTGAGGTGGGAGGATGGCTTGAGCCCAGGAGGTAGAGGCTGCAGTGAACCGAGATAGCACCACTGCACTCCAGCCTGGGCAATAGAGTGAGACTTCATCTCAAAAAAATTTTAAAAAATTTTTAAAAAGGATCACTCTGGCTACTTGAATGGATGATAAGAAGGTAAGAGCAGAAGCAAGGAGACCAGCAGTGAGATTCTGCAAGTGGCAGTCCACAGTGGCTCAGACCAGGCTGGCGCTGAAGACCTGCTGGATTCTGTATATATTTTGATGATGAAGCAACTCACTGACTCTTGAAGAGTGGTCTCTAGGAGACTGTATTTTTAACAAGCTCTCAGAGGATTCTAATGCAGGCTGAAGTTGAAGAACTCCTGATTTAGGTGAAGCTTCTGTTTCATCCTAGGGGAAGTACCTACTGAATTTTCTCCAAGCCACCTCAAAAGAGGCGCTAGACAAGATGTGCTCCAATGTCTGAACATGTGTGCACAGCTCTAGAGCCGACCTCAGGACACTGAGTCAAAAGTTAGGAGTACAACAGTGAACAACCACCATCCTCTTTTCAATGAGCTTTGCATTTAATGAGAGAAATAAAAAGCAAAAAAAAAAATCATTTTCAACTCACAATGGTAGGAGTTATGGTGACAGTATGCCTGGGGCAAGGGGAGCACAAAGAGGGGGCACCCAGTCGGCCAGGTGCAGTTGTTCATGCCTGTAATCCCAGCATTTTGGGAGGCCAAGGTGGGTGTATCACTTGAGGCCAGGAGTTCGAAAACAGCCTGGCCAACATGGTGAAATCCTGTCTTTACTAAAAATACAAAAAAATTAGCCAGAAGTGGTGGCGGGCACCTGTAATTCCAGATACTCAGAAGGCTGAGGTGGGAGAATTGCTTGAACCCGGGAGGCGGAGATTGCAGTGAGCCAAGATCGCGCCACTGCACTCCAGGCTGGATGGCCAGAGCGAGACTCCGTCAAAAAAAAAAGCCAGGTGATGGGTGGGCATGCAATCTCTATCAGGTGGTCAGAAATCCTTCTCCACCACAGGACTCCTCAGTTGAAGACTAGAAAATGGTAGGAATTAGCCAGGTCGATAGGAGAGCTGTGGAAGATCATTCCCAGCAGAGGGAAGAGCATGTGCAAAAATCGAGACGTGAGAGGGTGAGGAGCTGAGAGATGTTCATATAATTGTAAAAAGTGACTAATGTAGAGGTAAGTTAGAGCCAAATCTTAAAGGCTCTTTGTCATGTTTATCCTGTAGACAAAAGGAGACAGTAGATGTTTTTAGGCAGGGGAGTAATGATCCACTTTGTGCTATAAAAAGAGCAGTCTGGCTGGAGGAGAGTGGGAGGTGAGTAGACCAGGTGGGAGGTTGCAATACACCAAGTGAGACAAGATGGTTGGCTGGACCAAGGCTGTGGCAGTGAGGATGGAGAGGAGACAGTAGACTAACTTAACTGAGAAAGAGGGAGGAATGAAGGATGAGGCCCAGGTGTTTTGGAAGCTGGGTGGATGGTGGTGTGAATCTGACGTGGTGAGCCCAGGCAGAAGAGGAAATCAGGAGAGGAAAGGTAAGATGAGGTCAATGCAAGACAGACAGCCAAGTGGAGATAACAACTGGGCAGTTGGATTCATCAGCCTGGAGTTATACAGAGAGCTCTGGAATGGAAATAAAGAGGAAAGGATTTTGGGAATAGGTGAATCCTCCCAGAATAATGTGTAGAGAAAGGAGAATAGAACACAGGGGACAGAAAAAGGGAAGAGATTTGTTATTAAAACCAACAATCCATCAGACAACTTCCAATAAGACACTTGTTAGAGGTTTCCTCAGTGTGAGTTATTCAGGACCAGAGCTAAAGACCATATTCCCAATAACATCACTGCTGGGAAGGTCTTCATGAAAACATTTAATGCTGCTTTTAAAACAACAACAACAACAAAAAGGCGTTAGCTACTGCACAGACCCTGGAGCAATTTTTCGGCAAGAGTCTATCAAACACGAATCTGATTTGACTCAAGGAGGTGTCATATCAAGTGTAAAAATCCAATTCCAATGTCCATAAGAGCCTTTCTGCAAGGTAAAAGACCCTAATCCAGTTGAAGTGATTTTTATTGATTAATAGTCTGGGAATACACAGGTTTTTGGTTTTTGAGATTTTCCTCCCTGTGCCTTCATGCCAGCTGTGGAAGGGTCAAAAGGCTCCTAACTGTCAAAATAAAAACGACACTTGGTCACAGAGGAAACAGATTATAGGTCAATCACATTGATGACTTTTTAAATCTGAGAAGCCATTAATGTTACTGAATAAGCAAATCTGTTTGCATAACCAGATTTTTATAGGCTACTGGGAATAAAGGTTTTCCTAAGTGGGTGATTTGTACAACGATAGCCTTTGGGTATCTGATGGAACAGCTCTGATGAGGAAATGTTCCTTTAATTATGCGGAAGGCCAATTACCACATTATAGCCACATTGTTTTGCAGATTGCATATAATTTCACCATTTCCATAGCTTCAGCACTATAATTCTGGAGAAAATTCAGGCACCAAGAAGACACTTGAGGCACATTATGCTGGAGACAAAGATGTTTTAGCGAATTCAATTTAAGCTTCAACATTAAAGTTATTTTGTTGAATAAAGCATAATGCAATAATGAGCTTGTGTAAGTCAACTCTATAGTGGAGGTAATAGTAGCTAGAGAGAGCATGTCCCATCTCTTCTTTTTAATGCTCATTCGAGTAATACATAATGCTATAGAGAGAACCTTTCTCTAATATGTGCTTCATCTCAGGCTAAGCGTGTTTTGTGCAACTGTGCTTCATGAAAAAAAAAGGTAAAGGATCTAATTTGGGAGCCATTCACAAAAGTGCTACCACTTGATGTTATTTTATACTCTGAGATTTCTTATTCCCAGTGCCTACCAGGAATGGACTTTCTGGAGAAGCCCAGATTAATCACTCCTTCTGAGAGGTGACAGCGTGCTGGCAGCCATCACAGCCCTCGCTCACTCTTGGTGCCTCCTCTGCCTGGGCTCCCACTTTGGCAGCACTTGAGGAGCCCTTCAACCCGCGGCTGCACGGTGGGAGGCCCTTTCTGGGCTTGCCAAGGTCAGAGCTGGCTCCCTCAGCTTGCAGGGAGGTGTGGAGGGAGAGGCATGAGCCGGAACCGGGGCTGCGTGCTTCTTGCCTGCCGGCTGGAGTTCCGGGTGGGCGTGGGCTTGGTGGCCCAGCACTAGGAGCTGCCAGCTGGCCCTGCCGGCCCCGGGCTGTGAGAGGCTTAGCACCTGGGCCAGCAGCTGCTGTGCTCGACTTCTCGCTGGGCCTTAGCTGCCTCCCCGTGGACAGGGCTTGGGACCTGCAGCCCAACATTCCTGAGCCTCCTCCCTCCATGGGCTCCTGTGTGGCCGGAGCCTCCCCGACAAGCACTGCCCCCTGCTCCACAGCGCCCAGTCCCATCGACCACCCAAGGGATGAGGAGTGTGGGAGCACGGAGAGGGACTGGCAGGCAGCTCCACCTGTGGTTCCTGTGTGGGATCCACTGGGTGAAGCCAGCTGGGCTCCTGAGTCTGGTGGGGACTTGTAGAACCTTTATGTCTAGCTAAGGGATTGTAAATACACCAATCGACACTCTGTATCTAGCTACTATGGTGGGGACTTGGAGAACCTTTGTGTGGACACTCTGTATCTAGCTAATCTAGTGGGGACGTGGGGAACCTTTGTGTCTAGCTCAGGGATTGTAAAGGCACCAATCAGCACCCTGTCAAAACAGACCACTCAGGCTCTCTGTAAAATGGACCAATCAGCAGGATGTGGGTGGGGCCAGGTAAGAGAATAAAAGCAGGCTGCCCAAGCCAGCAGCGGCAACCCGCTGGGGTCCCCTTCCACACTGTGGAAGCTTTGTTCTTTCGCTCTTTGCAATAAATCTTGTTGCTGCTCACTGTTTGGGTCCGCACTGCCTTTATGAGCTGTAACACTCACCGAGAAGGTCTGCAGCTTCACTCCTGAAGCCAGCAAGACCATGAACCCACCAGGAGAAATGAACAACTCCAGACATGCAGCCTTAAGAGCTGTAACACTCACCATGAAGGTCTGCAGCTTCACTCCTGAGCCAGCAAGACCACAAACCCCACCAGAAGGAAGAAGCTTCGAACACATCCGAACATCAAAAGGAACAAACTCCAGACACGCCAACTTTAAGAACTGTAACACTCACCAGGAGGGTCCACAGCTTCATTCTTGAAGTCAGTGGGACCAAGAACCCACCAATTCCGGACACACTTATACACTTGGCACTGGGAGGTCTGTATGGAGCAAGTGAAGAAATCAGCAGAGTGAAGATAGAGGGAGAACAACACGATGGGGGAAAGGCAAAGTTACTGCCATGTTGGTTTCAATTCTGCCACTCATGAGCGAGACCCATGACCTCCTCTCTCTAGGACTCTGTTGTTCTTATCTGTAGAGTGGAGGAATGGAAGGGCATTTTAAAGTATTAACATTTCCTGACCTATCTGTAAAACACTTTCATTCAAATTGATGGGAATCTTGACTACTTTGCCAAGAGGACATAATAATCATCAAGCTGAATGCACCAAACAACATTGCCTGAAACTATCTAAGCAAAAACTGAGAAAGTTACACAGGACAGACAAACCTCCTATAAGAGTAAGAACTCTTAAGCACATGCTTAGTGTGTCAAAGACAATGCTGTGTTCACACCATTCCTCTTCCTGAACATGCAGAAAGACTACATTTCCCAGCCTTACTTGCAGTTAGTTTGGAACCATGTGACTGCATTTCCACCAATAGGAATGTAAGAAATCCCTTCAGGCCAAGGTCATCAAAGGCAAGTGTGAGCTATGTTCCCTCTCTTCTTAACCATATGGCTACAAGTGAAAAATTCTGAGATGGCAGAATTAAAAGATGGAAATCTCCAGAATCTCTGAATCACTGTTGGACAAGGGCCCCTAAGGAGAACCCCTGCCCTGCACCAGACTATGCTATGGGTGCCAACGCACTGAGAGTTCAGGGCTTATTAGTCTTAGCAGCAGTCTATTTTTACACTGACTAACATCCTAAGATTTGAGAGATTTAGCATATTGTTAATTGAAGCTAGATTTCAATTACACTGAGAACCTTATCTATTTAAAAATAAAAACTCTCCTAAAAAAACAAATAATCCACATTCCTTTTAACCACATGTGGCAAATTTGCAAAAAAAAAAAAAACTGGCCACATATTAGGCCATAAAGAAGTCTCAACCAAATCCACTATACGATTGACATTGTCCAGACCACATTTTCCTGACCATAATGCAATAAAATTAGAAGTCAAAAGCAAGAAGATAGCTAAACACAAGCATACATTTGGAAAATTAAAAATATCCTTTCATGAATTAAATGAAAAATCACAATAGAAATTACTAAACATTTACAACTGAACGAAAACACAACTTTATATATATATATATATATTGTGAGTCTTCCAACTTTGTTCTTCTTTTACAAGGTTATTTGGGAAATTCTGGGTCTCCTGCAATTCCTCATAGAGTTGTATGCTGTTTGTCAATTTCTGTGGCTGGGATGAACTTATCGTAGTTCTCATAGACCAGGGTTTGCATGTCGCTGTCTAGAGCCCGGATCTGCTGCACCATGTCCGTCTCACTGTCCATCAGCTGGGCCAGAGGGCACTCTCTAGGCAGCTTGTCTAGGTAAACTTCCGGGTCGAAGTGCGCCCCGTTCAGATCAGTGGGGTCCAGGGGGTCGGGCCCCGAGGGGAGTCCCACCCCCTCCCCTTCCGAGAGACCATTGTAAAGCTTTAGCATCCTGTGCGCCTTCCACCGACGCTCCGTGAGCCTCCCCATCGGGCCCTTCTGGGGAGTCCCCAGGTCCACACCCCGGGCTAGACCCAGAGACAGCTGCCGCCGCCATAGCTCCAATTGCAGCCCACGGGTGTAACTTTTTATATTTTTAAGTTGGATATATGGAGCTACTTGGCTTTTGCTTTCATCTCATCGTTGAGGAAAGAGGTGGTTGCTTATGGTACCCCTGTTTTTACTGCAACCTGTAATGGATGAGAACCTCCCTGTTGCAGAGAGCAAAACACTGAACTAAATTGTGCTGTAACACAGCCCTGTATTGGGGGATTGGGAGTGATCATGCAAACGCTTGCAAATTTGCACAGTGACAGAGACAATCGTTTGGGCAGCTATTCACTATATGAAAAGGCAATTGACCAAAAGTCAGTTACTGAGCTATCTCAATACTTTCATTTTATTTTAACTTTTGGCAACAGGGTGCAATTAAAGGAGAGAAAGAAAACAAAGTGATAAGTGTAAGATAATGTACACACATGTGTAAAAGAAAATGACAAGACAGGATGACTATTTGTCTCTTGGTTAGCTCCTTGGGCTCTATGTCTCCTTCCTCAGAGAACCTCGTTTTCCTTTGTCCAGATTTGTTAGGGTGGATAATCCAGGCGCTTGCTCCCCCATGATGGAAGCCAAAGACGTCCCTGGAGCCGCCTCCCACTGCACCCTTTCCTGCACTGCCCACATGGACACAACTCAGCCGATTAGACTTCCTCTCGGAACTTTAGTCTTGAGCAAAGGGATTAAAGGGTGAAGTGACTGAAGTTATGCCCTTCCAAAGTGGTATGTGAGCTAATGGCTAAAGTTGGCCAAGCCCATCCAAGCACATTTTTTCGTAGTTTTTATTTATTTAATTTTTTAAGACAGAGTCTTGCTCTGTTGCCCAGGCTGGAGTGCAGTGGCATGATCTCGGTTCACTGCAACCTCTGTCTCCTGGCTTCAAAGGAGTCTCCTGCCTCAGCCTCCCCAGTAGCTGGGATTACAGGCATACGCCACCATGCCTGGCTAATTTTTTTTTTTTTTTTTGTATTTTTAGTAGAGACAGGGTTTCACCATGTTGGCCAGGCTGGTCTCGAACTCCTGACTTTGTGATTCGCCTGCCTCAGCCTCCCAAGGGCTGGGATTACACGCGTGAGCCACCGCGCCCAGCTTCAAAAAGTTTTAAGCAGAGCTCAGAGGTCTTAAGCACAGGCACATCAGAGGAGCATTTTTGAAACACTTTCCAGCTTCTTCAATAGGAATGGAAGCCAAACTCCGAATTGATGACTCCTTTGGGGAAGTCGACAGCTGTAAGGAAAGCCAGGAACAGCGGCAAGAGAGAGATGCGTCCCGAATGATCCTGTGCCAATTCTTTCTGGAATCCTTGATGTGATCGCAGCTGCCCTTTCTATACATGACACAGTGATTGTGGCACCCACTGGTCTAGTTGTGGTCTACAAGGAACCCCCAAAGGGAAGGGCACAGTGAGCAGCGGCATCCGCCTGAGTGACGAGGATTTGAGAGGGCAGGTTGGATGCAGGGAGAGGACCGGCCAAATGCCATGTGTCTGGACTTAGACTGCCTGGTTCAAATTGGACTTCACCCTTTTTGACTTCGTGATCTGGTACAAGCTACATGAAAATCCGTTGCGCCTTTTCTAGTCTGTAAAATCATCATGAAATGTGCACTAATAACATGGAGACTATGCAGATGAAATGAAGCAAGCTGCATAGAGCACAGAGCTCAGAGCCTGGTCTGTAGGAAACCCTCAGTAAGGGTTCATGATGCCATGGTGTCTGTCGTCATCCTCTTTATCCTCATCATTACCTTCATAATCTCTTTGTTGTTCTTAGGGAATAGTTTAGAGGGACTGATTCCCTGCTACCATGGGTGAGATGTCTATGAAAAGGACAACCAGTGGGGGAGGAAAGAAAAATTTTCAATAAGATTTCTGAGACCCCCCAGCACAACAAAGAACAGAAACTCCACAGTCAGCTGAGCAAGGAGTTTGCATATTGATCTCCTCCCATCTGCCCACCGCACTCTCCTGTTTGTCCTGAGGAGGAGGAAACAAACAAGGCTCCCGACCGTCCCTCAGCACTCACTTGAATGGGTGGCCTGTCCCTCCACACCTGTTGGTATTTCTAGTCGGGTGGGACGAGAGACTGAGAAAAGAAATAAGACACAGAGACAAAGTATGGAGAAACAACAGTTGGCCTAGGGGACCGGCGCTCAGCATACCAAGGACCTGCACAGGCACAGGCCTCTGAGTTCTCTCAGTTTTTATTGATTATTATTTTTATTATTTTAGCAAAAAGGAATGTAGTAGGAGGGCAGGGTGATAATAAGGAGAAGGTCAGCAACGAACTTGTGAGCAATACAAGTCATAAGGAAGTTCAAGGGAAGGTACTATGACTGGACGTGTCTCTAAGCAAGATTTATGTTTCTCTCCATCCAAACATCTCAGTGGGGTAAAGAATAACAAGGTAGCATTGCTGAAAACGTGTCTCACCTCCCACAATAGGGCGGTTTTACCCCCATCTCAGAATTGAACAAATGTACAATCGGGTGTTATACCAAGACATTCAGTTTCCATGGCCAGGCAGGAGACAGTGGCCTTCCTCTCTCTCAACTACAAGAGGCTTTCCTCTTTGACTAATCCACTTCAGCACAGACCCTTTACTGGTGTCGGGCTTGGGGACGGTCAGGTCTTTCTCCTCCCACAAGGCCACTTTTCAGACTATCACATGGGGAGAAACCTTGGACAATATGCCGCTTTCAAGGGCAGAGATCCCTGAGGCTTTCCACAGTGTATTATGCCCCTGGTTTATTGAGACTAGAGAATGGCAATGACTTTTACCAAGTATACTGCTTGGAAACATCTTGTTAACAAGGCACGTCCTGTACAGCCCTAGATCCCTTAAACCTTGATTTCATAAAACACATGCTTTTGTGAAATTCAGGTTGGGTCAAAGTGGTTGGTTCAAAGTGACTGGGGCAAAGCTACAGATTAACAACATCTCTGCAAAGCAATTGTTGAAAGTACAGGCCTTTTTCAAAATGGAGTCTCTTATGTCTTTCCTTTCTACATAGACACAGTAAGAGTCTGATCGCTCTTTCTTTTGCCTACACTCACTGAACTGCCCTTCCCCTCTTCTGAGCCATGACCACGGAGAACAGGTCCACTGTCCTCCCTGTGTGGTGCACCATGGAGGCTCAGACTCCGTCCTCGAGGCTGGCAAGAAGACACGGTAAGACATGAGCCTCCTGATACAGGTGATGTCTGTGGAGCCCACAGGACTGCAACCTCACACTGCAGGGCTGGAGTCACAGACTGACTATTTACTGTTCTGTGGCCTGGGGGGCTCAAGGCACAGAGCTCCTCATTAGTCAAAGTCGCCCAAGTTCCCCAACCTCTAAGGATTTCCTCATAATAAAGCAAGAAGAAGAAGAGAAAAGTGAGTGTCCATAGAAGATTTGGGGCTCTTCCTCTAATCAGGAGAAAGCTGGTGTGTATTCTTCACTTCTTTCTTTTCTTTTTAAACATCCAACTGCTTTAATTTTCATCTTTTATTATGGGAAAATATACCACGTATAAATATTAAAAATTATAACTATATATTAGTTCATATAGAATGGCCAGTATAAACACTTACAGTTTCCACGCTTTTTCAGTTTACAGCTTCATGACATTAAGTACGTTCACATTGTTTAGCAACCATCACTGTCATCATCTCCGGAACAGTTTTATCTTTCAAAATGGAAATTGCACCCATTCACCAAGCTCTCCACTCCTCTCTCTCGCCCACCACTGGGGGCCACCTTTCTAGTTTGCAACTCTATGAGTTTAACTACTCTAGACACTTGATAGATAAGTGGAATCATACCGTGTTTAATTTTCTTGTTTTGGAGACAGAGTCTTTCTCTGTCACCCAGGCTGGAGTGCAGTGGCATGATCTCGGCTCACTGCAACCTCCACATCGTGGGTTCAAGCGATTCTTGTGTCTCAGTCTCTGGAGTAGCTGGGATTACAGGCGTGCGCCACCACGCCCAGCTAATTTTTGTATTTTTAATAGAGACCATATTGGCCAGGCTGGTCTCCAACTCCTGACCTGAAGTGATCCGCGTGGCTCAGCCTCCGAAAGTGCTGGGGTTACAGGTGCGAGCCACTGAGCATGGGCGTGTTTATCCTTTTGGGATTCATTTATTTCACTGAAGATAATGTTTACAAGGTTCATCCATGTTGCGGCATGCGTCAGAAGTGCCTCTTTGTTTTTTTTGTTTGTTTGTTTTTTGTTTGTTTGTTCGTTTTTTGTTTGTTTGTTCGTTTGACTTTGTTTTGTTTTGTGTTTCCTTGGAGTCTCACTCTATCGCACAGGCTGGAGTGCAGTGGCACAATCTGGGTTCACTGCAACCTCCGCCTCCCGGGTTCCACCGATTCTTGTGCCTCTGCCTCCCGAGTAGCTGGGACAATAGGCACACGCCACCACGCTCGTCTCATTTTTTGCATTTTCAGTAGAGACATGGTTTCACCAAGATGGCCAGGCTGGTCTTGAATTCCTGACCTCAGGTGATCCGCCCACTTCGGTCTTCGAAGATGCTGGGATTACAGGCGTGAGCCACCACACCGGCCAGAAGTGCCTGCCTTTTGAAGGCTGAATAGTCTTCCATCGCATGAATGAACTGCAGTGTGCTTTTTCATTCATCTGTCCACGAACCCTTGGGTTGCTTCCTCATTTTGGCTATTGTGAATAATGCCGCTATGAATTTGGGTGTACAAATCTCTCTTCCACTCCTGGCTTCTAATTTTTTTTGGCAGGCACCCACAAGTGCAACTGCGGGAACATCTGATAATCCTGTTTCTACTTTTTGCAGCACACGCCATAGTATTTTCCCTGTTCCTTCACGGTTTTACATTCCCTCCAATCAGATTCGAACATTCCTACTTCCCTCTAGTCTCACCAATGCTTGTTTGTTTATCATATCCATCCTAATGTGTGGTATGGCATTCTTGGTTTGATTTGCGCTTCCCTATGATGAGTGATTTTGAACATCATTTTAGACGCTTATTGACCATTGCTATATCTTCTTTAGGAACAAGTCTACTCGAGTCTTCTGACCATTGTTAATGGGGTGCTTTGGGTTTCTGATTGTTCATTTGTAGCTGTTCTTTGTTTATGATGCATATCAGCCTCTTTTCAGAGATATGATTTGCAAATCTTTTTCCTATTCCATGGGTTATCTTTTCACTCAGTTCACAGTGTTTGCTGATGCACAAAAGTGTCTGTCATTTAGATATCATCCAAGGAATCTAATTTTCTTTTGTTGTCTATGCTTTTGGTGTCATATCCCAGAAAGCATTGCCCAATCTGATGTCATGAAAGTGTGGCCAATGTTTTCTTTGAGGCATATTATACTTTCAGCACTTGGGGTTAGGTCTTTGATCCAGTTTGTGTTAATTTTTGCACCTGTTGTGACACAGAGTCCACCTTCATTCTTCTGCAGGTGGAAATCAAGTTTCTCCAACACCATTTCTTGAAAAGGCTGCTTTTCCACCAATGGACTTTCTTAGCACTCATGTTGAAAATCATTTGAACATATAGGTGAGAAGTTATGTCTGGGCACAAAAACAGACAAACAACAACAGACAACAGATAAGGATGCAGCATGGGCCGGGCGCGGTCGCTCACGCCTGTAATCCAAGCACTTTGGGAGGCCGAGGCGGGCGGATCACCTGAGGTCAGGAGTTCAAGACCAGCCTGACACACAGGAAGAAACCCCCCTTCTCTACTACAAATACAACATTAGCTGGGCGTGCTGGGGCATGCCAGCTGCTCGGGAGATGGAGGCAGGAGAATCGCTTGAACCTAGGAGGCAGAAGTTGTGGTGAGCCAAGATTGCACCATGACACTCCAGCCTGGGCAACAAGAGTGAAACTCTGTCTCAAAACAAAAAAACAAAAACAAAAACTGCAGCATGATTTCGATAGCAGAAAGAGAATAGCTGAAAAACCAGCATAATGAGAAAGTTAGGAAGCTTCTCACCAAAGCATCTGGAAATATGCAAGAAATTCCTGTGAACTAAAATTTTCATACTGTGCTATCAAACACTAGGACTCAGTTGTTCCATCCTTCTGTATTTTGGGACCCAATTATCCACTTCTCTTCATTCCCCATCCCACCCCTTTTCTTCCTAGCGTCTGCTAACAACCTTTATATTTTCCACCTTCCTGAGATTCCTTTTGTGTGTAGGTGTGTGATGGAGTCTCTTTCTGTTGCCCAGTTGGAGTACACAGGCACAATCCAGGCTCACTGCAAGCTCCGCCTCCCGAGTTCAAGCGCTTCTTGGGCCTCAGCCCTCCGAGTAGCTGAGACTACAGGCACGCGTCACCACGTCCGGCTAATTGTTTGTGTTTTCAGTAGAGACGGGGTTTTACCATGTTGGCCAGGCGGATCTCAAACTCCTGGTCTCAAGTGATCCTTGCGACTCGGCCTCCCACAGTGCTGGGATTCCAGGCCTGAGCCACCACAACTGGCCAAGATTTTCTTTTTTGTTCCTACATAGAAGTGAGGATATGAAGTATTTGTCATTCTGTGCCTGGCTTATTTCACTTAATATACAGACCTGCAATCTCATCCATTTTGTCTGCAGTGGAGAGGATTTTGTTTATTCCTTTTTAGGCTAAATAGTACTTCATTGTGTGTGTATACCACAGTTTATCAATTGAAACAAATTTCTAAAAAGCAAATATTTTTAACATGTCTCGGAATGTGAAACTTCAGGGATACTGTGCCCATTTTATTCTTTTCTATTTCCCATCTTATGAATATGCAAGTGTATAACAAAGCAGCAATCAAAGTGTGTATAAATCTATAATTTCAACAAATGTAAAATGAAAATGCTAAGTGGTGGCTGGGCGCACTCGCTCACGCCTGTAATCCCAGAACATTGGGAGGCGGAAGCGGGCGGATCACCTGAGGTCGGGAGTTCAAGACCAGCCTGACCAATATGGGGAACCACTGTCTATATTAAAAATACCAAAACAAAACAAAATAAAATTAGCCGGGCATGGTAGCGCATGCCTGTAATCCCAGCTACTTGAAGGCTGAGATAGGAGAATCGCTTGGATACGGGAGGCAGAGGTTGCAGTGAGCCGAGATCGTCCCATTGCACTCCAACCTGGGCAACAAGAGTGAAACTCTGCCTCAAAAAGAAAAAAAAAAAGAAAAAGAAAAACATAGAAAAAGCTAAATGGTAAGAAACAACAGCATAATAAACATTTGTATGGTATTGATGGACAATGCATTTGAAGATAATATTTGAAGAAATCATATTACAATTAACTTCTGTTCTTACTCATTGGAGCTTGATGCCTCTAAAATCTTCGGCATTGGAATCACCTCTGGTGCTTTAAAAAAAAAAAAAAAAAAATCCACATGCTCACACAGGTGCAGAGAAATCAGAATCTCAGGTAATGAGACCCAGGCCTCATCATTTGTAAGCTCCCCAGGTGAGTTGACTCAAAGCCAAGATTGAGGACCGGTGACATGGATCTCTACACATAACCAGCCTAAATAGTTTCTCTAGAAGCAGTTTATAAAGAAATTCCACAAGAACTGTGGAAGAGGATATGAATTTGATGTACAGTATGTCCTCACTTAACATCTTTGGAAGTCTCTTGGAAACTTCACCTTTAAGCAAAATTAGGTATAATGAAACCACTTATTCCTCACCAACATTATAACTACACAACCTTGAACGCACCAATGGTGTTGGAGGACCTCCTGTACATTGTCTCCATAAATTCAGTTTTCAGGGAATTCCAAAACGAAATGAGGACTTCGTGTACATAAAAAGATGGTTGTGATTCCACCTGGATGACAGAGTTATTGCTCAGAAACTAAAGGAGGCCGCCTAGGCATAGAGGATTCTGTCATGAGGTTTCTGCTAAACAAAGGATCCCAGAATCCTCACCCATTCCAGTGAAAGGCATAACGAAGAAAGCAATATTCACAAAGGAAATACGGAAAGGAATAAAAGCCGTCAAGCCACAAAAAGAATGTGACTAAGGGGCAGGATTTGCAGATGTAGGGATTTAATGTGGTTGCCCTTTCTCACCCACAGAAGAAAAAGGATGGAACAGATCATGAGATTCGACTGTTCTGCTGAGCAGCCTCCGCAGGGCACTTTGTATGTCCCTGTTTCTCAGGCTGTAGATGAAAGGGTTCAGCATGGGGGTGAAAACAGCATACATCACTGATGCCACCACACCATTCCTGTGGGGTGGTGACACAGCTGAAGTCAGGTACATGTCAATGCCTGTTCCATCAAATCAGCAAACAACTGCCAGGTGAGAGCCACAGGTAGCGAAGACTTTATACTTCCCATCTGACGATGAAATCCTTAGAATGGAGGGGACAATTTTATAGTGAGACAAAAGGACCCCTAAAATGGGAAGAAAACCAAACATAGTACTATCGAAATATATGAATATGCTATTGACGACGCTGTCAGAACTGGCAAGGTTGACAAGTTGAGATGGCTCACAGACAAAATTAGAGATTTCCACATTATTGAAGAAGGTGAATTGTAATACAACCTAACTGTGCAGCTGGGAATCCAACAGGCTAAGGAAAAAGGACACCAAAATGAAAAAGACACAGAGGTGAGGATTCACGATGACTGGGTAGTGCAGAGGGCGACAGATGGCTACAAAGCAGTCATAGGCCATCACAGTCAGAAGCATGTCTTCTGTACATGCAAAAAGGACCAAGAAAGACATCCTTGTCAGGCAGCCCTCATAAGAGATGACTCTGCTATGCGACTGCATGTCCACAATCATCTTAGGAACCGTGGCCGAGGTGAAACCGATGTCAGCCCAGCACAGGTTGGAGAGGAAGAAGCACATGGGAGTGTGGAGGTGGGAGTCAGAGCTGACAGCCAGGATGATGAGCAGGTTCCTCAGCACCGTGACCAGATACATGGACAGGGACAGCCCAGCCAGGATGGGCTGCAGTTCTGGATCCTCTGAGAGTCCCAGGAGGAGGAATTCTCAGACACCTGTGAGATTCCGTGGCTTTGTGTGACTTGGACACCTTGGGAAGAAAAGAGGATTGGAAAAATAAAAGATAAAAACCATCCCTTAATGCTGTGTGTATATTTTGGATGCAAGCAATTCACAAGGAACATTTTCACACTTGCGGACCATACACCGCCAGCAATGTTTCTCAGTTGTGACAAATCCAAAAATCTCAGAATTATGACATGATTTACTTTTTTGCTATTCAACTCTTTCTGTACACACTACTTCAGAGAAAATCCACTGAAGAATGTTAGAAGATCAAAACGTCATATATAACAAATCCGTGATCTCAGTAAAATACGGCCTACTCTTTTCAGAAATAAATAGAATGCAATGAAAATGTTCTTCTCTCTTGAAGAAAAAGATCTCAGTCTAGTTGAAAGAAATTAAGAAGCCGTGAAATACACTCTACTTTATTCTGACACCGTGCTACAAATTCCTTTGATGTAGAATATGTAAAAGGACGACACAAGAGCTAGGACTCCATTATCTAAAAACGAAATCGAAACTTAGAGTTCTTAATCGGAAGACCTTTTCACATGCCTGTTACTTTTCATATTTATTATCATCCTTCGGTTTTCTGACATCATTTCTTCAAAAAAGGACATGCACACTCAAATATGGGAGCTGTGTTTCCAAATGAATTGAATATATAACTCTTGGCTGAGCGCCATGGCTCACACCCGTAATCTCAGCACTTTGGGCGGCCGAGGCTGATGGATCACCTGAGGTCAGGAGTTCCAGACCAGCCTGGCCAACGTGGTGAAACCCCGTCTCCAGTGAAAATAAAAAAAATATAGCCGGGCGTGGTAGCGGGTAACCCTAGCTACTCGGGAGGCTGAAGCACGAGAATCCCTTAGAACATGGAAGGCAGAGATTGGACACCCTGTGATAGGATTTTTGATATGCTAGGGAGATATTGCTCCTGACAGCAGAGTGGGCGTACACCCTGTGATATTATTTGTATTATCCTAGAAAGATATTGCTCCTAATATCACGCTGGCTCTACACCCTGTGATCTTAATTGTAATATCCTACAGAGATATTACTCCTAATAATACAGTGGGTGTACACCCTGTGATATTATTCATAATATATTATGGAGATACGACTCCTGATATCACAGTGAGTGTACACCATGTTTGTACACCCTGTGATCTTATTTGTAACAACTTAGAACAATATTACAGCTAATATCAAAGTGGGTGTACACCCTGCGATGTTATTTGTCATCCACTAGGTAGAAGTTACTCTTAATATCACCGTGAGTGTACACCTTGTGCGTACAGACTGTGAAATTATTCGTAATACCCTAGGAAGATATTACTCCTCATATCACAGTGGGTGTACACCCTGTGATATTATTGGTGATCCCCCAGGGTGATACGATTCCTAGTATTACAGTGGGTGTACACTCTGTGAGGTTATTTGTAATGTCCTAGGAAGATATTACTCCTAATATCAAAGTGGATGTACATCATGTGTGTACACTCTGTGATATAATTCGTGATATCCCAGAGAGATATTTCTCCTAATATCACAGTGGGTGTACACTCTGTGATATTATTTGTACTATCCTAGAGAGATATTGCTCCCACTATCACAGTGGGCGTACACGCTGTGATATTAGAGATATTACCTCTAATATCACAGTTTCTGTACACCCTGTGGCATTATTCATCGTATCCCAGGGAGATATTATCCCTAACATCACAGTGCGTGTACACCATGGGTGGACATCCTGTGATGTTATTGGTAATATCCTAGGGAGAAATTACACCTAGTGTTACAGTGGGTGTACACCATGTGTTTCTATTCTGTGACGCTATTGGTAATATCTTAGAAAGTTATTAGTCCTAGTGCCACATAGGGTGTATACCATGTGTGTCCACTCTGTGATGTTATTCGTATTATCCTAGAGAGATAGTTCTCATAACATCACTGTGGGTGTACATCATTTATGTACTCCCTGTGGTCTTATTGGTTATGTCCTGGGTTGATATTACACCTAATATCACCGTGGGTGCACACCATAGGTGTACATTCTGTGATGTTATTCGTAATACCGTAGGGAGATATCACTTCTTATGTCATAGTGGGTGTACAGCCTTGTAATATTCTTGGTAGTATCCTTGGGACGTACTACTCCTGTTATCACAGTGGGTGTACACCTTGTGATAGTATTTGTAATATCCTAGGGAGATATCACTGTATACCCTGTGGTATTATTTGTGACATTTAAGGGAGCTATTTCTCCTAAAGTCAGAGTGGGTGTGCACCCTGTAATATTCTTCCTAATATCACAGTGGGTATCTAACTTGAATGATATTTTTTTCTAATATCCAGCGGGGGAGAGGATGATATTGCTTCCAATCTCACGGAAGTTGTACATCCCCTTGTGATATTGTTCCTAATATCCAGGGAAGGAGAGGATGACATTATTCCCAATATCACTGGGGGTGTACCACCTCCCGCCGGGATATTGTTCTTAATGTCAGTAGGTGGAGAGAATGATGTTACTCCGAATATCACAGGGGGTGTACACCAACCCTGTTTGTAAACACCCCCTGTGATATTGTTCCAAATGGCATGTGAAAGAGTCAATATTACTACCATTATCGCGGGGGGTGTTCAGCCCTGATGATATTGTTTTCTAACATCCAGGGAAGGAGAGTATGCTATTACTCGAATATCGCAGGGGTTGTACAGCTTTTTGTGTTATTGGGCCCAATATCCAGGAAAATAGAGGATGATAGTACTCCCAATATCGAAATAATTGTACCGCACTCCTGTGATATTCTTCCTAATATCCAGAAAGGAAAAGAATGATATTACTCCCAACAGCGTAGGAAATGTATACCCGCGCTGTGATATCTTTCCCCATATCCAGGTGGGGAGAGGATCATATTACTTCCAATATCGCAGGGTGCGTACACCCCCTCTGTAATCTCGTTGCTAACATCCAGGTTTGGAGAGGACGACATGACTCCCAATATCGCAGGAGGAGTTCACACCCCCCGTGGCCTTGTTAGTCATTTCCTGGGTGGAGAGGATGATATTACTCCCAATATCGCAAGGGGTGTACACACCCCTGTGAAAATCTTCCTCGTATCCAGAGGGCGAGAGGATGATATTACTCCCAGTACCGCAGGGGGTTTCCACAGCCCGGTGATACTCTTCCTAATATCCACAGGGAGAGAGGATGATATTACTCCCAATATCGCAGGGCGGGGTACACAACCCTGTGATATTGTTCCTCATATCCAGAGCGAAAGAGGATGATATGACTCCCAATATCGCAGAGGGTGTACACCCCTCCTGTCCTATTGTTCTGAATACCCTGGGAGGGAGAGGATAAGGTGACATTGAATATGGCAGGGAATGTACACCCTCTCCCTCTGATACCCTTCCTAGTATCCAGGGGAAGAGAGGATAATTGTACTCCCAATATCGCAGAGGCAGTACGCCCCACCAGTGAAATTGTTCCCAATATGCAAGGGGGGAGGGGATGATACTACTCCCAATATAGCAGGGCTGTTCACATCCCCAGTGACATTTTTCCTAATATCTAGGGGAGAGACAATTACATGACAGCAAATGTCGCAGGGTCTGTACATCCCTTCCTGATATTGTTCCTAATATCCAGGGGGAAGAGGATGATATCGAATATGAAAGGGGGTTTACAACCCCCACCCCTAAGATATTGTTCTTAATATTCTTGAGGGGAGACGATGATATGACTCCAAATATCGCAGGGGTTGTTCACACCCCCCTGTGATATTCTTTCTAATATCCAGTGGGGGAGAAAATAACATGACTTCCAATATTGCAGGTGGTGTATACCCCACCTGAAATATTGCACCGAATATCCAAAGAGGGAGAGGATGGTATTCATACCAATATCGAAGTGTGTGTTCACGGCCCTTGTGACATGGTTTTTAATATTCAGGGGGCGGGAGGATGATATTAGTCCCAACGTCACAGAATGTGTACACCACCCCTGTGATATTGTCCCTAACTTCCAGAAAGGAGAGGATGAGATCACTCCCAATATCTCAGAAGTTGTACATCCCCCGTGATACTGTTCGTCATATCCAGGGAGGCACGGGACGACATTCCATTGAATTTCGCGACAGGCGTACACGCACAGTGTGATATTGTTCCTAATATCCAAGAAGGCAGAGGATGACATTACTCCCAATAAAGCAGTGGGTGTACATTACCCTGTGTTATTGCCTCTAATATCCGGGGCCGGGGAACGGGGGGAGAGGGTAACATTCCCTCAAATGTAGCAGGTGGTTTGACGCCCCTCGTGGTGTTGTTTTACATATCCAGCGGGGAAGACAATAATACTATTTTTGATAGTCCGATTCATCCGCTCCACCTTTCCGGAACACTGAGTCTGGGGGGCGGCATGCAGTTTCCGTGTGATCCCCCAATATTTTTGCCGTTTTCTGTAGCAAGTCAGCCACAAACGCCAGCCCGTTATCTAAGCCGATCCGGAAGGGCAGTCCCAATCTATGAATCAGATCTCGAAGAAGTACACGGGGTTACTTCACGAGCTTTCTCAGTTCCTGTGGGATAAGCCTCCACCCACCCAGAGTAGGTACGCCCAAGAACTAGTAAATACTTGTTACCTCCACACTTTGGCATCTCTGTGAAGTCTACCTGGAGATCTTTAAAGGGGGCTGCTCCATAAGCTTGTATGCCGGGTGGAATGGCTGGACCTTGCCTCGCATGATGCTGTCGGCAGCTGACACATTGCTGCCTCACCGTTTTGGCAAGGGCTGAGAAACGCGAGATGTAGAAATACTGGCCTAACAACTTTTCCAATGACTCCTGACCTCGATGGGTGGTTTCATGCACAGCCAGTACAACTGCAGCTCCTCGCAGCTGTGGCACAGCTACTCTCCCATCTGCTAACCGAATCCATCCTTCCTCCATCACTTGTCCTGCCCTCTACCTGGAGAAAGTCCTTTTCTTCTTTAGAATAAGCAGGTCCAAGATCAGGTGCTTGAGGGAGCAGAGGAGATGTGACTGATGCCTGGAAAGGGGCAGATGCTGCTTTTCGAGCCTCTGAGTCAGCGCGGGAATTCCCCAAGCCCACCAAGGTGGAAGCTCGCTGGTGCCCCCTACAATGCATAACTGCTACCTTGTGGGGTTTCCATACTGCTTCTAATACAGGAAGATTTCTGGTTGATATTTTCTGCTTTTCCCCCCAGAGTTCAAGAGGCCCTTTTCTTTCTATCACGCTCCATGCACTAGAAGGTATGTCAAAAGACATACCGAGAATCAGTGTAAATGTTGACAGTCTCACCCTCACGGAGTTCTAAGGCCCGAATTAAAGCAATGAGTTCAGCTTTCTGGGCTGAAGTGCCCTGGGGCAACGATCTGGCTTCAACAACAGTGTCCAGGATTATAACTGCATACCCTGCACCTCTCTCTCCTTGGGTGTTGACGAAGCTGCTCCCATCTTTGTATAGTTCCCGGTCTACTGATGCCCAAGCCTGGTCCCGGATGTCAGGTCTGCTAGAGTCAACTGAGTCCAACACTTCTACACAATCATGTTCGACAGGGCTCTCTGACAGCGGGAGCAAGGTGGCAGGGTGTTACAAACTTCAATGGTTATACGGGGATTTTCACAGAGCAAAGTCTGGTACTTGGTGAGTCTGGCATTCGTTAGTCAATGATGTCCTTTAGTATTCATTAAAGTCACCACGCATGGGGGGCCTTTCTGTTCAGGTTCTGCCCAAGAGTCAGCTTCTTTGCTTCTTGTACTAGCAGGGCAGTTGCTGCCAAGGCCCTCAAACACGGGGGCCGTCCTTTAGAAACCCCGTCTAGTTGTTTAGAGAGGTAGGCCAGCGGCCTCGGCCAGGGCCCCACAGTTTGGGTTCAAAGTCCAGCTGCCATCTTTTCTCTCTCTCTGACACATAGGATGTAAAAGGCTTTGTGAGATCGGGTAGCCCCAGGGCTGGGGCTGACATAAGTTTCTCCTTTAACTCACGAAAGACTTGCTGTTGTTGGGATCCTCATTCAAAAATTTCCCGGTCCCCGCCCCCTTTGTGACCTCATACAAAGGCTTGGCTAACTGCAAAGTTTGGGATCTGCAGTCTACAAAACCCCACAGCTCCTAAGAATTCTCTCACCTGCCTTCTGCTCTTAGGCTCTGCTAGATTGCAAATGACCTGCTTTCTTTCTGATCCCGGGCTGCGTTCCCCCGTCGGATAGTAAATCCCAAGGAACGTACCTGCTGTCGGCAGATCTGAGCTTTCTTCTTGGACAGCTTACACCCACAGTCCTCCAGGTGTCGGCGTAGGGCAATCCGTTCCCTTGGCGCACCCGACTGCCGTGGGGTGTCCCAGCAAAAGCTCATCAACCTAGCGGAGCAACGCACAGCCTAGGTCTCTGGTGGGAAACTTCCGGAGGTCTCGAGCCAACGCCTCCCTGAAGATGGTGGGGGAGTCCTTGAACCCTTGGGGAAGCCCGGTCCAAGTGTACTGAGTAGTGACACCTGACTCCGGATCTCCCCACTGAAAGGCAAACAGCTTCTGGCTCTCAGGGGCTAATCTGATAGGAAAGAAAGCGTCTCTCAGGTCCAAGCAGGTGAACCAGCTGTCCTCAGCTGGCAGCAACCCCAACAATGTGGACGGGCTAGGTACTGTTGGATGGAAAGTCAGAGTAGTTTGACTAAGCAAGCCCGAATCCTGTCCCGGCCTGTAGTCCTTGGTCCATGGCTTGGGAACAGGCAGGAGGGGAGTATTCCGTGGAGACTGACAAGGAACTATCATACCAAAAGTTCTTAGGTGCTTAAGATGGACCTGGATACCTTGAAGAGCTTCTCTGGGGACCGGGTCCTGTTTTTGCCTAAGCGGCTGGGCCCCAGTCTTAACTGATCAACCCTGGAGGGTTGTCTTCTGCCCGTACTCTTGGCTACCGCTTAGCCAGAGCTGGTCTTCTCTCTTGGCCCGCCTCAGTTCACAAAAGGCTCCATTCCTCCTCTTGGGGGACCGTAAGGGTCATAATGACTCCCGTGGCGGGTAACTTTAGCAGCAAAGAGCTGTGTTCTGTCAAAGAGAGAGCAGCTCTCAGCTTGCTAAGCAAGTCCCTTCCCAACAAGGGCAAGGGATAGTCAGGCATGTACAAAAACTGATGAATCACTTGATGTCCTCCTACAGTACAAGTCCCAGGCAAGCAGAAAGCTTGCTTTGCTGAAACCCCCATGGCTCCGATGACATCAATAGTCTTTCTGGATAAGGGGGCGACCGGGGCGGTTACTAGCGAATGTTCAGCAGCGGTATCTACAAGAAAATCAATGTCTCTACCCTCGACTGTCATTCTGACCAGAGGTTCTTTGGGGACACTTAAGCCCGGTCTCCCTCAGTCCAATATCCCTTCTACCAGGTTGAGCAGGGCCCCTTCCTCCTTGTCCGGGGCCTCCTGCTCTGAGTCATCTTGTTTTCTTTTGAGCTGAGGGCATTTGTTCTTCCACTGTCCTATTTCTTTACAATGAGCACACTGGTTACACTGCAAACTCTGACATCCAAGCTGAGTTTCTTTCCCAGGGCCCCCCTTCCCTTGCTTCTTTGGGGGGGACAGCTCTGATTGCTGCAGCTAACAAACAGGTCGGCGTTTCGCCGGGCCAGACCTTCATTCTCTTTGCATTTTCCCTCGTGGCTTACTGCATCCCTGTTTACAAACACCTGCTTAGCTATTTCTCATCAATGTGATGTATTCTTCCCTGCAAGCCCAGCCTGCTTCTGCAGTTTTCTTCTAACGTCTTCCGCGCTTTGACGGACTAAAGCCATGTGAATCATGCGCTGATTTTCAGGGTTATCGGGATCAAAGGGAGTATACATACCACAGGCCTCACACAGTCTCTCGTAGAATTGTGCCGGACTTTCTTCTTTTCCCTGAATGACCTCAGAGACCTTGTTAACGTTTGTGGCCTTCTCAGCTCCCCTCTTGAATCCTTCCAAGAGAGCTTCCCTGTCTCGGTTTAGCCTTTGCATATCCTCTCTTTCATGTGGGTCCAACTGGGTGTGGGTTCCTGGTAACTGGGTCCTTCCATACTCTTGCGAGTTTTGATAATCAGCTGGTGCATGTTCCTCTAGCTACTTAGTTGCTGCTTGGAGCCCTCTCCGCCTTTCGCCTTTCATCTCTCTTAAAGAGGAACATGAGCAACGGGTGGCGGTCAGCCCAGGTGGGGTTGTGGGTCTGGATAACAGTTTGGAGCAAATCAATTAGGGCTTGCGGCTTTTCGGTGTAGGACGGGGTATTGTTTTCCCAGTTGAGAAGGTCGGCAGAGGTGAAGGGCTGGTACACAAAAACACGCCTCTCCACCACGTGAGCATCCTCCTCTCTCCCAGTATGCCGCTGCTCTCTCAGGGGCATTTGAATCCCCGTTTTGGGTCGTAAACGAGCTGCCGAGGGAGGGGTGGAATGGCGCAATGTTACTTACCACAATTAATAATCTCAATTATTAACTGATACTGATAATTATCAATATTAATAACTGATCATATAATTCTTAAAATCAATACCGATAATAATGATAATTCGTATTAAAGAGTTTTACTCACGATAACAATAAATGATGAATATTAATGATTAATGACGCCTGGTCTTAAAGAGTGATATTGATCTTATTCATTAGAAAACTGTCATATTAGCTCCTAATAACTAACATTAATATTAATAATCTGAACACTATTTTAACAATGATTTCTTAATATTAATATTAATATTGGTAATACATATTCATGTTAATAAATGAGGAAGAATTAATATGAATATTATCCCTAATACCTCAGTGGGTGTACACCCACCTGTGATATTGTTCCTAATGTCCAGGGAGGGAGAGAGCATGATATGACGTTCAGTATCGCAGTAGGTGTACACCCAACCGGTGATATTGATCCGAATATCATCTCCAGGGGGTCGCGTATGACGTTACTCCCAAGATAGCCGTGGGTGTGCATCGACCCGTTGATATTCCTCCTAATATTCCCGGAAGAAGAGAATGCTATTACTCCCAGTATCTCAAGAAGTGTACACCCCTTCTGTGACATTGTTCCTAATATCCGGAGGGGGAGAGGGTGATATTACTCGCAATATCGCAGGCTGTGTACACCCACCCTCTGATATTGTTCCTAGCAGCCAGGAAGTGAGAAGACGATATGACTCCCCATAAAGCAGGAAGTGTACACCCATCCTGGGATATTATTCCTAATATCCACGGAGAGGAGAGGCTGATATGACTCCCAATATCGCAAGGGTTGTACATCCAGTCTGTGATATTGTTCTTAATATTCAAAGGTGGAGAGGTTGGTATTACTCCCAATGTCACAGAAAGTGTACAAACCCGTGTACTATTGTTGCTATTATCCAGAAGAAGAGAAGATGATATCACCCCCCATCGCAGGAGGTGTACACCCACTCTGATATTTTTTCCAATGTGCAGGGCAGGGGAGGATAATACTCTTCTTCACGGCACAGGGTGTGTACAGCCCCACTGTGATATGGTCCTTAATATTCCAAGGCGGAGAGGATGATCTTACTCCCAATACCGCAGAAAGTGTACACAACCCCAGTGATATGGTTCCCATGATCCAGGAGAGAAGAGGGTGATGTTACTTTCAATATCGCACGGGGTGGACACGCCCCCAGTGATATTGTTTCTAATTTCAACGTGGGAGAGGATGATACTACACGGAATGCCCCTAGGGGTAAAAACACTCCTGTGATATTGTTCTTAATATCAAGGGGAAAGAGGATGCTATTACTCCAAAGAGCGCAGAGGATGTGCACCCATCTGTGACATAGTTGGTAATTTCCAGAGGCGGAGAAGATATTACTGACAATAACGTGAACACGCTGTGTGACCACCGTGGACCGTAATTTCCAGGGGGGAAGGGGGGGTTATATGACGCCCCGCATCGCGGGGGGCGCCCGTCCCCCTGCGACGTGAATCGTCATATCCAGAGGGGGGTGATATGACTGCCCGCATAGCGGGGGCCTCACCCCCTTGCGATGGGGGTCCTAAGAGCCAGGGGGGATAGGGGCTGGCTCTTACTCCCCGTACCTCGGGGTGGGGCCTCATCCCCCTGCGAAGGGGCTCCTAAGAGCCGGGGGGGAGTGGGGCTGGCTCTTACTCCCCATATCGCAGGAGGTGTGTACAACCCCTGCGATATTGGGAGTAATATCATCCTCTCCCCCTGAATATAAGAAACAATATCACAGGAGGATGTACACCCCCTGCGATATTGGAAGTAACATCATTTTCTTCCCCTCCGGATATTCGGAACAATATCACAGCGGGTGTGTACAGCCCCTGCGACATTGCCGCTAGTATCTTCCTCTCCTTCCCAGGATAGAAGAAAGAATGTCACAAGGGGGTGTACACCCCCTGCGATATTGGCTGTAATATCTTCCTCTCCCCCGCTGCACTTTAGGAGCAATGTCACACAAGGGGTGTACAACCCCGGCTATATTGGGAGTGATATCATCCTCTCCGTCCCTGGATATTAGGAACAATATCCCTAGGGAGTGTACACATCCTGCAATATTCAGACTAATATCCTCCTTTCGCCGCCTGAATATTAGGATCAATATCACAAGGTTGGTGTGCACCCCCGGCGAAATTGGAAGAAATATCATCCTCTCCACCTTTGGATGTTAGGGTCAGTATCACGGGGGAGGTCTCCGCCCCCTGCGATATTGGGAGTCTTATCATCCGCTCCCACCCAGGATATTAGGAACAAGATAACCGAAGGGATGTACACCCACTGCACTATTTTCAATAATGTCATCCTCTACCTCCCGGCTATTAGGAGTAACATCATAGAGAGGTGTACACTTTCTGCAATATTGGGAGTAATATCCTCTCCCCCACGGATATCGGGAACAGTTCTATTAATTATTAATACTAATGGATATAATAACAATTAATAGTATTCATCAATATTAATAATTACAGTAGAGACATTAAAACAGTACGGATGAAAAATATTAACGGTTACTATTAATAATTAATAGCAATATCACTATTAATAATAAAATAATGATATCACTAATTAATGTTACTTCAATCAATCATAAGTGATGTTGGTAATAAAACAATAATTAATATTAAGATTAATAACTAATATTAAAAGTGACATAAATATTAATAATTAATTTTAATCATGCATAATCATATTTGGAAAATAATCATTAATGATTAATAACGTTATACTGTTAATTAATATTACCATTGATAATTATTAATAAGACTGATGTTTAATAATTCAGAATATTATTACTGCTAATACCGCAGGGGGTGTACACCTACCTGTGATATTGTTCCTAATATCCAGGGATGGAGAGCATGATATTAGTTTTCATATCGCAGTAGGTGTACGCTCACCCTGTGACACCGATCCTAATACCCAGCGGGTAGAGTATGACATGACTGCCAACATAGCAATCAATGTACAGCCACGCGGTTATATTGCTCCTAATATTCACGGAAGAAGCATATGATATTACTCCCAATATCGCAGGGAGTGTACACCTCTTCTGTGATATTCTTCCTAGTATCCCGAGGGAGAGAGGGTGATAATAATTCCAGCATCGCAGGCTGTGTTCACCCAGCCTGTGAAATTGTTATTAATATCCTGAAAGGGAGAGGATGATATTACTCCCCATAATAGATAGATATGACTCCCCATAATAGAGCAGGAGGTGTACACCCACCCTGTGATATTCTTCCTAATATTCAGAGGCCGAGAGGTTGATATTACTCCCAATATCGCAGGAAGTATACACTCCCGTGTGAGATGGTCCTTCATAATATTTCAAGGCGGAGGGGTTGATATGACTACATATATGGCAGAAAGTGGACACCCCCCAGGGATATTGTTCCCATGATCCTGGAGGGAAGAGGATGATATTACTTTCAATATCACAGAAGGTGGACACGCCCCCACTGATACTGTTTCTAATTGCAGCGTGGGAGAGGAGGATATGACACGCGATATCCGAGGGAGTGGAAACACCCCTGTGATACTCTTCTTAATATTCAGGGAGGAAGAGGATGATATTACTCCCAATACAGACGGGTGTACACCCTCTGTACACCGAGGGTGTACACCTGTCTCTGAAACAGTTCATAATCTCCAGAGTTGGAGATGATATTGCTCACAATACGGTAAAGAGGCTGTGAGTCCACCGCGGATCCTAAAAACCAGGAGGGGAAAAGGGGCTGGCTCTTACTCCCCGCATTGCGGGGGATGCCTCACCCCCTGCGATGGGGGTCCTAAGAGCCGGCGGGGGAGAGGGGCTGTTCCCTACGTTGGGGCACTGAGGTCCCTGTTTTCTTGCAAGCTGCCATCGGGGACCACTCTCGGCTTCCAGGGGCCCCCTTGTAGGTGGCACCATGGCCACTTGCCCTACTCCAAGCCTGCAGAAGAGCGCCTCTCTGCCATGTCCCTTTCTTTTAAAAGACTTGCCTGACTGGTTCAGGTCCATTAGGTATCGTCCCATTTGATTAGCTCAAAAGTACTGTAGCCCATCACATTCACTCACAGGAGGGCATTAGCGGGGTGTGGACACCAGGGAGTGAGAATCTCTCAGGCCAGTTTAGCATTCAGTTGGTTGGCCAGGTTCAGTGGCTCACGCCTGTAATCCCAGCACTTTGGGAGGCCGAGGCGGGCAGATCACCTGAGGCCAGGAGTTCGAGACCAGCCTGGCCAACATGCTGAAACCCAGTCTCTACTAAAAATACAAAAATTAGCCAGGCGTGGTGGTAGGCGCCTGTAATCTCAGCTACTTGGAAGCCTGAGGTAGGAGAATCGCTTGAACCTGGGAGGTGGAGGTTGCAGTGAGCCGAGATCGTGCCATTGCACTCCAGCCTGGGCGATACAGCGAGTCTCAAAAATAAATAAATGCGAAGGCTGCTGAGCGCAGTGGCTCATGCTTATAATCCTGGCACTTTGGGAGGCCGAGGCAGAAAGACTGCTTAAGGCCAGGAGTTTCAGCCTAGAATGGACAGTACAGTGCAACTCTATCTCTAAGTAAAATAAAATAAAATAAAATAAAATAAAATAAAATAAAATAAAATAAAATAAAATAAGTAAAATAAGAATTCAGTTGGTTAAAAGAAACTCACTAGGTCCAGCCCACAATCAAGGGATGGAAATTACACAAAGCTGTGAAGAGTCAAGGGTGGGAGATCGCTGGCAGCCCTTATAGAAGCTACCTATCTCACATACCTGTTGGACAGCTTCTCTCTCCTAGCTGGGGGTATTTGGAGCGGGTGTCGAATCCTGCTCTTTTGTATTTCTGTTGCCTTTTCTGGCGGTGACGTGTTTCCTGTGCGTTCTGTAATTTTGGATCGTGAGCTCAGCTTCAGAGGGGCTTTATGTGGGGAATCCTGGGTGGCCAGGTTTGAGGGAGCCACCTAGAGAGGTTTTCTATTTGGCCTTTCCAGGAGCCCCAGGGTACCACTAAGCCAAGGCAACTTTTTTTTTTTGAGACAGAGTTTCACTCTTGTTGCCCAGGCTGGAGTGCAGTGGCGCAATCTCAGCTCACTGCAACCTCTGCCTCCCAGGTTCAAGCTATTCTCCTGCCTCAGCCTCCCGAGAAGCTGGGATTACACGCACACGAGGCGTGGCTAATTTTTTGTATTTTTAGTGGAGACGGGGTTTCACCGTGTTGGCCAGGCTGGTCTCGAACTCCTGACCTCAGGTGATTCACCTGCCTCAGCTTCCCGAAGACCTGGGATTACAGGCGTGAGCCACCACGCCCGGCCCAAAGCAACTTTTTAGTGTTAATTTCTCAACTCTTGCATTCCTAGACCACACAGGTAGCATGACTTCATTGTAGGAGTTCCACATTTACATAAGAGAGGCCTGAAAACGCAACGATCTCATGGGAAACTTGTTCAACACCTAAAGCTCAAATTTTCTCACCTCTCTCTGTTCCCCTGGGTGGAAATGTTTCTGTTCCTTTCTCTAAAGGTGTTGCATTTCTGTGGCCCCAACTTCATCATGCTTGACTGTAACCCTGACCCCCTGCCTTGTAAGGACTTCCAACGCTCAACCCAGCCCTGCCCTCAGGCAGTTGCAGCACCAGCTCCTCTGTCCCCACCTTGGTTCTCACTCCCGTCTTCACTTCTGGCCTTAGGGGACTTAACTTATTTTCTGAAGAACTCAGCTATATATTTATTTTATTTTATTTTATTTTATTTATATATTTTTTGAGATGGAGTTTCGCTCTTTTGCCCAGGCTGGAGTGTAATGGCGTGATCTTGGCTCACTGCAACTTCTGCCTTCCGGGTTTAAGCGATTCTTCTGCTTCAGCCTCCTAAGTAGCTGAGACTACAAGCCCCTGCCACCACTCCTGGCTGATTTTTGTATTTTTAGTAGAGATGGGGTTTCACCGTTGGCCAGGCTGGTCTCGAACTCCTGGCCTCAGGTGATCCGCCCACCTCAGCCTCCCAATGTTGTGGAATTACAGGCGTGAACTACCATGCCCGGCCTCAGCTCTATAGTTAAAAGGACATTTGTTTCTTACCCAGCATTCCTAGGTGTTTTGAAGAGGGAGACTTCTCAGGTTATCTAACCTGCTACTGAGAACTTAAAGATAGGGAAAATCTTGGACTGGAGATTCTTGGAATCACATAATTGAAAAATCCCAGCCGGGTGTGATGGCTCACGTCTGTAATCCCAGCACTTTGGGATGCCGAGGCAGGTGGATCACCTGAGGTCAGGAGTTTGAGACCAGCTTGGCCAACATGGTGAAACTTCGTCTCTGCTGAAAATACAAAAAAATTAGCCTGGCTTGGTGGTGGGCGCCTGTAATCCCCGCTACTCGGGAGGCTGAGGTAGGAGAATCGCTTGAACCCAGGAGACGGAGGTTGCAGTGAGCTGAGATCACGCCATTGCACTCCAGCTTAGGCAACAAGAATGAAACTCCTTTGCAAAAAAAAAAAAAAGAAAGAAAAAGAAAAGAAAAAGAAAAATCCCCACAGTGCACATGGCCAAAATCAGAGGTGCTTTAGGAGCGAGGGTGCAATCAGACACGGAGGCCATTACACAAGCTTCTCGTCCACTCAGGGGTCCAGAACCTCCACCCAGTCACCTTATCTGGGGTTGATGGAGACAGGGGAGGTGCCACCTACGCCAGTGTCATCTCTTGCAATGAGCTCTTCTCCTGCTCGAAAAGAGCCAGCCTGCTGAGCTTGCTGCCAGGGCCCGTCGCACTGCCTGCGCTGTGTTTCCCATCGCACAGCCTGTGATGTGTGTTTCACGTCGCACGGCCTGTGATATGTGTTTCCCATCATGTGTGCACGTGTGTTGTCATGTAGTGTCTGTCACAGGTGTTACCCGTCACGTGTGTTTGCATGTTGCATGTGTGTGGCCTATCAGGTGTACGTGTGTTGTCTGGCACATGTCAGCATCTGGGCATTCTCCGTGTGCCAGGAGCAGCCAGGTGGCCTGTGAAGCCTTCTCATGGGAAATGCCCATATAGGAAGAGCACAGCCAGGAGCCACGCCCCTGAGTGGCCACTCCATGTGCCTGGATCACCTTCAAGTCTGCTCAACATCAGAGCCTCTGTTCCTTGGCATCATGGACATTGGAATTGACTCGAAACTGGGAAGAGCTGTAGGCCCACTATCCAGGCACCCGCTGCCCGTTTGCCCAGCATCCCAGGGGCCCACACCCTTCCAAATATCACCTTGCCCTCCATTCAGAGGTGAATCATCTGAGCGTCAGGTTGCCCAACTCCGACTGGTTTTGCTGGAGGCTGCCTGGAGGATGTCGACAGCCAGCCACCTCCAGAGAACACTCAGTCTACAGATGCCGAGGGGGAACTGGAAGCACACAGCGCTGGCCTTCACCCAGCTTACAGTGGCACCTTGGGACCGCTTCTGAGTCTGCTTTTCACTGAAGTTCGGCGTGAGGAAGGCAGCGTTCCCTCCCAGATTTAGAAAATGTCAAGTCTCCCGCCGCACCCTTTTGTGTTTCTTACAGGACCTGGGGCACTTGCTGCCGCCACACTAAGGGCTCCAACATGTTCCCTCACACACTCAACAGAGAAGGAACCTGTGGCTTACATGGGAGACTCCCTGTCCAAGGCCACAGAGTCTGGCCCCAGGGACCACTAGAGGCTTCAAAAACCAAACTCACATGAGGGCAGAGAGGAGAGATGGGGCCAGTTTAGGGCTGGGAGAATCCATAGAGCGATGCTGAGGCAGACATGGAGCCTGGAGGTACGGACGAGGGTCTCGCCAAAATCAGGGGTGGAGAGGCTGTGGGGAGTGAGGAATGGTGTGGGCCAGCCCCGGGCCTGCTGGGGTGCAGCTGGGGGCTCCATGGCCCTCCCACGGCCCCTACTTGTCCTCACCCAACCGTTCAGAGCTCTTCATGGCGGGGTTGTCCCTCTCCTGTGCCCACAAGAGGAGTGGGTGGAGGAACGGCAACTTCAGGCCTTGTAGGGGGTCTGCCCCTCCACCAGCCTGTTTCTCGTGGGCATCGCAGCTGAGGCTGTAGCCGGGAAAGGGTAGTAACCGAGCGTACCTGGCCTCCAACCACCACTTCCAAGGCCCCTACTGGGCACAGGGTGACCCCACCGTGGCTCGGAAGTGGACCCTGTCCGACGCGGGGATGGTCGCTGGAGGGCCGAGGATGCCTACACAGGCCCCTGGAGGGTGTGCCTCGGGAGTCTGTCTTGCCCTCTGGACCCATGGGGGACCAGCAACGCCGTCACACCCTCCTCTGTATCTGCCAGCCGCTCCGCCACTCCCTTCTCCTGGCTGGGGCTGGCAAAGGCAGGCAGATATGGGGGGCGGGGCCTCAGGAGGGAGGAAGGGCTGGTGGGCGGGGCCTACGGACACCTCGCCCCGCCCCCAGTGGGGCTCCGCACTCCCCACACCCCGTGGTCCCCCTAGGTCAGGGCCTCCCACCACCGCGCCCAGACGCCGGGCCAGCCGGGTGTGTACCCCAGGGGCGCTCCATCCCCGGCGGCCTGGGACTCCCCAGTCAGGACAGTACAAAATCTCTTTATTGCTCATTTTCTGTAAAAAATCGTGGCTCTCGGAGGACCCTGGAGATAGGAGGTGCAAAGCGCGCTCACACGCGGCCCGGGTCCGCGGCCGAGAGCTGGGGGGATCTGGAGCGGGGCCGGGTCGCAAGAAGACCCTGACCCTGCTCCGGGGCTGGGGCGCGTGCTAGGGGCCCGCGGGGTTTCAGCTGTATTTTCGAACCCCTGTGCTTGGCCGAGGGGTTCCCAAGGCTCCACTCCGCCTTGGAGGGGGGCTGCGGAAGCCCGGAGGTGACACGGGCTCTGGAAGGGGCGTCCCCAACGTGGGGGAGGGGTGACAGGGGCCTTTGAAGACAGCGCGGGACTAGGAGGGGGTGCCCCCGACCTAAGACGTGGTAAACTGAGGCCGGCGAGGAGGGAGGCTGAGTCCGGGGACCAGGCGGCCCCTCACTGCTCCTCCGGCCCGTCGCCCCCCTGCGCCTGTTCGTACGGGCAGGGCCGGCGGCCGAGTCCAGCGGGCTCGGGGCCAGGCCTGGGCCCCGCGGGCGGCGCCTCCTCCTCCGCGGCGTCCCCATGCTCGCCTTCCGCGTCTCTCTCGTCCGAGTTGTCCTCCTCCAAGTAGAAGTAACCTCGCACCTTGTGCTGGGGCCGCGGGATGCAGGGCTGGCGCGGGGCCATGCCCCGCCGCAGCTTCTGCTCCATCCGCAGGTAGGAGACCGCGGCGGCCACCAGCGTCACCAGCAGCACCGCCAGCTTAGCCTGGGCGTAAGGAGAGGGATGCCAGGGACCCGCGGCCGCCTTGCCCCGCACCTTCCTCGCCTATGCCCCTCTCTGAGATAGGCCCTTCCCTCCTCCGGGAGCCTCCCGGGCCACGCGACCCTCAACTTCTCCAGCCGCTCCACCCACGCTTCCTGGACCGCCTCCTGCAGGCGAGGCTCACATCCAGCACTGTCCCTTACAGTCGCCATGCCCCTGGCGACCTCAGTGTCCCACGCTGTAAGGGGACAATGCAAATCCCTTTGCCTCATAGGGTGCATGTGCCAGTGTTGATAAAGTGCTGGCCACAGGCCCTGCCTTCCCAGGGCTCACAACACTGTGTCCCTGACACACCCGTGGGCTGCAGTGATGCTCTTCATGGGGATTTGACTATAACCCGCAGTCAGGAATGATTTCACACCATAGCTCAGCACACACACACACCTCTGTATGCATACTTCCTGCTCTTTTCTTTTTTCCAGACACGGTCGCTCCGTTTCCCCACCGCGCCCCCTCCCTCCCTTCCCCCACCCACTGCTGGAGCGCAGTGGCACGCTCACTTCAGCCTCAATCTTCCAGGCTCAAGCCATCCTCCCACCTCAGTCTCCCAAGCAGCTGGAACTACAGGCACGCGCCATCACGCCCAGCTAATTTTTAAATTTCTTGTAGAGACAGGGTCTCCTATGTTGCCCAGGCTGGTCTTGAACTCCTGGCCTCAAGCAATCCTCCCGCCTCAGCCTCCCAAAGTGTTGGGATTACAGGCGTGAGCCACCATGCCCAGCCCACTCACTGCTTTTCTTTTTTCTTTTTTTCCTTTTTTTTTGGGAGACAGAGTCTCGCTCTGTCCTCCAGGCTGAAGTGCGGTGGCGCAATCTTGGCTCACTGCAACCTCCATCTCCCAGGTTCAGGCCATTCTTGTGCCTCAGCCTCCAGAGTAGCTGGGATCACAGGGACGTGCCACCATGCCCAACTAATTTTTGTGTTTTTAGTAGAGACAGGGTTTCACAGCCTGTTACACAGGCCGGTCTCGAACTCCAGATCTCAGGTGATACCCCCACCTCAGCGTCTCAAAATGCTGGGATTATAGGCATGAGCCACTGCTCCCAGCCCACTCCCTGCTATTTTTAGTTCTATTTTTATTTTTATTTTTATTTTTATTTTTATTTTGAGATGGATTTTCGCTCTTGTTGCTTAGGCTGGATGGAGTGCCAAGGCCCCGTCTCGGCTAACTGCAACCTCCGCCTCCCAGTTCAAGCGATTCTCCTGCCTCAGCCTCCTGAGTAGCTGTGATTACAGCCACCTGCCACCACGCCCAGCTAATTTTTGTATTTTTAGAAGAGACGAGGTTTCACCATGTCGGTCAGGCTGGTTTCAAACTCCCTACCTCAGGCAATCTACTTGCCTCGGCCTCCCAAAGTGCTGGGATTACAGGCGTGAGCCACCGTGCCCGGCCTTTAGTTCTATTTTTAAAAAATGTTTAGCAACTGGGACTTGCTAGACCGAGCCACCATCTTTTGGGAGCAGAGCATGAGAAGCCTGCTCCCGTTCAGGACATGAAGGGAGACAGACGCAACATCTGGACAACAGGGTACCAAACAGCCCACAGGATGGCTGTGATGCACCCACAAATCCCCTCAGAGGTGGGCAAACTGAGACTGGCTGGAGGTGGGCCAGTAAGTGGGGTGCTGAGTTGGGGGCCACCCAGTGGGCTGCAGGAATGGGGCCTTGGCCCAGAGACTGGCTTGGGAAGGGGTGGCGTTTAGGAAGCTGTGAAGCCAGGGCAGGGGCTAAGGAAATACCTGTCATTGGGCATGGGGCCCCCAACCCTGCCCAGTCTCACCTTCATGTGCAGGCTCGAGCCCAGGTACACGGTGAAGATGGCCACAGCCTGCCACCAGTGGTAGATGGTGAAGATGAAGTCCTGTCTCTCCTTGTCTTCGTACAAGATTCCCAGGAGTGCTGCAGGCAGGCAGTACAGGGCAGTCAGGGGAGAGGTGTCACCTGGGGCCTGGGGCTGCCTAGCTACCATCTACGAACTTTACTAAGCCCTGTATGTGTCCCAGCCCGGGACCAGAGAGCGCCTAGAAAGTGCTGTAAGCTGGTCCTGGCCTGCCCCCTGGTGGAGACCCTGGTCACCACGCTGCTCACACGCTAAGCAGAAGTAGGAGCAGGTGTGCCGGGTTGTGTGGATGCAGGTGGTCCCGCTCCGCACCACATGCGTGGCCTCAAAAGAAGAAAGCTCTGTGCTTAGTCATGTCCTGTCCCCAACCCCAGGTGTGCAGTACCAAGCTTGCAGGCGCTGTTTCTCTTTCTCAGCCTGGACTAGAGAGATCGAACTGTTTGCAGCTGCCAACTCTGCAAATCAAACCTGAAGCTAAGCATGGAGAGGGGGCTTCCTTTCCAGTGAGTCCTCCCAGGGTGGGCAACAAGAGTAATGCATTGGGAGTCAGAAGATGCACACTCGTTCTCAGGACTGTAACGTTGGCTCTGTGGGTGATTTGGGTACTTAACTCCCCAGAGCTGCTTTTCCCAATGGTGAGATGAGCCTATGCCTATTGTGTGCTGTGTTCTGAAGTTCTAAAGTGAGAAAGTGGGCATGGCACCTGCCAAATCATAGGGGCCACTATTAACACCTTCACCAGGCACTCAGGACATGAACA
The DNA here is from genome assembly GCF_000001405.40 of Homo sapiens. Taxonomy (NCBI): domain Eukaryota; kingdom Metazoa; phylum Chordata; class Mammalia; order Primates; family Hominidae; genus Homo; species Homo sapiens. The sequence continues at coordinate 8,961,012 of NC_000004.12, read as the reverse complement.
CTCCTGTCTTGGGGCCCTGCAGGGTGACTTTACCCCCACAGTGCTGCTATGAAGAGACAAGGATCCCCCAGGGTTCACCGGAGGAGATGGGATATGGAGCTGGGCAGAGGGGATGCCATGACCAGACAGGGCACAACATGGGTCCAAGATACCCAGGATGGACTCTGCCCAGAATTGACTATCCTTGGGCAAAACGGCCAAGAGACTGTGGTGCAGTATGAGGCTCCAGCCCCTGCTACAGACAGAGACACCGAGCCACCCTCTGCCCTGCCAGGAGCAGGCATGACCTCTGCCACTCCACACCCCCAAGGATGACGTTCAAAACTGTTCTTAGTTTCGGCCCATCAGAACAGACACTGACATGGATGCCCTGCAGGACTGTGCCCATGTGTGCTAGCTGTGTGTCACTGCATGTGCCCATCTGTGGGCAGGGAGCATCCTGGAGCTGAACATGGGCCCACCCGCTGCCTTCTGCAAACAGGGCCCTGTTCCCCAGCAGCCCAGACCTGGGGCCTGGACTCTGGTACTGAGCAGACTGGGTTGGGGCTGCAGGCCTGCTCCTCTCTATACAAAGGCCCATGTCTGTATCTATGCCGTGGATGTACAACAGGCCACTTGCTCCTACCACATGCTCTGTGAGGCAGAGACCAAAACATCTGCTCCAAGTGTCATGAAAAATATGCCAGGGTAAGCCCTGTCCCCTGGTATGAAAAGGAAGAATCCCTGATGTGTTTTTCATACCGTCCCTAAGGGGTGTCCACAGAGCCCCACACCTGCCCCCTGTAGCCACGAGATTTCACACTGATGCTCCAGTGTTGATGGGGCCCTGTGCCCACCATGGGGTATTAATGGAATGTCCATGGCGTGGAACCCCCACACCTGTCTCCAGGGTGTCCACGCCCTACCCATCTGCCCCCAGTGTGTCCATGAGACTTCCCTTCCACCCCTGGAGTGTCCACAGGAAGACCCACTGGACTCTGTCATGTCCACAGGATGCTATGTGACCATGGGACCCCATATCTGTCCCTGGGATGTCTATGTCTAGCCAACCACCCACAGATAGCCATAAAGCCCCCTGCCCTGCCCTCCCAGTGCCCACAGCTATACTCACTGCTGAGTCCAGTTTTGTTCAGGGTGCTGCCCACACCCCAAAGGGCGGCTGCCACACAGAGGATCCAGCTGTGTTGAAGGACCCAAGGCACAGGGGCCCAGAAAAAGAGGATGAAGGTGAGCAGCAGGTGCACCCCTGCTCCAGCCACGAGGGAAACCGGGCGTGACAGCCACAAGCCCAGCAGGCCCAGTAGTGAGGCGACTGAGGCGTCCAGGCTGTAAGCCACAAGGAGGTAAGCCAGCCGCTCCAGCCCCGCCGAGCACACACCATAGCCCTGCGTGGGGACAAGGGGTGAGTGTTGAAGTCCGGAACAGCCCAGACCCCAGTCTCAGCCCTCCCCGCATCGCGGGGGGTGCCTCACCCCCCTGCGATGGGTGTCCTAAGAGCCATGGGGGGTGAGGGGCTGGCTTGTACTCCCCGCATCGCGGGGGGTGCCTCACCCCCCTGCGATGTGTGTCCTAAGAGCCATGGGGGGTGAGGGGCTGGCTTGTACTCCCCGCATCGCGGGGGGTGAATCACCCCCCTGCGATGTGGGTCCTAAGAGCCAGGGAGGGAAAGAGGGGCTGGCTCTTACTCCCCGCATTGCGGGGGTGCCTCACCCCACTGCGATGGGGGTCCTAAGAGCCAGTGGGGGAAGAGGGACTGTCTCTTACTCCCCGCATGGCGGGGGGTGCCTCAGCCCCCTGGGATGGGGGTCCTAAGAGCTAGGAGGGGAAGAGGGGCTGGCTCTTACTCCCCGCATCGCGAGGGATGCCTCACTCCCCTGCGATGGAAGTCCTAAGAGCCAGGGTGGGAAGAGGGGCTGGCTCTTACTCCTCGCATCACGGGAGGTGTGTACAACCCCTGCGATATTGGCAGTAATATCATCCTCTCCCCCTGAACCTGAGAAATAATATCTCAGGAGCATGTAAGCCCCCTGCGATATTGGAAGTAACATCATTTTCTCCCCCTCCAGATATTCGGAAAAATATCACAGTGGGTGTGTACAGCCCTTGCGACATTGCCGCTAGTATCTTCCTCTCCCTCCCAGGATAGAAGGAACAATGTCACAAGGGGGTGTACACCCCCTGCGATACTCGTGGTGATATCTTCCTCTCCCCCGCTGCCTATTAGGAACAATGTCACACAAGGGGTGTACACCTCCTGCTATAATGGGAGTGATATCATCCTCTCTGTCCCTGGATATTAGGAACAATAACCCTAGGGATTGTACACCTCCTGCAATATTCAGACTAATATCATCCTCTCGCCCCCCGGATATTAGGATCAATATCACAGGAGTGGTGTGCACCCCCGGCGAAATTGGAAGAAATATCATCCTCTCCACCTTTGGATGTTCGGAACAGTATCACAGGAGATGTCTCCGCCCACTGCGATTTTGGGAGTCGTAACATCCTCTCCCACCCAGGATATTAGGAACAACATAATCGAAGGGATGTACACCCACTGCGATATTTTCCATAATGTCATCCTCTACCCCCTGGCTATTAGGAGTAACATCATAGAGGGTTGTACACTTTCTGCGATATTGGGAGTCATATCCTCTCCCCCACGGATATCGGGAACAGTTTTATTAATTATTAATATTAATAAATATAATAACAATTAACAGTAATCATTGATATTAATAACTACAGTGGAGACAGTAAAACTTAATGTGGATTAAAAATATTCATGATTACAATTAATAATAGCAATATCAATATTAATAGTAAAATAATAATATCAGTAATTAATGTTACTTAAATCCATCATAAGTGATGTTGGTAATAAAACAATGATTAATGTTAATATTAATAACTAATATTATTAAAAATGGCATTAATAGTAAGAATTAATTTTAATCATGCATAATCATATCTTTAAAATAATCATTAATGACTAATAAAGTTATACTATTAATTAATATTACCATTTATAATCATTAATGAGACTGATGTTTAATAATTCATAATATTATTACTCCTAATACCGCAGGGGGTGTACACCTACCTGTGATATTGTTCCTAATATCCAGGGATGGAGAACTTGATATTAGTTTTAATATCGCAGTAGGTGTACACTCACCCTGTGACACTGATCCTAATATCCAGCGGGTGGAGTATGACATGACTGCCAACATAGCAATGAATGTACAGCCACCCGGTGATATTGCTCCTAATATTCAGGGAAGAAGCGTATATTACTCCCAATATCGCAGGGAGTGTACACCTCTTCTGTGATATTGTTCCTAGTATCCCGAAGAGGAGAGGGTGACAATAATTCCAGCATCATAGGCTGTGTTCACCCAGCCTGTGATATTGTTATTAATATCCTGAAAGGGAGAGGATGATATTACTCCCCATAATAGATAGATATGCCTCCCCATAATAGAGCAGGAGGTGTACACCCACCCTGTGATATTCTTCCTCATATTAAGAGGCCGAGAGGTTGATATTACTTCCAATATCGCAGGAAGTGTACACCCCCGTGTGAGATGGTCCTTCGTAATATTCCAAGGCGGAGGGGTTGATATGACTACATATATGGCAGAAAGTGTACACCCCCCAGGTATATTGTTCCCATGATCCTGGAGGGAAGAGGATGATCTTACTTTAAATATAACAGAAGGTGGACATGCCCCCAATGATATTGTCTCTAATTGCAACGTGGGAGAGAAGGATATGACACCCAGTACCGCAGGGAGTAGAAACACCCCTGTGTTACTGTTCTTAATATTCAGGGAGGACGAGGATGATATTGTTCCCAATACAGACGGTGTACACCCGTCTGTGAAATAGTTCATAATTTCCAGAGGGGAGATGATATTACTCACAATGTGGTAAACAGACTGTGAGTCCACTGCGGATCCTAAAAACCCAGAGGGGGAAGAGGGGCTGGCTCTTACTCCCCGCATCGCGGGGGGTGCCTAACCCCCCCTGCGATGGGGGTCCTAAGAGCCGGGGGGGGATGAGGGGCTGGCTCTTACTCCCCGCATCGCGGGGGGTGCCTCACCCCCCTGCGATGGGGGTCCTAAAATCCAGGGTGGGAAGAGGGGCTGGCTCTCACTATTCCTGAGGGAATAGTTTAGAGGGACTCATTCCCTGCTATCGTGGGTGAGATATCTATGAAAAGGACAACCAGTGGGGGAGGGTAGCAAAATTTTGAAGTAGATTTCTGAGACCCCAGCACAATCAAGAACAGAAACTCCACACTCTGCTGAGCGGATAGTTTGCACATTGGTCTCCTCCCATCTGCCCAGCTCACTCTGCTGTCTGTCCTGAGGAGGAAACAAAACAAGGTTCCTGACCGTCCCTCAGCACTCACTTGAAGGGGGGGCCCGTCCCTCCACACCTGTGCGTATTTCTAGTCGGGTGGGATGAGAGACTGAGAAAAGAAATAAGACACAGAGACAAAGTATGGAGAAACAACAGTGAGCCTAGAGGACCGGCGCTCAGCATACCAAGGAGCTGCACTGACACAAGCCTCTGAGTTCCCTCGGTTTTTATTGGTTATTATTTTTATTATTTCAGCAAAAAGGAATGTAGTAGGAGGGCAGGGTGATAATAAGGAGAAGGTCAGCAACGAACATGTGAGCAATAGAATCTATGTCATAATGAAGTTCACGGGAAGGTACTATGACTGGACTCGTACGCAAGCCAGATTGATGTTTCTCTCCACCCAAACATCTCAGTGGAGTAAAGAATAACAAGACAGCATTGCTGAAAACGTGTCTCACCTCCCACAATAGGGCGGTTTTACCCCCATCTCAGAATTGAACAAATGTACAATCGGGTGTTATACCAAGACATTCAGTTCCCATGGGCAGGCAGGAGACAGTGGCCTTCCTCTCTCTCAACTGCAAGAGGCTTTCCTCTTTGACTAATCCATCTCAGCCAGACCCTTTACTGGTGTCGGGCTCGGGGACGGTCAGGTCTTTCTTCTCCCACGAGGCCACTTCTCAGACTATCACATGGGGAGAAACCTTGGACAATACTCCGCTTTCAAGGGCAGGGCTCCCTGTGGCTTTCCACAGTGTATTGTGCCCCTGGTTTATTGAGACTAGAGAATGGCGATGACTTTTACCAAGTATACTGCTTGGAAACATCTTGTTAACAAGGCACGTCCTGCACAGCACTAGATCCCTTAAACCTTGATTTTATACAACACATGTTTTTGTGAGCTTCAGGTTGGGTCAAAGTGGCTGGGGCAAAGCTACACATTAACAACATCTCAGCAAAGCAATTGTTGAAAGTATAGGTCTTTCTCAAAATGGAGTCTCTTATGTCTTTCCTTTCTACATAGACACAGTAAGAGTCTGATCTCTCTCTCTTTTGCCTACACTCACTGAACTGCCCTTCCCATCTGCTGGGCCATGACCACGGAGAACATGTCCACTGTCTTCCCTTTGTGGTGCACCATGGAGGCTCAGGCTCCGTCCTCAAGGCTGGCAAGAAGACAGGGTGAGACATGAGCCTCCTGATACAGGTGACGGGAGTGGAGCCCACAGGACTGCAACCTCACACTGCAGGGCTGGAGGCACAGACTGACTATTTACTATTCTGTGGCCTGGGGGGCTCAAGGCACAGAGCTCCTTATTAGCCAAAGTCACCCAAGTTCCCCAACCTCTAAGGATTTCCTCATAATAATGCAAGAAGTAGAAGAGAAAAGTGAGTGTCCATAGAAGTTTTGGGGCTCTTCCTCTAATCAGGAGAAAGCTGGTGTGTATTCTTCACTTCTTTCTTTTCTTTTTAAACATCCAACTGCTTTAATTTTCATCTTTTATTATGGGAAAATATACCACGTATAAATATGAAAAATTATAAATATATATTAGTTCATATAGAATGGCCAGTATAAACATTTACTGTTTCCACGCTTTTTCAGTTTACAGTTTCATGACATTAAGTACGTTCACATTGTTTAGCAACCATCACCGTCATCGTCTCTGGAACAGTTTTATCTTTCAAAATGGAAATTGCACCCTTTCACCAAGCTCTCCACTCCTCTCTCTCGCCCGCCCCTGGGGGCCACCTTTCTAGTTTGCAACTCTATGAGTTTAACTACTCTAGACACTTGATAGATAAGTGGAATCATACCGTGTTTAATTTTCTTGTTTTGGAAACAGAGTCTTTCTCTGTCACCCCGGCTGGAGTGTAGTGACGTGATGTCGCCTCACTGCAACCTCCACATTGTGGGTTCAAGCGATTCCTGTGTCTCAGTCTCCCGAGTAGCTGGGATTACAGGCGTGCGTCACCACGCCCAGATAATTTTTGTATTTTTAATAGAGACCATATTGGCCAGGCTTGTCTCGAAATCCTGACCTGAAGTGATCCGCCTGGCTCAGCCTCCCCAAGTGCTGGGGCTACAGGTGCGAGCCACCGAGCCTGGGCGTGTTTATCCTTTTGGGATTTATTTATTTCAGTGACGATAATGTTTTCAAGGTTCATCCATGTTGCAGCCTGCGTCAGAAGTGCCTCTCTGTTGTTTTTTTGTTTGTTTGTTTTTTGGTTTTGTTTGTTCGTTTGACTTTGTTTTGTTTTGTGTTTCCATGGAGTCTCACTCTGTCGCACAGGCTGGAGTGCAGCGCCACAATCTGGGCTCACTGCAACCTCCGCCTCCCGGGTTCCAGCCATTCTTGTGCCTCAGCCTCCTGAGTACTTGGAACTATAGGCACACGACACCGCGCTCCTCTCATTTTTTGCATTTTCAGTAGAGACAGGGTTTCACAAAGATGGCCAGGCTGGTCTTGAATTCCTGACCTCAGGTGATCCGCCCACCTCGGTCTTCCAAGACGCTACGATTACAGGCGTGAGCCACCGCACCGGCCAGAAGTGCCTGCCTTTTGAAGGCTGAATAGTCTTCCACTGTATGAAGGAACTGCAGTGTGCTTTTTCATTCATCTGTCCACGAACCCTTGGTTTGCTTCCACATTTTGGCTGTTGTGAATAATGCTGCTATGAATATGGGTGTACACAAGTCTCTCTTCCTCTCCTGGCTTCTAATTCTTTTTGGTAGGTACCCACAAATGCAACTGCGGGAACATCTGATCATTCTGTTTCTAATTTTTTCAGTACACGCCATACTATTTTCCCCATTCCTTCACGGTTTTACATTCCCTCCGATCATATTCGAGCATTGCTACTTCCCTCTAGTCTCACCAATGCCTGTTTGTTTATCATATCCATCCTAATGTGTGGTATCACATTCTTGGTTTGATTTGTGCTTCCCTATGATGAGTGATTTTGAACATCATTTTAGATGCTTATTGGCCATTGCTATATCTTCTTTAGGAACATGTCTACTCGAGTCTTCTGACCATTGTTGATGGGATGCTTTGGGTTTCTTGTTGTTTAGTTCTAGCTGTTCTTTATATATGATGGCTATCAGCCTCTTTTCAGATATATGCTTTCCAAATATTTTTCCTAATCCATGGGTTATCTTTTCACTCAGTTCGCAGTGTTTTTTGCTGCACAAAAGTATCTGTCATTTAGATGTAATCCAAGGAATCTAATTTTCTTTTGTTGCCTATGCTTTTGGTGTCATATCCCAGAGAACATTGTCCAATCTGATGTCATGAAAGTAGGGCCAATGTTTTCTTTTAGGCGTATGATACTTTTAGCACTTGGGGTGAGGTCTTTGATCCAGTTTGTGTTAATTTTTGCACCTGGTGTGACATAGGGTCCACCTTCATTCTTCTGCATGTGGAAATCAAGTTTCTCCAACACCATTTCTTGAAAAGGCTGCTTTTCCACCAATGAGCTTTCTTAGCACTCGTGAAAAATCATTTGAACATATAGGTGAGAAGTTATTTCTGGTCTCCAAAACAAACAAACAACAACAGACAACAGATAAGGATACAGCATGGGCCGGGCGGAGTCGCTCACGCCTGTAATCCCAGCCCTCTGGGAGTCCAAGGCTTGCGGATCACCTGAGGTCAGGAGTTGAAGACCAGCCTGACCGACAGGGAGAAACCCCAGTCTCTTCTAGAAATACAACATTAGCTGGGCGTGCTGACGCATGCCTGTAATCCCAGCTACTCGGGAGGTGGAGGCAGGAGAATCGCTTGAACCCAGGAGGCAGAGGTTGCGGTGAGTAAAGTTTGCACCATGACACTCCAGCCTGGGCAACAAGAGTGAAACTCCATCTCAAAACAAACAAACAAAAAAAAAACCAGCATGATTTCAAGAACAGAAAGAGAATAGCTTAAAAACCAGCATAATGAGAAAGTTAGGAAGCTTCTTACCAAAGCATCTGGAAATATGCAAGCAATTCTGGTGAACTAAAATTTTCATACTGTACTATCAAATACTAGAACTCACTTATTCTATCTTTCTGTATTTTGGGACCCAATTATCCACTTGTCTTCATTCCCTATGCCACCTGTTTTCTTCCTAGCGTCTGCTAACCACCTTTATACTTTCCACCTTCCTGAGATTCCTTTTGTGTGTAGGTGTGTGATGGAGTCTCTTTCTGTTGCCCAGGTTGGAGTACGCAGGCACAATCCGGGTTCACTGCAAGCTCCGCCCCCCGAGTTCAAGTGCTTCTTGGGCCTCAGCCCTCCGAGTAGCTGAGACTACAGGCACGCGTCACCACGCCTGACTCATTGTTTGTGTTTTCCGTAGAGACGGGGTTTCACCATGTTGGCCAGGCGGGTCTCAAACTCCTGGACTCAAGTGATCTGTGCGACTCGGCCTTCCAGAGTGCTGGGATGACAGGCCTGAGCCACCACACCTGGCCAAGGTTTCCTTCTTTCTTCCTACATAGAAGTGAGGACATGAAATATTTGTCATTCTCTGCCTGGCTTATTTCATTTAATATAAAGACCTGCAATCTCATCCATTTTGTCTGTAGCGGAGAGGAGTTTCTTCCTTTTTAGGCTGAATAATACTTCACTGGGTGTGTATACCACAGTTTCTTCATTGAAACAAATTTCTGAAGAGCAAATAATTTTAAAATGTCTCGGAATATGAAACTTCAGGGATACTGTGCCCATTTTATTCTTTTCTATTTCCCATCTTATGTATATGCAAGTGTATAATAAAGTAGCAACCAATGTGTGTATAAATCTATAACTTGAAGAAAGGTAAAATGTAAATGCTAAGTGGTGGCTGGGCAAGGTCGCTCATGCCTGCAATCCCAGCACTTTGGGAGGCGGAAGCGGGCGGATCACCTGAGGTCGGGAGTTCAAGACCAGCCTGACCAAAATGGAGAAACACTGTCTCTATTAACAATACAAAAAAAAAAAAAATTAGTCAGACATGGTAGCGCATGCCTGTAATCCCAGCTACTTGGAAGGCTGAGACAGGAGAATTGCTTGAATATGGGAGGCAGAGGTTGCAGTGAGCCGAGACCGTGACATTGAACTCCAGCCTGGGCAACAAGAGTGAAACTCTGACTCAAAAAAAAAAAAAAAAAGGAAAAGAAAGAAATAGAAAATGCGAAATGGTAAGAAAAAACAGCATAATAAACATTTGTATGGTGTTGATGGACAATGCATTTGAAGATAATATTTGAAGAAATCATATTACAATTAATTTCTGTTCTTCCTCATTGGAGCTTGATGCCTCTAAAAACTTCGTCATTGGAACCACCTCTGGTGCTTTAAAAGAAAAAAAAAATCCACATACTCACACAGGTGCAAGGAAATCAGAATCTCAGGTATTGAGACCCAGGCCTCATCATTTGTAAGCTCCCCAGGTGATTTGACTCAAAGCCAAGATTGAGGAACGGCGACATGGATCTCTACACTTAACCTGCCTAAATAGATTCTCTAGAAGCAGTTCATAAAAAAACTCCACATGAACTGTGGAAGAGGATATGAATTTGATGTACAGTATGTCCTCACTTAACATCTTTGAAAGTCTCTTGGAAACTTCACCTTGAAGCAAAATTATGTACAGTGAAACCACCTATTTTTCATCAACAGTACAACTACACAACTTTGAACAACCAATTGTGTTGGAGGACCTCCTGTACATTGTTTCCATTAAGTCAGTTTTCAGGGAATTCCAAAACGAAGTGAGGACTTCGTGTATATAAAAAGATGGTTGTGATTCCACCTGGATGACAGGGTTATTGCTCAGAAACTAAAAGAGGCTGCCTAGGTATAGAGGATTCTGTCATGAGGTTTCTGCTAAACAAAGGGTCCCAGAATCCTCACCCATTCCAGTTCAAGGCATAATGAAGAAAGCAATATTCACAAAGGAAATGCGGAAAGGAATAAAAGCCATCAAGCCACAAAAAGAATGTGACTAAGGGGCAGGATTTGCAGATGTAGAGATTTACTGTGGTTGCCCTTTCTCATCCACACAAGAAAAAGGATGGAACAGATCATGAGATTCGACTGTTCTGCTGCGCAGCCTCCGCAAGGCACTTTGTATGTCCCTGTTTCTCAGGCTGTAGATGAAAAGGTTCAGCATGGGGGTGACCACAGCGTACATCATTGACGCCACTACACCATTCCTGGGAGGTGGTGACACAGCTGAAGTCAGGTACATCCCAATGTCTGTTCCATAAAATCAGCAAACAACTGCTAGGTGAGAGTCACAGGTGGAGAAGGCTTTATACTTCCCATCTGAAGATGAAATCCTGAGAATGGAGGTGACGATTTTATAGTAAGATAAAAGGATTGCTGAAATGGGAAGAAAAGCAAACATAGTACTATGGAAATATGTGAATATGCTATTGATGACGCTGTCAGAACAGGCAAGTTTGAGAAGTTGAGAGGGGTCACAGACAAAATTAGAGATTTCCACATTCTTGATGATTGTGAATTGTAACACAATCCAACTGTGCAGCTGGGAATCCAACAGGCTAAGGAAAAAGGACATCAAAATGAAGAAGACACAGAGGTGAGGATTCACGATGACTGGGTAATTCAGAGGGCGACAGATGGCTACAAAGCAGTCATAGGCCATCACAGTCAGGATCATGCCTTCTATACATGCAAAAAGGACCAAGAAAAACATCTGTGTCAGGCAGCCCTCATGAGAGATGACTCTGCTATGCGACTGCATGTCCACAATCATCTTGGGAACCATGGCCGAGGTGAAACCGATGTCAGCCCAGCACAGGTTGGAGAGGAAGAAGTACATGGGGGTGTGGAGGGGGGAGTCAGAGCTGACAGCCAGGATACTGAGGAGGTTCCTCAGCACCGTGACCAGATACATGGACAGGGACAGGGACAGCAAAGCGAGGACCGGCTGCAGTTCTGGATCCTCTGAGAGTCCCAGGAGGAGGAATTCTCAGACACCTGTGAGATTCCGTGGCTCTGTGTGTCTTGGACACCTTGAGAAGGAAAGAGGATTGGAAAAATAAAAGATAAAAACCAGCCGTTAATGCTAGATGCAAGCAATTCACAAGGAACGTCTTCACACTTGCGGACCATACGCCGCCAGCAATGTTTCTCAGTTGTGACAATTCCAACAATCTCAGAATTATTACGTGATTTACTTTTTTGCTATACAAGGCTTTCTGTACATACTATTTTAGAGAAAATCCACTGAAGAATATTAGAAGACCAAAACGTCATATATCACAAATCCGTGATCTCAGTAAAATACGGCCTACTCTTTTCAGAAAAAATGCAATGCAATGACAATGTCCTTCTCTCTTGAAGAAAAAGATCTCAGTCTAATTGAAAGAAATTAAGAAGCCATGAAATACACTCTACTTTATTCTGACACCGTGCTACAACTTCCATTGATGTAGAATATGTAAAAGGATGACACAAGAGCTAGGACCCCATTATCTGAAAATGAAATCGAACCTTATCGTTCTCAATCGGAAGAGCTTTTCACATGCCTGTTACTTTTCATATTTATTATCATCCTTCTGTTTTCTGACATCATTTCTTCATAAAAGTACATGCACACTCTAAAATGGGAGCTGTGTTTCCAAATGAATTGAATATATAACTCTTGGTCCAGCACCATGGTTCACACCTGTAATCCCAGCACTTTGGGCAGCCGAGGCTGATGGATCACCTGAGGTCAGGAGTTCCAGACCAGCCTGGCCAACGTGGTGAAACCCCATCTCCAGTGAAAGTAAAAAAAAATTAGCCGGACGTTGTGGCGGGTAACTCTAGGTACTCAGGAGGCTGAAGCGGGAGAATCCCTTAGAACATGGAAGGCAGAGATTGGACACCCTGTGATAGGATTTTTGATATCCTAGGGAGATAGTGCTCCTGATAGCAGAGTGGGCGTACACCCTGTGATATTATTTGTAATATCCTAGAAAGATATTGCTCCTAATATCACGGTGGCTCTACACCCTGTGATCTTAATTGTAATATCCTACAGAGATCTTACTCCTAATAATACAGTGGGTGTACACCCTGTGATATTATTCATAATATATTACAGAGATACGACTCCTGATATCACAGTGAGTGTACACCATGTTTGTACACCCTGTGATATTTGTAACAACTTAGAAAAATATTACAGCTAATATCAAAGTGGGTGTACATCCTGCGATGTTTTTTGTTATCTACCAGGTAGATATTACTCCTAATATCACAGTGAGTGTACACCATGTGTGTACAGACTGTGAAATTATTCGTAATACCCTAGGAAGATATTACTCCTCATATCACAGTGGGTGTATGTAAACCGTGAGTGATATTTTTTTCTAATATCATGTGGGGGAGAGGATGTTATTGCTTCCAATATCACAGAAGGTGTACACCCCCCTGTGATAGTGTTCCTAATATCCAGGGAAGGAGAGGATGACATTATTCGCAATATCACTGGGGGTGTACCACCTCCCGCCGGGATATTGTTCTCAATATCCAGAGGTGGAGAGAATGATGTCACTCCCAATATCACAGGGGGTGTACACCACCCCTGTTTGTAAACACCCCCCGTGATATTGTTCCAAATGGCCTGTGAAAGAGTAAACATGACTCCCATTATCGCAGGGGGTGTTCAGCCCTGATGATATTGTTTTCTAACATCCAGTGAAGGAGAGCATGCTATTACTCCCAATATCGCAGGGGTTGTACACCCTTTTGTGTTTTTGTGCCCAATATCCAGGAAAATAGAGGATGATATTACTCCCAAGACCGAAGTAATTGTACAGCACCCCTGTGATATTCTTCCTAATATCCAGAAAGGAAAAGAATGATATTACTCCCAACAGCGTAGGAAATGTATACCCGCGCTGTGCTATCTTTCCCAGTATCCAGGTGGGGAGAGGATCATATTACTTCCAATGTCGCAGGGTGTGTACACCCCCTCTGTGATCTCATTGCTAAGATCCAGGTTTGGGGAGGACGACATTACTCCCAATATCGCAGGGGGAGTATACCCCCCCGTGACCTTGTTAGTCATTTCCCGGGTGGAGAGGATAATCTTACTCCCAATATCGCAGGGGGTGTACACAACCCTGTGATATTGTTCCTAACATCCAGAGCGAAAGAGGATGATATGACTCTCAATATCGCAGAGGGTGTACACCCCTCCTGTAATATTGTTCTGAATACCCTGGGAGGGAGAGGATAAGGTTACGTTGAATATCGCAGGGAATGTACACCCTCCCCCTCTGATACCCTTCCTCATGTCCAGGGGAAGAGAGGAAAATTTCACTCCCAATATCACGGAGGCAGTACACCCCACCTGTGATGTTGTTCCCCATATGCAAGGGGGGAGAGGATGATACTACTCTCAATATCGCAGGGCTGTTCACATCCCCAGTGACATTTTTTCCTAATATCTAGGGGAGAGGCAATTATATGACAGCAAAGGTCGCAGGGTCTGTACATCCCTTCCTGATATTGCTCCTAATATCCAGGGGGGAAGAGGATGATATCAAATATGAAAGGGGGTGTACATCCCCCACCCCTACGATATTGTTCTTAAAAATCGTGAGGGGAGACGATGATATGACTGCAAATATCGCTGGGGTTGTTCACAACCCCCTGTAATATTGTTTCTGATATCCAGGGGGAGAGAAAATCATATTACTTCCAATATTGCAGGTGCTGTATACCCCACCTGAAATATGGCACCGAATATCCAAAGAGGGAGAGGATGGTATTCCAACCAATATCGAAGTGTGTGTACACCCCCCTTGTGATATGCTTTTTAATATCCAGTGGGCGGGAGGATGATATTAGTCCCAACATCCCAGAGGGTGTACACTACCCCTGTGATATTGTCCCTAACTTCCAGAGGGGAGAGGATGATATCACTCCCAATATCTCAGAAGTTGTACATCCCCCATGATATTGTTCGTCATATCCAGGGAGGTTTCGCGACAGGCGTACACACACAGTGTGATATTATTCCTAATATCCAAGAAGGGAGAGGATGATATTACTCCCAATAAAGTAGTGGGTGCACATCACCCCTGTGTTATTGTCTCTAATATCCGGGGCCGGGGGATTGGGGGAGAGGATAACTTTCCCTCAAATTTAGCAGGTGGTTTGACGCAACTTGTGGTATTGTTTTAAATATCCAGCGGGGAAGACAATAGTACTATTTTTGATAGTCCGATTCATCCACTCCACCTTTCCGGAACTCTGAGGCCGGGAGGCGGCATGCAGTTTCCGCGTGATCCCCAATACCTTTGCCGTCTTCTGTACCAAGGCAGCCAAAAACGCAGACCCGTTGTCTCAGCCGATCCGTAAGGGCGGTCGAAATCTAGGAATCAGATCTCGAAGAAGCACAGGGGTTACTTCACAAGCTTTCTCAGTTCGTGTTGGATAGGCCTCCACCCACCCAGAGTAGGTGCGCCCAAGAACTAGTACATACTTGTTACCTCCACACTTTTGCATCTCGGTGAAGTCCATCTGGAGACCTTCAAATGGGGCTGCTCCATAAGCTCGTATGCCGGGCGGAACGGCTAGACCTTGCCTCGCATCATGCTGTCGGCAGGTAACACACCGCTGCCTCACCGTTTTTGCAAGGGCTGACAAAGGTGAGATGTAGAAATACCGGCCTAACAACTTTTCCAGTGACTCCTGACCTCGATGGGTGGTTTCTTGCACAGCCAGTACAACTGCAGCTCCTAGCAGCTGTGGCACAGCTACTCTCCCATCTGGTAACTGAATCCATCCTTCCTCCATCACTTGTCCTTCCTCTACCTGGAGAAAGTCCTTTTCTTCTTTAGAAGAAGTAGGTCCAAGATCAGGTGCTTGAGGGAGCACTGATGCCCGGAAGGGGGCAGATGCTGCTTTTCCAGCCTCTGAGTCAGCACGGGAATTCCCCAAACCCAGCAAGGTGGAAGCTCGCTGGTGTCCCTTGCAATGCCTAACTGCCACCTTGTGGGGTTTCCATACTGCTTCTAATCATTGCAAGATTTCTTGTGGATATTTTCTGTCTTTTCCCCCAGAGTTCAATAGGCGCTTTTCTTTCTATCACGCTCCATGCACTTGAAGGGTTGAAAAGACATACCGAGAATCAGTGTAAATGTTGACAGTCTCACCCTCACTGAGCTCTAAGGCCAGAATGAAAGCAATGAGTTCAGCTTTCTGGGCTGAAGTGGCCTGGGGCAACGATCTGGCTTCAACAACAGTGCCCAGGGTTATCACTGCATACCCTGCACCTCTCTCTCCTTGGAGGTTGAAGAAGCTGCTCCCGTCCACGTATAGTTCCCACTCTACTGATGCCCAAGCCTGGTCCCGGAGGTCAGGTCTGCTAGAGTCAACTGAGTCCAACACTTCTACACAATAAGGCTCAACAGGGCTCTCTGATACGGGACACAAGGTAGAGGGGTGTAGGCTGTTACAAACTTCAATGGTTATACGGGAATTTTCACAGAGCCAAGTCTGGTACTTAGTGAGTCTGGCATTCGTTAGCCAATGATGTCCTTTAGTATTCATTAAAGCCACCACAGCACGGGAGGCCTTTATGTTCAGGTTTCGCCCAAGAGTCAGCTTATTTGCTTCTTGTACTAGCAGGGCAGTTGCTGCCAAAGCCCTCCAACAGGGGGGCCATCCTTTAGAAACCCCGTCTAGTTGTTGAGAGAGGTAGGCCACCGGCCTCGGCCAGGGCCGCATAGTTTGGGTTCAAAGTCCAGCTGCCATCTTTTCTCTCTCTGATGCATACAATGGAAAAGGCTTTGTCAGATCGGGTAGCCCCAGGGCTGGGGATGCCAGAAGTTTTTCCTTTAACTCATGAAAGACTTGCTGTTGTTGGGATCCCCATTCCAAAGGTTCCCGTTCCCCGCCCCCTTTGTGACCTCATACAAAGGCTTGGCTAATACTGCAAAGTTTGGGATGCACAGTCTACAAAACCCCACAGCTCCCAAGAATTCTCTCACCTGCCTTCTGCTCTTAGGCTCTGCTAGATTGCAAACGACCTGCTTTCTTTCTGATCCCAGGCTGTGTTCGGACCCCTGTTGGATAGTAAATCCCAAGTAACGTACCTGCTGTCGGCAGATCTGAGCTTTCTTCTTGGACACCTTCTACCCACAGTCCTCCAGGTGCCGGTGTAGGGCATCTGTTCCCTTGGCACACCCGAGTGCCGTGGGGTGTCCCAGCGGAAGGCCATCAACCTACTGGAGGAACACGCAGCCTAGGTCTCTGCTGGGAAACTTCTGGAGGTCTTGAGCCAACGCCTCCCCGAAGATGGTGGGGTAGTGCTTGAACCCTTAGGGAAGCCCGGTCCAAGTGTACTGAGTAGTGACACCTGACTCCGGATCTTCCCACTGAAAAGCAAACAGCTTCTGCCTCTCAGGGGCTAATCTGATAGGAAAGAAAGCATCTTTCAGGTCCAAGCAGGTGAACCAGCTGTCCTCAGCTGGCAACAACCCCAACAATGTGGACAGGTTAGGTACTGTTGGAGGGAAAGTCAGTGTAGCTTGATGAAGCAAGTGCAAATCCTGTACCGGCCGGTAGTCCTTGGTCCGTGGCTTGGGAACAGGCAGGAGGGGAGTGTTCCATGGAGACTGACAAGGAACAATAATTCCAAAACTTCTTAGGTGCTTGAGACGGACTTGGATACCTTGAAGGGCTTCTGTGGGGACCGGGTCCTGTTTTTGCCTCACTGGCTGGGCCCCAGTCTTAACTGGCAAATCCTGGAGGGTTGTCTTCTGCCTGTACTCTTGGCCACCTCTTAGCCAGAGCTGGTCTTCTCTCTTGGCCCGGCTCAATTCAGAAAAGTCTCCATTCCTCCTCTCGGGGGAGCAAAAGCCTCATAATGTCTCCCGTTAAAGGTAACTTTAGCATCAAAGAGCTGTGCTCTGTCAAAGAGATAGTGGCTCTCAGCTTGCTGAGCAAATCCTTTCCCAAAAAGGTCAAGGGACAGTCAGGCATGTACCAAAACTGATGAATGACTTGATGTCCTCCTACAGTACAAGTCCGAGGCAAGCAGAAAGCTTGCTTTCCTGAAACCCCCGTGGCTCCGATGACGTCAATAGTCTTTTTGGATAAGTGGGTGACCGGGGCGGTTACTAGCGAATGTTCAGCACCGCTATCTACAAGAAAGTCAATGTCTCCACCCCCAACTGTCATTCTGACCACAGGCTCTTTGGGGACGCTTGAGTCCGGTCTCCCTCAGTCCAAGAACCCTTCTGCCAGGTTGAGCAGGGCCGCTTCCTCCTTGTCTGGGGCCTCCTGCTCTGAGTCACCTTGTTTTCTTTTGAGCTGAGGGCATTTGTTCTTCCACTGTCCTATTTCTTTACAATGAGCACGCTGGTTACGCTGCAAACTCTGACAGCCAAGCTGAGTTTCTTTCCCAGGGCCCCCCTTCCCTTGCCTCTTTGGGGGGGTCCCTCTGATTGCTGCAGCTGACAAACAGGGCGGCGTGTCTCCGGGCCTGACCTCCATTCTCTTTGCCGTTTTCCTTAGGGCTTACTGCATCCCTGTTTACAAACACCTGGCTAGCTATTTCTAGTAATTGGGATGGATTCATCCCTGCAAGCCCAGCCTGTTTCTGCAGTTTTCCTCTCATGTCTTCTTCGCTTTGACGGACTAAAGCCATGTTAATCATGGGCTGATTTTCAAGGCTATCGGAATCAAAGGGAGTATACATACGATAGGCCTCACACAGTCTCTCGTAGAATTGTGCTGGACTTTCCTGTTTTCCCTGAATGACCTCAGAGACCTTGTTAACGTTTGTGGCCTTCTGCGCTCCCCTCATTAATCCTTCCAAGAGAGCTTCCCTGTCTCGGTTTAGCCTTTGCATATCCTCTCTTTCATGTGGGTCCAACTGGGGGTCGGTTCCTGGTGACTGGGTCCTTCCATACTCTTGGGGGTTTTGATAATCAGCTGGTGCATGCTCCTCTAGCCACTTAGTTGCTGCTTGGAGGACTCTCCGCCTTTCTTCTCTGTTAAAGGGAATGTGAGCAACTGTTGCCAATCAGCCCAGGTGTGGTTGTGGGTCTGGATAACAATTTGGAGCAAATCAATTAGGGCTTGTGGCTTTTTGGTATAGGGCGGTGTATTGTTTTTCCAGTAGAGAAGGTCGACGCAGGTGAAGGGCTGGTACCCAAAAACACGCTTCTCCACCACGTGACCATCCACATCTATCCCAGTATACCGCTGCTCTCTCAGGGGCATTTGTGTCCCCGTTTTGGGTCGTAAACGAGCTGCCGAGGGAGGGGTGGAATGGCGCAATGCGACTTACCGCAATTAATAATCCCAATTATTAATTGACACTAATAATTATCAATATTAATAACTGATAATATAATTTTTAAAATCAATACCGATAATAATGATAATTCATATTAAAGAGTTTTACTCATTATAACAATAAATGATGAATATTAATGATTAATGATGCCTGATATTAATAACTGATATTGATCTTATTCATTAGAAAACAGTAATATTAGCTCCTAATAATTAATATTAATATTAATAATCTGAAAACTTTTTATTAGCAATTATTTCTTAATATTAATATTAATACCGGTCATTCATATTCATGTTAATAATAAATGAGGAATAATTCATACTAATATTACGCCTAATACCTCAGTGGGTGTACACCCACCTGTGCTATTGCTCCTAATGTCCAGGGAGGGAGAGAGCATGATATTACTTTCAATATCGCAGTAGGTGTACACCCAGCCGGTGATATTGATCCAAAGATAATCTCCAGGGGTGGAGTATGACGTTACTCCCAATATAGCACTAGGTGTGCATCCACCCGGTGATTTTGCTCCTGATATTCACGGAAGAAGAGAATGCTATTACTCCCAGTATCGCAGGAGGTGTACACCCCTTCTGTGACATTGCTCCTAATATCCAGAGAGGGAGAGGGTGATATTACTCGCAATATCGCAGGCTGTGTACACCCACCCTCTGACATTGTTCCTAGCAGCCAAGAAGGGAGAGGACGATATGACTCCCCATACAGCAGGAGGTGTACACCCATCCTGGGATATTATTCCTAATATCCATGGAGAGGAGAGGCTGATATGACTCCCAATATCGCAGGGGGTGTACAACCAGTCTGTGATATTGTTCTTAATATTCAAAGGTGGAGATGTTGCAGGAGATATTGTTCTTAATATTCAAAGGTGGAGAGTTTGCAGGAGAGGTTGACCACCGCCTCCTACAGCGCAGGAAGGCGGGGTTTGCTGCCACCTGCTGACCATTCGCCATAAGAGGTGGGACGCAAGTTCACCTGAGAGCTTGGGGAGGAGAGAGGAAGGAAGGAGAAATTGAGGGAGGAGAGGGGAAGAAGGGGGGAAAGGGGGAGGGGAGGCAAGAAGAGGTGAGAAGAGGACAGGAAGAGGAAAGAGATGGGTGATGGGAAGACGGGAAAGAAGAGGGAGGGCCTTCCTGGAAGAAAAATCTGGATAGGCCTTGGACAGACCTGGGCTTAGATTCTGGCTGTGTGACCTTGGGTGGTTAATCAACGTCTCTGGGCCTCATTTCCTTTATCTACAAAGTGGCGATGACACAGCCTCCCCCTGAATGAGAGTAGCCATGAAGTGTCATGATCCCTGCTGAGGAAACCGAGGCTCCCAGAGGCGGACGGTGGAGAGGTGGGGCCGCACCGCTCGCTGCCTGGGTCCTGGAGCCCCGGAGACCCTTCAGTGCAGCGAGGGTCTGCCGCCATGCCCCAGGGTCTCCTTGGAGGCTAGAAGTTGTCCGTTTCTCACCCTGGCGTTACATTGAACCAAAGACGGCACCACAGGCTCTCTGTGTCAGATAGAAAGTCAGCTCGTGCACAGGCCAGGGCTCTCCTCCTGGTCCCAGCTGATGGGGCCACGTGGGTCCTTAGTATCTGCAAGGGGTAAGGAGATGAGACGACTGCTCCCCGGAGACAGCCAGAGTTAGATGCTCGCCAGCTCTTCTGCCTGAGCTAGTCACATCTGAGGATGACATGAGGGCAGATGGAGACCAATGTGACCCCAGCGTCACCAGGAGGGTCAGAGACAGAGCAGTGATGCTGGGAGCAGCCCATTTCACAGATGGGTAAACCGAGAACTCCCAGGGCCCTGGGTCTGCCGAGGCCACACGGGGTGGGTGCAGCCGCAGCATCTGCTGCACCCACAGAGTTCGGGTCTGGCAGCCCCCTGGTTCTCCGGGAGGACATGATCAGTACCCTACATGGTGCCAGCTTCACGGTGTGCACGGCCGCGCGGTCACACTGCAGTCGTGAGGCCTGCAGTAGTCCGGGTGCCCATCAAACCCGGTGCAGCTGTTTGGAGAATAACACAAGGCCCTTCCTCCTACAAGGTTTCCAGGTTGGACAGTTGCCCAAATACATTTCAAAAGTTGTTTCTGGGCCATGGACTTGGGCCCCCGGGATCGGCTGTCTGCAGAGCCTTCCGTCGCTGCGCCCACACCCCACACCGGGATGGCTGACTACAGCGGGAGGCTCCCGGGGGAGGGGATTCCAGCTCCAGGACTTCCTAGTGGCCTGGGGGCCAGTGGAAGCTTCCACAGCGCTGCTCAGGAACTGTGCCTCTGCCCACCCCACCCTCCCTGACGCCCCTCCCCACTCCGGTTCTCTCCTGTGCCCTCCCCAGGGCCCCAGGAAATCCAACAGATGCTGTCCTGGCTTCTTGGAGGCCCCGAGCTTCCACAGGAGGGAGCTGGGTATTTCTTTCAGGACAGCTGTTTCCTTCAGGGCTGGGGCCACACGCACTCCCTGCGCAAAGACACTGTAGCCCAGAGAGTGAATGAGTGGAGGAGTGATTGTCTTGTCCAGCAGGGAGGCCCCAAGCACCAGCACAATGTTCGGCTCACAGCTCTGTGCTGAACAATCCTTAGGATTCAGGGGATGGGGAGGGTGAGACTGGGAAGGGAGCTGCAGGTGTGTGGGGGCTGCTCTGGAGCATCACGGACCCCTCTTCCGCACACCTCGGGTCGGTGCTCCGTCTGTGTAACCCTCGCGAGGAAGCTGGGCAGTGTGGGCTGGCGGGGTGAGGCCCTTGGACAGCCCCCAGGAGAGGCGGGTCCCAGGGCATGCCCATAATGAAAAGGGACCTGCTTCTCTTTGGGGATGTTGGAGGAAGGGCAGCCACCAAGGCTGAGAGCCAGGGACCGCCCCGCCACAGCAGGGTTCTTGGGCTAGGGCGTGGTGGGGAGGCCACCAGTCTCTCTGTGCTATTTTCCTGGTGTTATTTCTGGGCCCTTTGAGTTTTGTCTCATTGCTGTAGCCTGTGTCCAGCTGAGCTTTGGGGACCAGGGGGCTGAGGGCCTGTGTGGGACAGAAAGGCAGCCCCTAGGTTCTGTCTCGCCCAGGCCAGCAGGGAGGAGACAGAGCAGCTGGTGAGAGAAGAGGGATATGGCACGCCTTGGGGGACCTGGGTGGGGTGGAGGTGCAGCCACCCTTCTCTGCCTGGCAGAGTTCCCTTAGAGGACAGGACTGTCAGCAGCCACCCTTCTCTGCCTGGCAGAGTTCCCTTAGAGGACAGGACCGTCAGGAAGGTGGGAGGGGGCTCACAGGTGGGTGTCGCTGGCCCATCCTACAGATGAGCAGTGAGAGGTCAGGTGACAGCTGCAGGTGCCGTCCGGGCCCTGCCTTCCATCTGTGCCACCCCAAGACAGAATCCAGAGGCTAGAGGGAGGGGTCCCAGCTGGGGCCATATTGCAGAAGCCCCAAGGAAATGGGACTTTTACCCCCATGAAGAACAGCACCCCTGAAACTGCTAATTCCTCCTGGCCCTCCTCAGGAAGCCCCCGGACTTACCCCCTCTACTGCTGCCCCCCACATACCTGCTCCCCTCTGCTCCATGTCTGCCTGTTTCTGGACACCTGAGCTTCTCATGGGGTGGGGGAGCCATGGCTGCGTCCTGTCCCTCGGGGCAGATGCCCAAGGTGCCTTTGGGATTGATCAAATCATCACAATTCAACAAGAGAATAAAAATACATTTCAAGACACAAATGCCAAAATGGGTGGGAACAGCAAATATTTTGGGGTTTTGTGACATATTTTAGAAACAACAGATGTAGGGGGACATCTGTGACATTTTGTGACACATTTTAGGGGGACATCTGGACATTTTGTGACACATTTTAGAAACAACAGATTCTGTGCCTCAGATGTAGTCAAACTGAGACCCAAAGACGCATGGCAACTTGCCCTCGGCCATCCAGGGAGCCGGTCGGAGCTGGGCACGTCACCTGCGCCCTGGCCAGGCACAGCTGGGAGGGGCATTGGAGGGGTGCCGCTCACCCTGTCCTGCCGCATGCCCCTTCTCCACCCCAAGTGCTTCCAAACAGGTTCCTGGAATCCTTTCCTGCCCCTCTGCCCTTCTGTGGATTTGGACACTGTGTGGACCACCCACTATGCTGCCCAAATCCCCCTTTAGGAGTGAGGTCTTTCTCCCAGGGCACCAAAGTGCTGCAGGAATACACCCTCACTGTCTGCCTTCTTTGCCTCTCATGGTCACTGCTCACCCCAGGGACAGGTGATGGCTGGTGAGCTGGAAGTACAACAGGCCAACTCCACTCAGCCTGATTCCATTCAACTCAGAAGTGCTGCCCTGCTCCAGAGTTGCCATGGGGTCAGTGGGGGCTTCGTTGGGACTTCATTGCAGTTCCAGTTTCTCTCTGGTTTCCTCCCTGCCTTCCCGGGATGTGGATAACAAGCACATCCCCTTGTAACCCTGCACAGGCCAATCTCTCCATCAGGGGCTGCAGCTCAATGTCACATTCACAGCCCATATTTCAGTTCAGACAACATCTAACAGGGCCCAAAGCTTCACCCCTCTGCCTGCTGAAGAATTTCCTTCGTGTTCGAGAGTCATGTTCACATCACTCATATCAGCGCATTCGTCCACGGGATCATTTGATGCACCAGACATGATTCTGGATGCTTGGGATATAGCAGTGCACAAAACAGAAAATCTCATCTTTATGGTACCTGCACTCTGGGCCGGAGATCAACCGTAAAGAAATATAATGCAATATGCAAATATGTTTTTTTCTGTCTCTCTCTCTTTTTTTTTTTTTTTTTTGCAACTTAATTTTTTCTACATCTGTTGAGAGTCCATGTGATATTTTGCTACAATGTGGAATGATCAAATCAGGATAATTGAGATGTCTGTTACCTCAAACATTTGTCTTTTCTTTGAGTTAGAAACATTACAATTCTTCTCTTCTAGCTATTTTGAAATATACAATAAATTATTGTTAACTCCAATTTCCTTACTGCACTATTGAATACTAGAACATATTCCTTCTATCTAGCTGAAATTTTGTACTGACCCCTTAACCAACTTCTCTTCATCTCCTTTCCCCCTTCCCTTCCCATTCTCTGGTAACCACCGTTCTCCTCTCTCCATCCATGACATCCACTTTTCTAGCTCCCACATATGAATGAGAACACATATTTGTCTTCCTATGCCTGGCTTATTTCACATAACATAATATTCTCCAGTTCCATCCATGTTGCTGCAAATGACAGGATTTTATTCTTTTTTAAGGCTGAATAATATATTCCATCGTGTACAGGTACATTTCCATTTTATCCATTCATCATTGATGGACACTTGGGTTGATTCCATATCTTGGCTATTGGAAATGGTGCTGCAATAAATATAGAAGTGAAGATATCTCTCTGATGTACTGATTTCCTTTTGGGGTGGTGGTATATACCCAGCAGTGGGATTGCTGGATCATGTGGTAGTTCTAGTTTTAGTTTTTTGAGGTACCTCCACACTGTTTTCCGTAATGACTTCACATTTCCAGCAACAGTGTGCGAGCATTCCCCTTTCTCTGCATCCTTATCAGCATTTGTTATTTCTATCTCTTTGATAATAGCCATTCTAACTAGGGTGAGATGATATTTCATTGTGCTTCTTATTTGTATTTCCCTGATAATTAGTAATGTTGAGTATTTTTTCATATATCTGTTGGCCATTTTTATGTCTTCTTTTGAGAAACGTCTATTCAGGTCTTTTGCCCATTTATTTAATCGAATTATTTGTTTGCTATTGTTTGAGTTCTTTATTTAAATAGACAATTCTTTCTTCACTGTATTTTTCTTGGCATCTTCATCAAAAATAAGTTGACTGCAAGTACGTGGATTTATTTCTGGGTTCTCTATTCTGTTCCATTGGTTTATGTGCCTGTTTCTATGCCAGCATCATGCTGTTTTCATTACTAGCACTTTGTAGTATAATGCTTCTGGTTTTGTTATTTTTGCTCAGGATTGCATTAGCTATTTAAGGTCTTTTGTGACTCTATATGAATTATGGTTTTTTTCTATTTATATGAAGAATATCATTGGTATTTTGATAGTAATTGCATTGAGTCTGTAGATCACTTTGAGTAGTATAGACATTTTAACAATATCAATTTTTCCAATCCATGAGCATGGTATACCTTTCCTTTTTTTGGTGTTTTCTTCAATTTCTTTCATTGATATTTTATAGTTTTTCTTGTAGAGATCTTTCACTTTGTTAGCTAAATTTATTCCTAAATATTTTTTGTAGCTATTGTAAATGGGATTTCTTTCTTGACTTCTTTTTCAGATTGATCGCCATTAGCATATATAAAGGCTATTGGTTATTGCATGTTGATGTTGTATCCTGCACCTTCACTGAATTTGTCTATAAGTTCTAAGTTTTTTGGCGAATTAAGATAATGTCATGTGCAAACAAGGAAAATTTGACTTCTTCCTTTCTAATTTGGATGTCCATTATTTCTTTCTCTTGCCTGATTGCCCTGGCTAGGATGTCCAGTACTACGTTGAATAGAAGTGGTGAAAGTGGAAAGGCCTTGTCTTGTTCCAGACCTTAGTATAAAGGCTTTCAGTTTTTCCCTATTCAGTATGACATTAGCTGCAGTTTGTCATATATGGTCTTTATCATCTTGAGGTATGTTCCTTATATACCCAAATAGTTGAGAGTTTTTATATCATGAAGTGATGCTGAATTTTATCAAATGTTTTTCTAGCATTTATTGAAATGATCATATGGTATTTGTTCTGTTAATGTGATGTATCATGTTCACTGACTCACATATGTTGAACCATCCTTGCATCCATTGAATAAATCCCACTTTATTGTGGTGAATGCATTTTTAAATGTATTGTTGAATTCAGTTTCTTAATACTTTGTTGAGGATTTTTGCATCTATTTTCATCAGGAATACAGGCCTGTAATTTTCTTTTTCTGTTGCATCCATGTCTAGTTTTGGTGTCAGGGTAATGCTGACCTTGTAGAATGAGTTTGGAAATATTCTTTTCTCTTCAAGTTTTTGAAATAGTTTGGGTAGAATTGGTGTTAGTTCTACTTAAATGTTTGGTAGAATTCAGCAGTGAATCCATCAGGTCCTGGGCTTTTCTTTCAAGATAAACTTTTTATTACTCATTTCACCTCATTACTCATTTTTGGTCTGTTCGGGTTCTCTGTTTCTTCATGGTTCAATCTTGGTAGGTTGTATGTGTGTAGGAATTTATCCATTTCTTCTAGATGTGAACCCCAAATATCTGAGACATGTCTCGGTTGATTTAGAAAGTTTATTTTACCAAGGATGAGGATGCATGCCCATGAGACAGCCTCAGGAGGCCCTGATGATATGTGTCCAAGGTGGTCAGAGCACAGTTTGGTTTTATACATTTTAAGGAGACACGAGACATCAATCAACATATGTAAGATGAACATTGGTTTGGTCTGGAAAGGCAGGACAACTAGAATGAAAGCTGGGACAAGTTGAAGTGGGCAGGGGCTTCCAGGTCATAGGTAGATAAGAGACAAATTGTTGCCTTCATTTGAGCTTCTAATTGGCCTCTCCAAAGGAAGCAATCAGATCTGCATTTATCTCAGTGAACAGAGAGGTGACTAGGAATAGAATGGGAGGCAGGTTTACCCTAAGTAGTTCCCAGCTTGACTCTTCCCTTTAGCTTACTGATTTGGGGGCCCCAAGATTTATTTTCCTTACACATAGCCTGCTTTTCTTTCATTCCTTCTTTTTTTTTTTTTTTTTTTTTTTCTGAGATGGAGTCTCACTCTGTCACCCAGGCTAGAGTGCAGTGGCGTGATCTTGGCTCATCACAACCTCCACCTCCCGGGTTCAAGCAATTCCCATGCCTCAGCCTCCTGAGTAGCTGGGATTACAGTCATATGCCACTGCACCTGGCTAATTTTTGTGTTTTTAGTAGAGATGGGGTTTCACCACGTCAGCCAGGCTGGTCTTGAACTCCTGACTTCAGGTGATCTGCCCACCTTGGCCTCCCAAAGTGCTGGGATTACAAGTGTGAGCCACTGCACCCGGTCTTCTCCCCTTTTCTTTTAAAAATTTTTTGGAGAAAACATTTTAGAAGACAATAAGTCTCTGGTCTCAGGTTTCATCTGGTCTCTCATGGCTGGGACAGTTTATTCCTAGACAGGTGGGTCCCAAGTTATTAGGAAAGCTCATTTTTAGCAGGTTGTGAGGTCTCATGTCCCATGAAGAGAAAATAGGAGGAGGAAGGGAGAAAAACAACAACAAACAAAAGAACAATGCTGGAAAATTAATATAGGCCCATATTACTCTGAAGTTCATACATCAGCAGGCAGATATGTAAGTCACTTCTGTATGTAAACAGGTTGCTGTTATTTTCTTCTGAAGTTTAAGTTGTCTAGTTTCAGTTCCCAGGGCTTTACAAAAGCACAGTGTAGTTTTCAGTGACTCCAAATTAGGAAACACGGGAAAAAAGATGGAAACAAAATTTAAAACACTATTTTGAAGACTTGTAACCAAGAAAAATTAGAATTTGGTCCAAATTGTAGAAAATAATAAAAATCAAAAAACATTAGGCAAGACTAGACACTAAAAACAGGTGTCCTATAGTTTTTGAAATATAATTCTTCTCTCTCCAGTTTCCCATTTTTACTAAAGACAAATCATTGTAGGATTGATTTGCTTTATTATACTTGGCCTGATTATTTGTATGCAGTGCAACAAGAATAATTATTTTTTTACACAGACTTTTAAATTGGCTTTGATGGAACTTTGTTCTGAAGAAGGAATCTTAGATAAGATTTTTTAAAGCTCAGCCCAGCCATGGATTTGTACCATCAAATACCTACGAGTTGGGTGAATTCCTTTACGCTTGGGGCTAGAGGAATTCTTTACCACAGGTCAGGAACCCTGTACACGGACTGTGTAGACAATGTGTAAGGCCAGTTTTCCCAAGGGGCTTTTATTGGCTCCATAAGTCAAGTTTGATTCCTTAAAGGAAACCACACCATTCCAGTCAAAGTCTTGGTAAAATAACCAGTTTCCCCAATTGTGTCTTGTTACAAATGAAAACACATTCTTATTGAATTTATGCAAATAATACTATTGGCATAAGGTAAGAATACTCACAGATAGTTTCCAAATTCTGGAGAAATCAGGTAGAGAGAAACAAATATGCTCCAAGTTTTGTTCATAGAGTATACTAAATTGGTAAAAGCTGTCAATAGCACAAAATAAAAGTTTTCTTGACTCTGAAAAACAAAACAAAGGATTGGCAATGTTTTATGCAAAAAGTCAAAAGGATTACTTCAGTCTTCTATTAGTTCAGTCCATGCAGTTAATTTCTGTTCTGCTTGATATTCATGAACATTTCAACTGTCCATGAGTCCTGAAAGTTTTTCCTATATTCTGATGTCACCATTTCCAGAGTTATCAGAAACCTGCGTTTAAGAGCATCTGTTAGAGTTTTATAGCTTATTGTAAAACCATCTTCTGGCTGGGCATGATGGCTCACACCTTTAATCTCAGCACTTTGGGAGGACAAGGTGGGTGGATCACCTGAGGTCAGAAGTTTGAGACCAGCCTGGCCAACATGGTGAAACACCATCTCTACTAAAAATTCAAAAATTAGCCAGGTGATGTGGCATGTGCCTGTAATCTCAGCTACCCAGGAGGCTGAGGTAGGAGAATTGCTTGAACCCAGGAGGCGGAGGTTGCAGTGAGCCAAGATTGTGCCACTGCATTCCAGCCTGGGAGACAAGAGTGAAACTCCATCTCAAAAAACAAACTAAAACAAAAACCACCTTCTAAAGAGGACCAAAAAAAGACAACAATTGTCTGTGGATGACAAAAAATTTTAGGGCAGCCATAGTCAAAAACACAATTGACAAGGAAATTTGTTACCTCTGTGGAATACAATAATTTTATGTAACAATTATAATTATTACTGATAATGTACACTAAGTCATATCAGAATTATAGAAGTATCCCATAATTTTGGAACACATACCAATAACATAGTTAAACAAATTCAGCCCAAAGAAAACCAAACATTTCATATTTGACAATACTTCCTTTATAATTTTTATACAAAATAAACCAAATTACATCAATTTTGGACTTCAGGGAAACTAATATATTAAAGGATTAATTAGGTCAGAAAAATACATAACTCACAATTTGATTTTGGAAAGTTTTGTCAAATATCAAAGTTTTAAGACACTTGATATCACAGGTTACTATAAAATAAGTCATCAATTTGACCAAAGTGATAACTCAAGGATTTCAAAAAAAAGGTGAAAACCTTCATTCTTTGGGAGAGGAGACTTAATTTTCCAAACAATAAGACCTAATAAAACAGCATGAAGCCAATTACATTTGTTTTTCAAAATTTTATAAACAGTCTATAAAATTTTAATCTTGACCATAAGATATGACTTCTGTAAGCCTTTTGTAACCTTTATAACCTTTATTAAGGAGTCAGTTAATGCTTCAAGAAAACCTTGTTAATCTGACACAGGGGCCCATATGCTGGTCTTGCATCAGTGTGACTTTGAGATTAATGATTATAGAGAAACTCAACTTATTTTCTCTCTCAAAATTGGCCCTTACAATCTCACATGTCCACCTCTTTTGTGATAGTCCCTGGGCCCTGAGGAGCTGAATAGCTTTAATTTCTGTGTCTCAGGAATGCAGTTTATTTTGATTGGCATCTTCTACTGGGCCTGAAGATGAGGCTTTTTTTTTTTTTTTTTTTTGAGATGGAGTCTTGCTCTGTCACCCAGGCTGGAGTGCAGTGGCATAATCTCTGCTCACTGCAAGCTCCACCTGCCGGGTTCAAACCATTCTCCTGCCTCAGCCTCCCAAGTAGCTGGGACTACAGGTGCCTGCCACTAAGCCCGGCTAATTTTTTGTATTTTTAGTAGAGATGGGGTTTCACCAGGTTAGCCAGGATGGTCTTGATCTCCTGACCTCGTGATCCACCTGCCTCAGCCTCCCAAAGTGCTGGGATTACAGGCGTGAGCTACCATGCCTGGCCAAAGATGAGGCTTTAATTGTTGTCAGTATTTAAGATTTAGCAGGACTTGGTGTCCTTTTTAGATCCAGGAATCAAGGCCCTGTAACTCAATGTCAGAAGGACTTTAAAAGCCTATACAGAAAGATGTAGAAATGTAATGACCTTAATTTAAAAAAAAATTTTTTAATCTCATTTTTTTCTAAGCAAACCAAAACTTAATCATAATGGCACAGGAATTGTTTTGATAAACCATAAAATCTGTTAGACCAGTTACCAAAAGGCAAAAGAAAATACCTGCACTGCACAGAATATTATGTTGAAAGAAAACATTTTCTTTTGACCTTTAAGAAAACATTGTTAGCATCAGGCCACAACAAACAGAACTTGAGGAAAAATCTTACATGAGCCAAAAATGAATTGAAGGAGATTGTTAGTACTTTGCATCCTTTAAAAGGGTAGAGAAAACTGAAAATGGCGAGATGCAATAAAAGTTGAACTTTGGGTCAAAAAAATTAAAATCTCATAATTTATTAAAATTTCATAATTTATCATTCTCTTAAGAAAATTTTATTGTTCTAACCAATTATTTAGTGTAAAAGTAGTTTTTTTTACATCAAACCCAATCTCTAGAAAAACCATTATAATTTCCCTTTAATTATAGATGACTTGATCATATAAAGTATTTTTTAAATAAATCCTCTTATAGTGACTTAAACAACCTGTTCATGATATGCTTGGACTTTCTGGTTTGTCCTGAACAACGCTGTTTCTTAAACAACCAGTCATTTTATTATAGGATTAAATTTACCACAAAAGATTCTTTCCCATGTAAAATTATTTTTCTTTAAGTTTTTTTTAACCAAAAAACCTCTTTATTTTTCTAACTTTCTTTACATCTCTCTTATTTCCTGGTTCCTTTTCCTGGTTCCTTTTACCTTTATACATAACCTCTAAATAAACTTTGAATTCAACAAAAATTGTTCACCTTTTTAGAAAGGGCACACTTTAAAATAGAAAGAATGTTTTCCTACAATATATTTTTATTGGAAAATGTACAAATAATGAAATATCTGTTATTTAATATAACTTTAGATTCTAAATTATGACAAGTTTGTCTACAAGTATTTATCCCATTACATTCACCAAATTATTTTAATCATTTGCCTAGATTATTTATGAAAACTGCAATAGTCATTATTTAAAGTTATGGAACTGCTATTGCAAAACTATAACTGAGACAGTGAAAAAGATCTCACCTAACTGACTTCATCTTGCTTCTAACTCCAAGCTGTCCTTGTTCATTCCTGGGTGAAGGCTGAACTAACTTTGGGAGGAACTTATAGTTCAGCTTTGAAACAAAGATGATAACATTCCTTGCCCAAAACAAACCTTATTGCCTGTGGACTAGACCACCTAAGGCCGCTAGATTAGAAGTTATGGTAATCTTACTACTATCTTCATCAAACCAATACCAATGCCTAGTTACTAAAAATTACATAAACAAAGATCATTCTGTCTTGGGCTGGGTTTATGGTTGTGTAGCCTCTATGCCAAATTTTGACACCTTATAGTATTTGGCAGGGATAAGTATGAAATTGCTTGATTAATAAATGCAAACAAAAATGTATACTGGAAATTCTTAAGGCATTTTTAATATTACTTTACCAATAAATTTATAGCTAGTTTATTTATTAAAGATTTAAGTTACATAAACTTGAAACAGCATTTGACCAGTCTTTTCTTTTTTCCTGATAAAGTATTTGATTCAAGCACTTTTATTTTCTTAAGCCAATTAACTAGAGCTCTTTTATATATTTTCAGTGGTGAAGCATTGTGTACAAAACACATAAATACACACATGTATTAGGCATGCCAATAGAAGTAGATCTTACAGATTCATAAAAAGCTTTTTTTTTCCTATCTTAGACTTTCAAATTCTTGATAACCTGTTTCACTATGCTAGGCAGTTGTCAGCTAAATAGCCTTAAATTTGCATATTAAAGGAAACAACTCAGGTGAAAATCAAATAGCAAAATTTACATCATAAGGTACAGAGAGAAAATGTCTGGTGTGCTAGAGGGAAATAAAAAATGGATTTAACTGCCAATTAAACATAAAATTATAGAAATTATAAAGGTGTTTTAAATACACACACACACACACACACACACAAAGATCCTATAGCTTTTACTTCAGAACTTTAACCATGAGATAAATACAAATTCACCAGCCTGCAAACAAAAAACCTGTTAGATCCAAACAAGTTTTATCTCGGTAAAAAAGTAACAGCAGGCAGAAAAGAAAATAGAGAAAAAAGGGAACTTTGGAACGCTATAGTTTGCAGCTCAACCTTAGGGCCCCTTTTTCTTAATGTAAAAGTGCACAAAGACCATATTACTTTCATTTCCCTAGACTCTGACAAGTAGAGGTGACATAAAACCTATGGAGTGGTTGGGTGCAGTGGCTCACACCTGTAATCCCAGCACTTTGGGAGGCCAAGGCAGGTGGATCACCGGAGGTCGGGAGTTCGAGACCAACCTGACCAACATGGAGAAACACATCTCTACCAAAAAATAGAAAATTAGCCAGGCGTGGTGGCGCATGCCTGTAATCCCAGCTACTCAGGAGGCTGAGGCAGCAGAATCACTTGAACCCAGAAGGCAGAGGTTGCAGTGAGCCAAGGTCGTACCACTGCACTCCAGCCTGGGCAACAGAGCGAGACTCCATCTCAAATTCTCCTTGTTTTCTCCTCATTCTTATATTGTTTCCTGCTTTTTTTTTCTTTAAAGGAGGAGCTGAGCTGTGGCCCAGGTTCTTGTGTGGTAAATCGATGTGTGCTGCTTGTGGGCCGGATTCCACAGTGTTTCACCACCAACTCACTGCCACCCTCTTATGTGTCTCAGTTTGTGTTTCCAGAGGTCTATGACCTCTAAGAGGGCTTAAAAAGCTGGGTGATCAGCCCTTACATGCATTTCCTGGATGAGCCTTTTAAAAAATTAATTTGTATTGGGGATTTCCCCATAAGGCCACTGCAAGTCATAGGGGGTAATCACCCCAGACACTCCCATGAGGCCCCTGATCACCCAGGGGTGTCTTTTGCTTGCCAAAAGCAAATGCCCTTTCTCTTTATAGCTGAGAAAACTCGGCCTCTCATCTACCTATGAAAACAACAGTTCAGTTCCTCATGCAAATGTGCACAGACAAGCTGAATTAAGATTAACTTGGGGAGAAAAGGCAAAAGAGAAGACCCTTTAGAATGCATCTCCAAACTAGAATTAGGATCCTTAAACAACCACTTCCTAGGAGAAAAAAAATAAAATAAAAAATAACCAAGACCATTCCTGTAAACTGTGCTCAGCCACCCCGAAGTTTGTAGCCCTTATCCACCATTACACAGGCCAAGGTCAAGTCCTCTCACAGTACAAGGTCATCTCTGGTATCCCCAAAGCCAAAGAGGGCAGTCATGCAATACAGGAAAACAGAGCTTTAGACCTAAGAAGAATCTGCCCATGACTTTGGAAGCTTCATAAAGGAAACAGAACACTCCAAAAGGGGTGAGTGGTGGCTTTGTTCTGAATTCTTTAAAGGGGTTTGAGTCATTAGAAGCCTTCTCTAGGTTTTTTGGTACTGCAGATGGCAAAGGGGGAAGGAGGTATAGGGTGGAAGAGAAGTAAACAAAAGAACATTTGTTTGTGTGTGTGTGTGTGTGTCTGTGTGTGTGTGTGTGTGTTGTTGTTGTTGTTGTTTTTTAAGACAGGAAGCAAACACAGAAACCAAGCCCATGTTTTTTTTTGTTTTGGGCTTTTGTTTTTTGTTTTTTTCCTCTTTTGCAGCTGCAAGGAATTTCAGCCAAATTAGAGAGGGTTTGTTACCCATAATTTGGAATTCTCACTCAGATTTGACCAAGTCAATTAGAGTTGGTCAAATCTGATGGGAGAAAGACCGGAACAAACAACAACAACAAAAACTCAACAATATGATCAATGAGCGCTGTAATAGTAAAAGGAGAAACAGGAGGGGTGCGGTGGCTCACGCCTGTAATCCCAGCATTTTGGGAGGTCAAGGTGGGCAGATTGCCTATGGTCAGGAGTTCCAGACCAGTCTGGCCAACATGGTGAAACCTCGTCTCTACTAAAAATACAAAAAAAAAAAAAATTAGCCAGGGGTGGTGGTGGGTGCCTGTAATCCCAGCTACTTGGGAGGCTGAGGCAGGAGAATCACTTGAACTGGGGAGGCAGAGGTTGCAGTGAGCCAAGACCGCACCCTGGGCAACAGAATGAGACTCCGTCCAAAAAAAAAAAAAGAAAAAAAAGTAAGGAGAAATTAAGACCAGTTTGTTGTTAAACTTTAGCGAAGGCAGAACTCTAATTCAACTACTTACCTAAGGATGGGTCTCAAACTGAAGATTGCTTTCTACCATCCTAAAAGCATTAAAATAAAAAAAAAAAAAACTCAAAATCATCTTCCCTGCTGGGAGTGAGCTGAAACTCCATAAGGGAGTTACCTGCCTTCCATCATCATGGAAGCAGGAAATCTTGCCTTCCTTGTTGGAAGCAAGTAAAACTCCAAAAAAAAGGGGAGTTGTAGAGCAAAATAAGCTTTAGATCTTGACCAAATTTAGGGAGATCAGGGATTCTCCGAAGAGGGTGCTCTCAGACCTCAGCAAATTGTCCTACTGGCTTGAGGCCTAAAGTTAGCATATGCTGGTAACAAGCACTGATAGGAGATTTGTCAATGGTCAGGAGCATCTCCACTCAAAATCCCTTCATGGTTACCAAAATGTGAACCCCGAATATTTGAGACAGGTCTCAGTTAATTTAGAAAGTCTGTTTTGCCAAGGTTGAGGATGCCCATCCATGACACAGCATCAGGAGGTCCTGACAACACGCGCCCAAGATGGTCAGAGCGTAGTTTGGTTTTTATACATTTTAGGGAGACATGAGACATCCATCAACTTATGTAAGATGAACATGGATTTGGTCCACAAAGAGGAGACAACTGAAGCAAAGGCAGGACAACTCTAAGCAGGAGGGGGCTTCCGGGTCATAGGTAGATAAGAGAGAAATGGGTGCATTCTTTTGAGTTTCTGATGAGCCTCTCCAAAGGAGGCGATCAGAGATGCATTTATCTCAGTGAGCAGAGGGGTGACTTTGAATAGAATGGGAGTCAGGTTTGCCCTAAGCAGTTCCCAGCTTGACTTCTCCCTTTACCTTAGTGATTTGGGGGCCCCAAGATTTATTTTCCTTCCACATAGGTTTTCCAATTTTTTGGTGTATAGTTGTTCACAGTACGCTCTAATGATTCTTTCATGGTATCAGTTGTAATGTTTCCTTTTTTGCCTCTGATTTTATTTATTTGGGTTTTCTGTCTGTTTTTCATAGTCCAGTTAAAGATTTGTTGATTTTATCTTTTCAAAAAAACCCAACTTTTTGTTTCATTAATCTTTTGTATTTTTTTGTCTCAATTTATTTCTGCTCTAATCTTTATTATTTCTTTCCTTTGACTAATTTTGGGTTTGATTTGTTCTTGAGTTTCTATTTCCTTGAGGTATATCATTAGATTGCTCATTTGAAGTCTATTTTTTTTTTTTTTTTGAGATGAAATCTCCTCTGTTGCCCAGGCTGTAGTGCAGTGGTGCGATCTCGGCTCACTGCAACCTCACCCTCCTAGGTTCAAGCGATTCTCCTGCCTCAGCCTCCTGAGTAGCTGGGATTACATGCGCCTGCCCCCACCAGGCTAATTTTTTTTGTAGTTTTAGAAGAGTCAGGGTCTTACCATGTTTGCCAGGCTGGTCTCAAATCCCTGACCTCATGATCTGCCCACCTCGGACTCCCAAAGTGCTGGGATTACAGGTGTGAGCCACTACCACTGGCCTCTGTTATATTTAACGCAGGTGTTTATTACTATAAACTTCCCTCTTGGTACTGCTTTTGCTGTAGCCCATAGGTTCTGGCATGTTGCATTTTCATTTTCATTTGTTTTAAGAAATTTAAAATTTTTCTTCTTAATTTCTTTATTGACCCATTGGTCATTCAAGAGCATGCTAATTTCCATCTATTCATACAATTTCTAAAGTTCCACTTGTTATTGTTTCCTAATTTTATTCCATTGTGGTCAGAAAAAAATACTTGATATGATTTCAACATTTTTGAATTTGTTGAGATTTGTTCTGTGGCCTAACATATGGTCTGTCCTGGGGAATGTTCCATGTATTGATGAGAAAAATGCGTATTCTGTAGCAGTTGGATGAAATGTTCTGCAAATGTCTATTAGGCCCATTTGGTCTAATGTATAGTTTAACTCCAATGTTTCTTTGTTTATTTTCTGCCTGGATGATCGATCCACCTGTTGCCAAAAGTGGGGTGTTGAAGTCCTCTACTATTATACTGTGCACTGTTTCTCCCCTTAGATCTATTAATATTCACTTTATAAATTGTGGTGTGGTGTTGGGTGCAGATATATTTACTATTGTTATATCCTCTTACTGAATTTACCCCTTTATTATTATTTAATGACCCTCTTTGTCTCTTTTGACAATTTTTTTGGCTTAAAGTCTATTTTATCTGATAAAACTATAGCTGTTCTTGCTCTTTTTTATTTTCAGTTGCATGAAATATATTTTTCCATCCCTTCATTTTCAGTGTCTGTGTGTCTTTATACATGAAGACATGAAGTGAGTTTTTGTAGGCAGCATATAGTTGGGTCTTGTTTTTAAACCTATTCAGCCACTCTATGTCTTTTAATTGGAGAATTTAGTCCATTACATTCAACATTATGATTGATAGCTAAGGACTTAGTGCTGTCATTTTGTTGCTTGTTTTTTAACTGTTTTGTAA
Organism: Homo sapiens; assembly: GCF_000001405.40. Lineage (NCBI taxonomy): Eukaryota > Metazoa > Chordata > Mammalia > Primates > Hominidae > Homo > Homo sapiens. The sequence continues at coordinate 8,924,488 of NC_000004.12, read as the reverse complement.
CTTCTCTCTTCCTTTCTTCCTTTCCTACTGTCTTCCTTTGTGCTCAAGTAATTTACTCTGGTAGTATGTTTTAATTTATTGCCTTTTATTTTTAGTGTATCTGTTATAGGTCTTTGCTTTGTGGTTATCATGAGGTTTATAAAAAACAGTTTATAGCTATAACAAGCTATTTAAAACGGATACCAACCTAACTTTGATTGCAAAATAAACAACAACAAAAAACTCTACACATTAATTTCCTTCTCTCCCCACATCTGAATTTTTGATGTCACAAAAAAAATTCTGATGTCTACTGCTATATCTTAGCAAATCACAGTTATTGCAGTTTCTTAATAGTTTTGTCTTTTAATCTTTAGTAAAAATATAAGTGCTTTACACATTATGATTACAAAATTAGTGACACAATCACGTTAGAATTCTTTCTTTTGGTTTGAAGAACTCCTTTTAGCATTTCGCATAGGAAAGATTTGGTAGCAAAAAATTACGTCAGTTTTTATTTGTCTGGGAAAGTGTCTCTCCTCCATTTCTGAAGGAAAGTTTTGTTGGGTACAGTACTCTTGGCTGACAGTTCTATTCCTTCAGCACTCCACTCTGAATATATTATCTCACTCCACCCTGGCCTATAAGGTTTCTCCTGAGAAGTCTGCTGCCAAGTATATTGGATCTCCCTGTGTTATTTGCTTACTTTTTATCACTGCTTTCAGGATCCTCTCTTCTTTGTCTTTGACCTTTGTAAGTTTGATTATAATATGTCTTGGGGTACTGCTATTTGAGTTGCATCTGATTGGTGATTTTTAACTTTCCTGCACCTGAATATCTATATATTTCTTCAGGTTTGGAAAGCTTTTTTATTGTTTCTTTGAAATAATGAAATAAGTTGTCTACCCCTTTTTCTATCTCAGTTCCCTCTTTAACTACAATAACCCAGATACTTGCTCTTTTCATATTGTCCCATAGATTCTGTAAGCAGTCTTCATTCTTTTTATTTTTTCTCCTTTTTTGTGTATTTTCAAATAGGCGCTGATTAATCTGGCTGTTGATATTCTCTATTTCATTCTTCATTTCATTCATTGCATTTTTCACCTCCAGGATTTCTGTTTGGTTTTTAAAATTATTTCAATGTCTCTGTCAAATTCTGTGATAAGTTTCACAATTGATTCTCTGATTTTTCTTGAAGTTCAATGAGCTTCCTTAAAACATCTATCTTGAATTCTTTGTCTGAGAGATCACACATCTTAATCACTTTAGCGTTGGTCTTTGGTACTATTTTATGTTGGTTTCCTATTTCCCTGTATGTTCTTGATGCTTGTTGACATGGGATGATGTCTGTGCATTGAAGGATTAGGTATTTATTTTAATTTGCAGTCTGGCTTTGTCTGTGCCTATTCTTCTTCAGAGGGCCTTCCAGGGATTCTAAGCAGACTGACTGTTGATTCCCCTGAGTGTTATGACCACTGCAGCCATCTCAGCTGGAGGATGCGCTAAGCCCAGGCTTGCCCCAAGTTTTGTGAAGGAATTGGGGTTGACATGGTTTTTCAGCCCAGATTGACTTGGGGAAGGCCAAGGAAAGTACTGAGGCTACCTGGGAATACTGACCAGGAACCTGAATCCAGAAGACTTTCCTGGTGGCCCAGATTGGCATGCCTCCCAGCAGGTCTCTGCACAGGTGGAATGGGTGCCTGACTGCAGCAAGAGGAGCTGAAGCTGAGACTGGCCACGTTCAGGATCCACTGTGGGTTGGAGGTTGGTGACCCCATCAGGGAGGTTCATACTCCTAGGCTACAAGATATGGGTGAGTCCCCTCTGGGTCCTTGTATAAGCATCCCTGAGCTGGGACCTCAGCTGAAGGGGGCTGGATCTGAGCCACAGGGCAACATTCAGGTTCACTGCCAAAACAGATGTCAGTGAGCAGACAAGCCTTTCTGCCAAGGCACTAATGTGTGTGATTCCACCTGGAGCCCTTGGCCTATGGTTTTGGTTGTAGGCTCAAGGCCAAATGGACCTGTAGCTAAACACGTTGGAAGACTGGGCCATTTGTGAGCTTGAACCTGGGAGCAGGCTTGGCAGATCAGCCACCTAGGTGAGGGTCTGCACTCTCAAAACAACCCTCCCAGTCTTGGGCTCCACTGGGGTTTCACAAACTCCTACTTGAATCCTGAGGTTCTCAAAGAGAAGCTTTTGACTGTGGTTGGGTACAGAATTATTTTGGGGGGGATATGAGCAGGTTACCTATGTTCCACTACCTTAATGATGTCACCTGTAATATGCAAGCATTTCCCAATTCCAGGCAGTGATCAGTGCTAAGAGGAAAACCAGGCAAGGGAGAGGACAACAGGGATGGGGTGACCTAGCCAGAGGCCTTTTGGAGAAGGTGATGTCTGAGCACGGAGATTTGCATGGGGGAAGAAAGCCTGGGGAAGTTCATGGGAAAGAGCACTCCAGGTGAAGGGTGCAGCTGGTGAAAGGCCCTGACTTGGTCTGAGCTTGGAGATTGTGGTCAGCAGAATAAGGGTCCCCAGAGAGCAGGAGTCCTGATCCTGAAGCTGTGAACAGCTTGGGCTGCAAGGCAAAGGGGAATTCAGGCTGCAGTGGAATTCAGGCTGAGAATCAGCCATTCTTACCATTGGGAGGTTATTCTGTACTTGCAGGTGGCCCAGTGTCATCACAGGGTCCTTCACTGTAAAAGAGGGATGCAGGAACAGAGGCCAGAGTGATGTGATGTGAGGACTCAACCCACTGGTGCTGACTTTGAGGATGGATGAAGGACCATGAGCCAAGGAAGGCAGGTGGCCTCTGGGAGCTGGACAAGGCAGGGAAACAGCTTCTCTGCTCAGGAGCCTCCGGAAGGGATATGGGCCTGCTGACAGCTTGACTTTAACACAGTGAGACTCTTGTTGGAGTTCTGACCTCCAGTATGTGAGAAAACACATCTGTGTTGTTTTATGCCACTAAGTTTGTGGTGGTTTGTTAGGGCAGCCAGGGAAGCTATTACACTTTCTTTCCGGTTCTAGAGAACCGGAAAGAACACTCTGTCCTTCAGGCATCTCCCTTAGCCTCCTGGGGCTCAATTTTCCCATCTATACTGAGAGAGAAGGGGGCCCACCCATTTAAAGTCTGATTTCCCTTTGCCTTTCCCTTTACTCTCCTGGGAGTCACCAGCGAGCAGGATGCTGTCAGGGGTGGTGGACATCACTTGGCTCAACAGGTCTGCCTTGGCTGCCAGGACAACTCTCTCCAGGCCTCAGTGAGGTGGTGACACTTGCAGGTACTTGTGACTGCAGTTGGGGCCGGGGCCTCTGCAGTGAGCAGGACCTCCCCCGGGGAGGTCCCCAGGCTCACTCCCAGGCTGCCGACTCCCAAGTTCATGCCTCCAGCCCAGACCTCCGGCCTATGCAACTGGAGCGTGCACCCAATCACGTGTCCAAGGGATCCCTGCCACCTTCACTGGGGTGTCCCACTCAGTACGCATAGAAGCCCACTCGGTCTTCTGCATCTCCCCCGTCCAGAGCTTTCCAATTGTCCTTGTGGCTCAGTTTCTCTTGTGCCCCACATCAATCCCTCAGAAAATCCTGATGGCACCATGTTCAGCACAAACCCCAAATCTGGGGCATCCTCCCCCTCCAGCCCTCCCACTCAGGCCCGGGCCCCACCCCTCAGGCCTGGACGCCTACAGGAGCCACGTCACGGTGTCTCCCTGCCCATAAATACATGAGGTTGCACAGCTCCCCACCTGCGGCTCCTGGTGGTCTTGCTGGTGACATCTGTCTGGACCCCTCTGACTCATCTCTCCATGGTGTGTCCCCTCCCCGACGCCACTCAGCTGCCCGGGCCACCTCGCTGTTCCTAGAATACCCAAGCTCACTTCTACCCCTGGATCTTGGTGCTCACTGTGCTGTTTGTCCCAGAGCTCTCCTCCCCAGCCCGGCAGACTCCCGCCTTCCTGTGTGCTTCAACCCAAGGTCTCCTCTGACCCCCACAGAGAGCTGGAGCCCCTTCCCCTAAGAATCCCCAGAACCAACTTGCGAGAACCACAGAATCATCTGTCCCCAGTCCCCATGGTCTGAAGGCTGGCTCACGGGGCTGGAGCTGTGCCTGCCTGGACCCTTCCATAGCCCTGGCACCTGGAACAGTGGGTGTTCACCTAGCCCTCTTGGAACGGTGGGAAGGACAAGGGAGCCCAAGCCCCAGATGGCCTGTCCCCACATCCTTGGAGCCAGCCTGGAGCTGGGACTCGGCCCTGGGCTGCACCTGCCCTTGTGATGGCCGTGGGCTCTCTGCAGCCAGGCCAGCTGCAGCCGCTCTCTGCTCTTTGGGGGACTTCACAGCACGCCCTCCTGGGAACAGCATTGCTGGGAAGTGCAGTGGCCCGGCCCGGGCTCGGTGGCCCAGGAGCTGCATGCCCCCCACTTCTCCTCCATGGCTTCTTCTCCCCTGAAAGAGACAGGCAGAGTTCTCTGCCAACCTCAGGCAGGGCCCATCTGATGTTGGTGCCAGTCTCAGCTCTGGCACTGTCCGTGGTATCATCCCACTCTCCCAGGCTCCCGATCGGTACAATGTACCAGTCACCCCCAATGGTGTCTGTGCAGGGGAGGGGCAGTGTCTCGAAGCGGAGCCCTTAGAGAGTGTCTTTGTGTGTTCGAGCTGCTGTAATAAAAGTAACACAGACTGTGGGGCTGAAGCAACAGACGTGGACATCCTCACAGCTCCGGAGGCTGGAAGGCCCAGGTCAAGGTGCTCACACAGTGGTGTCTGATGAGGCTCTCTGCTGTCTTGCTTGGTCCATGCTGTGTCCCCACGTGGTGGGAGGCCAGGGAGAGAGCACACACTCTGGTCTCTTCTTATAAAGGCACCGATCCTTCTATGAGGCCTTCCGTGGGATGAGATAATCACTTCCTGCAGTCCCCTCCTAACACTGGGGATCAGGGCTTCAACATAGAAATGGGGGGTGGGCAGCAGGCCGGGTGTGGTGGCTCACACCTATAGTCCCAGCACTTTGGGAGGCTGAGGCGGGGGTATCACTTGAGATCAGGCGTTTGAGACCAGCCTGACCAACATGGCAAAACCCCGTCTCTATTAAAAATACAAAAATTAGCCGGATGTGGTGCTGTGTGCCTGTAATCTCAGCTACTCAGGAGGCTGAGACGGGAGAATCACTTGAATCCAGGAGGCGGAGGTTGCAGTGAGTGGAGATTGCACCACTGCACAATCTGCCTGGGTGACAGAGCAAGACTCCATCTCGAAAGAAAGAGAGAGAAAGAAAGAATGAAAGAGAGAGAGAGGGAAAGAAAGAAAGAAAGAAAGAAAGAAAGAAAGAAAGAAAGAAAGAAAGAAAGAAAGAAAGAAAGAAGAAAGAAAGAAGGAAGAAAGAAAAAGAAAGAAGGAAAGAAAGAAAGAAGAAAGAAAGAAAGAAAGAAAGAAAGAAAGAAAGAGAAGAAAGAGAAAGGAAGGAAGGGAGGGAGGGAAAGAAAGAAGAAAGAAAGCAAGCAAGCAAGCAAGAAAGAAAGAAAGAGAAAGAAAGAAAAAGAAGAATGAGAAAGGAAGGGACGGAAGGAAAGAAAGAAAGAAGAAAGAAAGAAAGAAAGAAAGAAAGAAAGAAAGAAAGAAAGAAAGGAAGGAAGGAAGGAAGGAAGGAAGGAAGGAAGGAAGGAAGGAAGGAAGGAAGGAAAGAAAGAAAGAAAAAGAAAGAATAAAGGAATGAAGGAAGGAAAGAAGGAAGGAAGGAACTGGGGGGCCACAAACATTCAGTGCACAGCAGGTCACCTTCTAGTTAGGAGCAAGTCGATTTGCTTCTCTGAGCCTCAGTTTCCCCATCTGTAAAGTGAAGACACAGTGGTGTTACCCACATGGGTTGTGCGTGAGGATTAAATACCTGACTGCTTAGCAGGGTGCCTGCCCCGAAGGAAGCGCCCCTGTCTATTTCAGTTTGCTCTAAGCCCCAGGAAATAAGCAGGAGGCAGCAGAACCGCCCCTTTATACCCCAAGGCCCAACAGCCCAATGGTGTTTACCCCAAGTAAACCTTTGTTGTCCTAAAAGTCACTTGAGGCTAAGGTAAATAAGTACAGATAAAATACAGGAAGCCCAGGTAAAGATGAATTTCAGATAAACAAACACTGTTTAGTGTGAGTTTGTCCGGTGCAATATTTAGGACACATTCTAAAGAAATTACTCAACGTTCGTCTGAAATCTTCCTTTAACTGAGTGTCCCGTGGAGTTTGTATTTACTAAATATTCAGGTCGCAGGGTACCTCCACCTCTCGCGGGTTGCCTGCCCAGCTTTGGTCCTGGCACAGGTGCGATTTGGGGGTATGGCCACTGGGTGGCACCATTGTGCCACAGACAGGCCCTGCCTGCTTCTCTGGGCACTGCGGATGGGTGGGCTGGGCTCCCAGCCTTCTTCTGCACAGCCGCCTGGGCTTCCCTGCCACAGGGCACCTCATCTGAGCAGGGGGCCCTCCTGGGGCAGACGTCATCTCCTCCCGGGTCAGGTCAGTGCCAGAGGAACCCACGCCGCTGAGGAGCTGAGGGAGGGCACAGTCTCTGCCTTCCTCCTCATCTGTCCCTGCCTTTCTGTGCCCCTGCTCAGCTATCCCCAGGTCGGCCTGCCTGGGGGGTTTCTCTCTGTCTCTCTCTCTCTCTCTCTCTCTCTCTCTCTCTCTCTCTCTCTCTCTCTCTCTCCATTCAGCCTCAGTCCGCCTGGCACCTGCCCTGTGGCTCTCCCAGGCTGTGGCTGGAGCAGTCCTGGTCCCTCCCCATTCAAGGGATCCCAGAAGAGCGTCCAGCGGAGGGGCTGCTGATGGCTTTCTTGCAGTGGCTTAGCCCAGCCCTGAGCCTGGGGGCCTGCACACAGCAATACTCTGTGAATGTTCGTCGGTAGGACTGGGTCTGGGCCTGAGGCACAAGGGTCAGGAGCTGGAGTGTGGCAGGGAGGCCTCTCGCTCCATCCAAAGGCCCTGCTAAAAGTACCGACCAGTGCGTACTGCCTGATGTTCCACAGGTCCCCACTGTCCTGAGAAGCTCTGGGGCATTGCCGCAGCCTTGTCAGCGAGCTGTACATCTTAGGACACAGGGCCTTGTAGACAGCGGCAGCTGCCATCTCCAGAGTCCAGCCACCAGGCATAATCCGAGTGGGGACCCTGATAGTGCCAGGTGTGAACCCAACAGCTGGCTCTGTGCACCTCATTGTTCTGAACCCTTTACCTGCACTAACTCATGTCGTTCCCACCACAGATGTGAGGCAGGAGCTGTCGTCTCCATTCTGCATATGAAACCAGGCATGTGGGAGCTGAGTCCCTAACCCAAGGCCTCAGGCCAGTAGGTGGCTGAGCTGGGAACAGATGAATGAATGAATGAATGAATGAATGAATGATTTGTCCATATTGCTCAACCTGGGCAGAGAGATGCCCAGATATAGATATGATCCCCACTAGCCTAGATCCTAGAGATCATGGGGGAAAGACTGATCATGTGGCCTGGGTAAATGACCCCATGACTCAGTTTCCCTCTCTGCCCAACTGCAGTGAGCTGAGCTGTTTCCCAGGCTCAGTCACTGTGAAGTGCAGTGAACAGGAGCTGGCAAGAGGGTTTCCCAGCATCCCTCTGCAGTGTTCCCCTTTGGCCTTCCCTCTGCTTGGGACCCTTGAGCTCAGCCCAGGCCCAGATAGCAGGGGAGGGGGGCTCTGAGTGCACTCCAGGTGAGGGATCCCTTTGGGGCACCCCGCAGAGGCCACATCCCTTCCTGGTACCCAACTGGAAGGGTCCTGCCCACCTGCACTGCCAGACCTCCAGGAACCTCCAGGAAGCCTGCATGGGGAGAGATGGGGCCTGGATCACCTCCAGGCGGTTGGGCAGAGCCACTGTGGCCTTAAGTACCTGCATAAATCACTGCATTTACCACGCATTTCCTTGATGGGGTGTCAAGCTCGGAGACTGCAAGAGTCAGCATGAATAATTCAGGGCTGGGCTGTCTGTCCCCATCCAGAGGAAGAACTGCTGTGATGGAACTGGAACTGCACAGCACAGCGAGGCTGGCACAGGGGGTGGGGGCCGCTTGGACGAGCGCTCAGGGCAGTTCTGGCTTGAGAAAACTTGTCTGGCTGAGCCGAGCACACGGTCCCGGCTCACACCTTCAAGGACAGGCTGCTCACCACCCCAGGCAACCCACTTGATGACTGGACAGTGACCAGGGTCAGAGGGGGCTCCTGACCCTAAGAGGACACTTGCTCCCTGCACCCTCCCACACAGCCACAGCTCTCCAGGTCCTAAGAAGACCCCCCAGAAGCTGCTCTTCCCACGCCGATAGCCGGGGGCCTGCACCTGGTCACAGCTTGGGCAGAGACACAGGTGTTGCCCAAGAAACAGCAAGGTGGCATGAAGATTGGCATGGCGAGGCCTCGGCTGGAGGGGAGGGAGTGAGCTCCACAGGCCCCCTCTGTCCTGAGACACTCTAGGACATCACCGGAGCCTTGTCGGCTAGCTGCAGGTCTTAGGACACAGGGCGCTGTAGACAGCAGCAGCTGCCATCTCCAGAGTCCACCCACCAGACATAATCCAAGTGGGGACCCTGGTAGCGCCAGGTGGGCACCTGACAGCTGGCTCTGTGCACCCGACGGTTCCCTGATAGCACCAGGTGTGCACACGACAGCTGGCTCTGTGCACCCAGTGGTTCTGCTCACTGCTTCCCAGCCTAGTCCTCCTTCTCCCGTCCCCCACCCTCCATACCTTCCCGTCCTGGGTGTCCAAATCCCACTCACCAGGCAAGGTCACGAAGCCTGCTGAGCCTTCAACTTCCTTCCCCGTGGACCCTGGTCTCCCCTCCTCTGCCAGCCCCAGGCTGTGTAGGGGTGACCACCTGCCTCCTTGGGATGACTTCTGCCCACGGCTGCATCCCTGCCCCTCCTGGGGGGAGTCCTCGTCACAGCGTCTCCAGCACCCCACTAGGGCCCAGCACTCAGCAGGCACCCCCAAGTTCTCTGAACAGATGGAAGGAGCAATTGTGGGTGTCGTTCTGGTGTCTCTCTCGTCTCTCGAGTCAGTGTCCTGTAACAGCAACGGCCATGAGATTCTGCGAGCAGACAGAGGAAGACTCTGTATGGCAGCAACAGTAGCCCCCAGCCCGCCTTGTCTCTGTCCAGCCCCTGAGCTGGCGCTGCTGCAGCCCATCCTCTGGCCCCTGACACCCTCCGGGGCAGCAAGGAGGGCACCATGGCTTTGCCTGTGGTGGTGGTGACTGCCTGGAACCCTGGCACTGGACCACCCCTCACATAATCTCACCCAATCCTATGCTTGGTAAGGCGGGCATGATCGTCCTCGTGTTACAGGTGCAGGAAGCTGAGGCCCAGAGCACTGGGTGCCTTTCCTGAGGTCACAGAGCCAGGAAGTGGCCGGGCAGAGATTTGGGCCCTTGCCTACCCCTGGATGCATGGGCACTGACGATTCTGCTTCTCAGGACTCTGGGGCTCCCGAACCTGGACCCGGTGAGGCGTCACCGAGGCGATGCCTGCTTCCCATGAAGCTGCAGGTGAGCGTGAGCTGTGCCGAAGACGTCAACACAGGGCGATTTTGTTACAAACAACAGCTGCTCTCAGGGGAGGCCCATGGCACATGGCACACAGCCTCCCACAGCACACTGGCCTCCCATGGCCCACAGCCCACGGCACACCGGCCTCCCATGGCAGAGCCCCCTGAAGCTGCACCTGAGGAAACCCAGGACTCTTGGAACATAAACGAGGGTGAGGGTGAAGAAGGCAGAATGGCTCTGGAGCCCACTGGGGGTCCGGTCAACCGCTGGGGGCCCGGTCATCCACACACACACCTTGAAGCTGACCTCGGAGGCCTCGACAGGCGGTGGCCGGGGCACGGACGAGGGGTCTAGGACCCTGGCACTTGGGAAGCCTAAAAGCAAACGAGGTTAGGGTCTGGTGAGCTTGTGCTAGGTGGAACCAGGAGCCGCCCTGAGGCTGCCCCTGTCCCACACCCCGCGGTTCCCGTCAGTCCTGGGGACGAGGCTGGGGCCTGCCCCAGGGGGAATCTGCCTTCCTAAAGAAGCAGTGGGTGGAGAGCCACATCTGGGGCTAGTTTTCTGTGAGATGATCTTTAGCATGTTTCATTCCCGTTGTCTAAGGAGTCTCCGGGTTAGGCTGGGGCCCTGTGTCCACAGCGCACCTGCCAGCCTTCACGCCTTTCCCCCATCATGCAGCACATGCCTTCATGGGTTCTAAGGTGATCGTCGGTAATCGCCATTGAGGCACCCCATAATAGTCTACCTGGTGGACGCTCTGGAATGTAAACCTTCATCAGACAGCTCCATTTTCCAGGCATTTGTTTGTTTTATGAGTGGCTATGGTGGATTCCCAGGGCTGCCATGCCCAGCCCCACAGGCGGGGGTGTTGAGCAGCAGACACGTGCTCTCCCTCGCCCTGAAGGCTGGAAGTCTGAAATCGAGGTGTTGGCAGAGCCAGGCTCCCCTGCAGGCACAAGGGCATGGTCTGTTCCAGGCCTCTCTCTCAGCCCTGGTGGTCCCTTGGCTTGGGGGAGCGTGACTGTAACCTTCCCACCACGTTCTCTCTGTGGACATGGCTGGGTCCAAACATCCACCTTTTATGGGGACACCGGTCATGTTGGATTAAGGGCCTGCCTGACTCTGATGGACCTCATCTGAACTAATTACCCCTGCAATGACCCTACTTCCAAGTCAGGTCACATTCTAAGGTCCTGGGGATTAGGGCTTCAATGTATGCATTATAGGGGGAAGCAGTGCCGCCTGTAAGCGACAGGTCCACACACGCCCGGCATCCTTGGGGCACTCCGGGACCTGAAGCTGTCCAAGCAAAGCCCGTGGGTCTTCCTGGCGACTACTGCCAGCGGTAGGGAGGGCCCCCAAGACGCACCAGCGCGTGAGGGGAAAGGGTCTTAGCGGGAAGCTTGGTAAACGGTGCGGTGAGCAATGGATTTCTTTTGGGGGGAAAACACAGAAGAGAGAGATAAAGAATCGATGTAGAGTGAACATGTGGCTTTTTAAGTTCTGTTCTTCACACAGTGCAAGTTCAGCAAACCACTTAAAATTCCCATTAAGCTGACAAGTATGCTCAGAAATAGAAAAATGATTTTCATGGCGTTTCCTGCTCAGGCCCGCCCACTCAGCTGAGATGACAACACGCCACCAAGAATGCAATTCCAGCCGGGTCTCCCCACGGCATTTTGTCATGTCGAGAATGACACCCAGGACAGGCTGTGCCTGGCCTGTAGTAGGACTCTGAACAACATTTGTTGCATGAATGAATGAATGAAGGTATGAATGAATGAATGAAGATATGAGGTGCAAAGAGGCTCGGCTCCCACGTGGTTCGTTCTGGGAGCCAGAGGGTTCTGGCACACTGGACAACAGCAGTGTGGGGGAGGGTGGGGGCTGGCATGGGGGAGGGTGGAGGACCTGCGTGGGGGAGGGTGGAGGACCTGCGTGGGGAAGGGTGGAGGACCGGCGTGGGGGAGGGTGGAGGACCGGCATGGGGGAGGGTGGAGGACCGGCATGGGGGAGGGTGGGGGCCGGCGTGGGGGACGGTGGGGGCTGGCATGGGGGAGGGGGGGGGGCCAGGGTGGGGGAGGGTGGGGACTCGCTGCACCTTTGCACTAGCACCACGGGAAGTGCTGGACCCCGTGTTCTGCCATTTCCAGCAACATCTTCTGTGGGACCAGAGCACAGCCAGAGGGAAGTGATAGTGAAGAGGCCCAAATGCCCATCACCAGAGGGATGGGAGAAAGAAGGTCTGGGGGCCAGGCTGCTGCCTGCACATAGCTGAAGAGCGGCCATGTGGGGATGGGGGCCCCAGGACATCACCTGTGGCTCTCTGGACACAGCCAGGACTGGTGCATGGATGTCCTGGGAAGGCAGACAACAGTCAGAGCCGTGCAAGTGTGGAAGAGAGTCCTCAGGAGGTAGTGAGCACCCCATCCCTAGAGGCGTGTAAGTTCAGTCTGATCAGCCAACAACTAGGAATTTGTGTAAAGCACCAATGGGAGCAAAGTTGGATTTGGGACCATGTAAAGTCACAGCCAAATGGTACAAGGCTGAGGGGGCCAGCTGCTGGGGGTCTGTTGCTCTGAGCCCCCTCGGGGAAGCTCAGCCCTGTGACCACACTGCTCCCTTCATTCCCCCACCGGAGGTTCACAGCCACGTACCCCAGCCTGGCAGGCATCACTTCTCCTATTTCATGGAAGAGAAAGCTCCGTTCCTGGGAGCACTGGGCAAAGGCCCTGTTGGGATGCCCAGCACCCTGTCCACTCCTGCCTTCTGTCTCCCCAGTCAGAGAGACTGGGCAGGAACTCAGAGGCCAGAGATGCCCACATGGCCTCCCCCGCCAGGCCTGTGGCCAGGCCAGCCCAGCCAGCAGTGGGATGCCAAGGTCTGTGGGAGGCCAGGTGTAAAAATCCCGGGAATGATGATTGTTTCAGTCTGTCTGGACCGCAAAGCCTGACTGCGCTCCCGCCCGCTCTGTTCCTCCCAGTGCCACGGGGCGGATGGGCCAGGGCTGCTGATTGGTTGCCGGACTCCACCCTCCCAGCGGTGGTGAGATCATGAGGCTCATCCATACGTCCTGTCAGCTCCCCAGATATAATGGGGAACAGATGGTCCCCAGGGGCCCAAGTGGGAGCGCATGTGGCTGCAGCCGCCCAGCTCAGCTGCCCACGGGCACCTGTGGGTGAACATGGATCCTTACGCAAGACGATTCTGCCAGCTACTGGAAGCTTCCATGTGCCAACTCCCTGCAGGGCCTCCACAGGAGCCTAGCAAGGGGAATGACGTCTCCATTGTAGACCAGGGACCAGGCTTTTGGAGAGGCCAGGCAGCTGGCCAGCACGCAGATGCTAGGAGAGAGGGCACAGTCACGCTCACTTCCAGGGGGTGTAAGGCCGGCACACGCTGCTCTAGTGGCCCTTAGACACTTTTCTCCTGGCGACACGTGCCGGCTCAGACCCTGACACCCTGACACCCTGACTCGGTGATGCAGCTCCCGAAATGCAAGGCCTGGCCATGCCCCGTCCTGGCTGGACTGGAGGAACCGATGCCCAGCCGGGGTTCCCAGGCATCTGGCAGCAGCTTCCTTTCTCCTTTCTCCCTGTCACAGCGGGCCACCGTGAGGAACAAGCAGGCGGTGTGGGACAGAGGCAGGAGAAAAGTGCTAAGGAGAAGATGGGGGGGTGTGGAGGGTGATCAAGGTAGGGGGACGTCGGGACAAAGGCCTAAGCGAGAGGTGGAGCCCGCTGTGGGGGCTGAGCCAAGAGTCTTGGGCAGAGGGCACAGCTGATGCCAAGGCCCCGCAGCAGGAGGCCTGGGATGTGTTTGAGGAACAGCAGGCAATAGGCTCCCTCCCCGACTGGGAGCCCAGGCAACTAGGGATGTATTGGTTTCCCGTGAATGCTGTGACAGACCTATTCCTGGATGGCTTCAAACAACAGAAGTGTGTCCTCCCACCGTTCTCGAGCCCGAGGTCTGACGTAGGCATCACTGGGCTGAAACCTCTGGGCCGCGCCCCCTCCGGAGGCTCCAGTGGAAAATCACTCATCTCTGCCTCTGTGGCCACACGGCCTCCTCTCCTGTAGGAGTCCCTCTTCCTCTGTCTCCCTCTCACAGGGACACTGGAGATTGCATTTTTGGGTGCTTCTGGATAATCCCGGATAATCTCCCCATCTCAACAACCTTCACTTAATCGCAAACATTCTCTCTCCACACCAGGCAGGATTTGCAAGTTCCAGGGATTCTGCTGGGCATGTCTTTAGGGGAACCATTTTTCAGATGACAAGCCCCCTGCAGGGAGGGGCTGTCTCCCCAATGCCGAGTCCCAACACGGCCGCAGCAGGTGCCCGGTAAGCTCTGGAGAAGAGAAGGGTGAAGGGATGAGCGTGGCACAGCCAGCTTACAGCCAGCACGGAAGAGTTCAGAGACCTGGTCTCCATGCAGCACCCCCGCCCCCCCACCCCTGCCACTGCCTGTGCTGGCAGGCTGCCCACTCTCGGGCAGGGAATCACCATGCACAGCCCGGGGCCCACCCTGCTGTGTGGCCCACAAGGGCCGTTTCTCCTTTCCGTGCCCCTTTTCTTGTCTCTACAAGGCACTAAGATAGGAGTGTTGTTGGCCGAGTCCCTTGGAGTGAGCCAGACGGTCCCAGGCAGCAGAGCACTCCCGGCCAGGCCGCGGCAGAAGTCGACGCCAAGGGCATGAGCAGCAGTCAGGTCCCGTTGCCTGGGGCCGTATCACAAGCGTGAGGAAAGCAACCATCATGGAAGGCAGTGGATGCCTCGCGTGGGCATCTCAGCCACGCTTCCCAGGGGTCCTTTCCATTCCGCTCCCCTCGCGTGGGCATCTCGGCCATGCTTCCTAGGGGTCCTTTCCATTCTGCCCCCACCAACACCAACACCCAGAGTGCAGACAGAGGCTGGTGGGGCATCATGCAGACCGACTCAGATATCATTCGGGTCACTCCTTAAGAAAACAATGCAAAATTATGAGTGCAGAATTGAGAACAAAGGTGAACATTTACTTACAAGTAGAAAGAATCACAAAATGTCACACATTTATAAAAATTAACAAACAGTGTGCATATTGAAAATGCGACGTGCTACTTCTTACCTGCCTGGCAAGTGGTAAAGTGGATTTCTCAGGGCTCTGCCCTGTGTGCCTCTGTCTGCCCCCACGAGACGGTGCCGTGACATCATTCTCTAAGTAAACACTGGAAAGATATTATTAGTTCCAGCTTCCCTTACGGTGAGGCTGAAAGCTGTTTTTGACTCCTGATGGTTTTTTAAAGCTGTTTTCTTTTCGTTTTGACTTCACAACTCATTACTAATAATGGCACGAAAGCTGTTCTGTGTTTTCCAGTGTATTCACCCGGTTCATCCTGCCTACTAATGGCTTCCCTCCATAAGCCAAGAGCTGTTCTTTGCTTCTATTCAAAACCTGTCCCCTGGGCCCAGAGCGGTGGCTCACGCCTGTCATCCCAGCACTTTGGGAGGCCAAGATGGGCAGATCACCTGAGGTCGGGAGTTCAAGACCAGCCTGGCCAACATAGTGAAACCCCATCTCTACTAAAAATACAAAAATTAGCCGGGCGTGGCGGTGTGTGCCTATAATCCCAGCTACTCGGGAGGCTGAGGCAGGAGAATCGCTTGGACCCAGGAGGCAGAGGTTGCAGTGAGCCAAGATCACACCACCGCACTCCAGCCTGGGTGACGAGTGAAACTCCATCTCAAAAAAAACAAAAACAGAAACAAAACAAAACAAAACCGTCCACTGAAGAACGGCCGCTCCAAGTGCCATCTGAGTGCGTTCTTTCCGTGACCGTTCCCTTCTCTGAGCGGGAATGGCTTCTTTCAGCTTCCTTGATCACCTTTTCTTGCCTTTCTTGCGCATTCTTGCCATTTTATCTGACTTTTTTCTTGGCTCTTTAAGAGATAAATTTAAAGCTGACAATAGAGCCCCTTTGATGTGAACTGAAGCCGCGGGTCTGTGATTCCTCACCTGAGTCACTGAAACACTCCAAACTGTCTGGGCAAATTAGAGTGCAGAGGGCACGCTGGAGCGCTACCTGCTGTGTGAAGCCTCTTGCCTCATCCTGTCCGTCTGTCTGTGGCGCCCAGGTGTCGGAGCGTCTACCGAGGAGCTCTGGCACGTGGAGCATCGCGGCCTGAGCAGCTCTGTGGGGAGTGGGGCGTCCCAGCCCATCCGTCAAGTCTTCTAGAAGAACCCGAGTTGGCTAAGTGCTCCACCATGTGGGACAGCAGGTCGGCAGGAGCCGGGTCCAGGCCCCCGCCCAGCACAGGGCCTGGTCCAGAGCGGCTGGCAGCCTCCCCGGGGCCGGGCTCCTCTCCTCACTGCGGCGGTTTCTCGGGAGGGTACAGCCTCGGTCCTCACCTCTGTCCACAGCCACCTGCCCGACCTCGACAGCTTCACTTTGCTGAATAAATCCGATGGTTTTCATCGGCAGGGCATGGACACTCACACTTTCTGCAGCACAGCGGCACACAGTAACTGTCACTGCCCCGTCCGTGTCGGTCCCACCCAGGTGACAAGGTCTTCCAGGCATCAGGCAGGGGTCTGGCCCCCTTCCCAGGAGGAAAAACTGGGGTACATGGGCACCCTGCTCCCTGGGTGGAGGGACTGGCGGTTACATTTCTGCCACCGGAAGGGATCTCAGGCAGGAGCCCCCCTCCTGCAGGAACACGCTGGGGGCGGGACACAGCCTGAACTGGGGATCTCTGAGGAAGAAGAAGGGAGACGTCCCTGGCATGATGAAGGAACATGGGCATGAGGAGAACAGGCGTGGGTGCTAATCCCAGCCATACTGCCACCCAGCCTGGTCACCCCAGGCAGCTCCCCTTGCCTCTCTGTTCTTATCATCCTCTGGTGTGAAGTGCAGCTCAGAGCATGAGCTGGCAAGGTGCAGCCCGGGTTAGGAGGCGGGTCCAGTGGCTGGCGCTCCTGCAGGCTTGGCTGCAAACCAGAGGCTGCTGTTTTGGGTCCCAGAATCCTAGCACAGATCACAGAGCACTGGCTGGTTCCTTGCCTTCCACCCAAATGGTGCAGCCTGCCCTCCAGCCCAGGTCTGGGGACCACATGAAGCAGCTGCCCTCCTGGCAGCCCGGCGGGGCTGGGACCAGCGGCTCCGTTCCTCACCCGTAAGTGCGTGAAGATGCCACAATCCGCAGCTCTGCTGGGCTTCTCAGGAGCACCGAGGCACGGGACCAACACCTGGGGTGAGTCCACCCTGTGCCCCTGGCCTCCCTTGGCTTGGCTGTTCCCTGGACACAAGGGGGAAGGCAGGGCAGGGCTGGACACAACCCCACCTTCATGGCCCGAGGGCCAGGCCTGCCACCCTGGGGAGAATCCAGTAGCCTCAAGACATCTGACTGCAGGTCATCTACCGGTTGGAAATTTAAGCCTGGGGAGGCCGTAGCTGGAAGATGCTCTCTGTCTGTCTCCCAGCCCTGTCCGCGGGGAGGGTTCCTCGGCAGCCCCCGTCACAAAGCCAGGCTCCAGAATGGGAAGATGGGAAGGAGGGAGAAAACAGGCCCCAAATGTCGCCTTTCATCCCTCATTCGCTCAACCCCTTGTCTATTCATGTAGCTGAATAAAGCCCTCCCTGTAATGACGTCCATGTCCTAATCCCTGGAACCTCGTACCTCCCGTGGCAAAAGGAACTTTGCGAAGCGAATTCGGACATGAGGTGAGGACATGGCCCTGGGTTATCCAGACGGCCCAGCCATCACCAGGCTCTGTGCCCTCACCCCTCCCCAGCCATTGGGATATGAAGCTGCATCGGGGCAAGTGCTCTCGGGGCTAGGAGAAGGGTGCAGGAAGGCTTCCTGGAGGCAGTGACCCCTGAGCAGAAGTCGGAAGGATTGTAGGACTAAGGTGAGAAGAGCCATGAGGGGGAATATTCCAGCGGGAAGCCCACCACAGATGTGCGGGGCAGGGGCAGGGCCACGTGCCTGTGTTTCGTTATGAGCCTTAATACCAATATTGAACCAGGCACATGCAATCCTTTGATACAGATACAGTATTTAAAGCAAAACAGGAAGGAAGGAAGGAAGAGAGGAAGGGAGGGAGGGAGGCAAGAAGGAAGGGGGATGGGAGAGAAGAAAGCGGGTGTGTTGCACATTTGGGGGGATGCACGGGATGGAGGCTGCTGCGAATCCGCATGACCATGGCCGGGAGCAGAGGCACGGGGCCTGAGGGTGCCTGGCCGGCATCTGTCCAGGGTGAGGGGAGAGACTGCTGCCAAGTGTGGACCTGTCCAGTTCTAGCAGGTTCCTTTCGAACCCCTGTGGGCTGGGCTTTTGGACTCTCTGACTTGGAATGCAGGGATGTGGGAATGATTAGCAGTCAGCCCTCAGGTGTCCACCGTGCATCAGGTGGCCCCGGCCCCTCACCCCAAACTCCTCTCAGCATCAAAGAACAAACGCAGCCCACCAGAGACACACCGCAGAACCCCAGGTGCTTCAGAGAGCGTCGGCCTGGGCCGTGACCCGCCCGAGGATAGAGGCCTTCAAAGACGCAGGTGGGCCCCGAGGGCGGCCAGGCACAGATTGGCGCAAGATGGGCCCACCTGTCTGAGGAGCTGCAGGATCCTGGAAGGTCCTGGAAGCGTGGGCAGAGGGCCAGGCTGTCTCTCGTCCCCGCCGCACCTGAGGGCTCTACCTCTGGTGACAGCATCCCCGGCACTCCGGGTGCCCTGGGGAGGGGCCGGGCTGGAGACCACAGAGGGTGGGTCAGAGCACAAAGCTGTGTTGGGGGGCTGCAGCTGTGAGGGGCCTGACCTCCAGACCACCTGAGCCTTGCTTCCTTGGCCTCTGTGGTCCCCAGGGTTCCGGACAGTGACCCAGTGGCAAATCCCCTCTACCTGTCTCCAAAGCTTGCACCAGCCCACAAGTCCTGGCAAGGCGGGGCTCTCAGAGATGCCAGGAGGGGAAAGCCGGTGGGAGGTGTGGCGGCTGAGGTGCTTGATGCTCTTTCTGCTGGAAGGTCTGACCGCTGCCTTTGAGAGGACAAGTAGGTGCTGCGTTACGGGGGGTCTTGGGTGCCTGTGGCCGGGGGCAGCTGTGCGAAACCCCACTCTGCAGTCCTCCCTCTGCACATCTCCGTGACAAGCACGGTGGGTCCTGAGCACGAGCTTTGTGGCCAGGCTGCCTGGCTTGCATTCAGCCTGGGCCACTCGCTGGCTGTGTGGCCTTGGGCAAGCGGCTTGCCCTCTCTGTGCCTCAGTTTCCTTGTCTATACAGTGGGAATCATGACAGCATCCACCCCCAGGAGTTTGCCATAAGAATTAAACAAATCCCTGTAGAATCTTGAGCAACGTACGAAGCGTCCACTCCACAGTGGGGGTCAACACCGTTGCCGTGAATGGCTGATTTGCTGACAGCTTCCGCTACACAAACCCTCTTCATTTCATTCCATCATCCCAGCCACCCGCTGCCCATGGGCATTACCACCTCTGCAATTCGTGAGCCAAAACCAAAGCTCAAAGGCTATGTGGCAGGGACCGGAACAGATATGTGTTACGTACCTGACGGGGGAGATGTCATCCTGCCAGCACCGTGCAGGCTGCATCCAGACAACCCCCGACCCACCGCTGCACGGAGGAGGCCACTGAAGCAACACACTTAGAGTCAGGCAGCGACACCCAGCAGCTCCGAGCTGTCTCCACGCTGGAATTAACTGGGAATTGAAACAGTCGTGCAGGTTTGTCTAAGGAAGCTCCTTTCTCTGGCCTTCCCGTTGTTCTGGGAAACATGCTCTGGTTTTCTTTTGCAGTCTGTTTCCCTACAACACAGCTGGGGCATCTGGAAGTCTAGGAGTGGGGTTAGGGAGTGGGGAGCAGAATAGGACCTGGAAGAGACAGAGTGCAGACCTTCCCAGGGAGACTGCAGTTCCACCCAGGAAGGCCCGAGGGCCAGGAAAGCCTTGGAATACAGGGAGGTAGGATCTGAACTCCACAGATGGCAACTTGACCCCTTCTTGGGGGTGCACAGGGGCTGCCACAGCCATGGCCTCACAGCGTCTGTCCAGGCTGAGAGAAGAAGGAGTGTGTCCATTATACAGGAGAGAAAACCGAGGCTCAGCGACATGAAGGGCTCACCCAGCTCCCTTGACCCTAATGTCTCACTTCACCACCGGGTCTCTGCTGCCCCAGTCCCAGACAGGACCTCTGCTCGCCCTGGCCCTATGTGGGAGGGGCCCAGACTGGGAAACAGGGAGGAGAAGTTTAAGGATGTGTTAGTACCCTGTGGATGCCACAGCAAATTATCACAAACCAGGGGACTTTCAACAAGAACTCAATTCTCACAGTTCTGACAGCCGGAAGTCTAAAATCCAGGGGTGGCAAGGCTGTGCTCCCTCCTGAGGCTCAGAGGAGGCTCCTTCCTGCTGGTTCCAGGTCTTGGTAGCTGTGGGCATCCCTCAGCTCGTGGCCACATCACTCATCTCTGCTTCCATCTCCACATGGCCTCCGCCCCTTTTCTCTCTGTCTCTCCTGTCCAAGGAGAGGACAAGAGTCTGCCATAGGATTCTGCTGCTTGTCTCACCAAGAGGCAGGGTCCATCTTCCCACTCCTTGTTGCGGGGGTGGCCGCGGCTGGCTATGACCTGGACCAGTGGTGGAGGCACTGTTCGCTTCCAAGGAGAGCCTGAGAAGACTTTGCTGTTCTTCCTCTCCCTGCCTGTCCCACCTGAACACCTCAGTTCAGAGGTGAGGTGGATGCAGTGGCCCAGCGTAGGAAGCCACCGAGGGGCAAGGAGGGTAACTCATGGGTGCTGGTGGGCAGCCTGGCAGGTGAGGAGAAGCAGCAGGTCGAGGGTGGAGGCTCTGGCCCAGTGCAGTGGGTTGGTTCTGGCTGGATGAGAAGGGTGCCTGCCCATGGAGTGGTGCAAATGACAGCCCAGCGCAGGGTCTGAGAGCCCAAGCACAGAGCCGGGTTTCCCCCACGGCATGGGGGCAAGAGTCGGGAGCTAGGGAGACTGAATTCCCTTGGGGGAATAACCAAATAAATAAATATGTTGAGGACAATGAAAGCCAGGTTTCTTGCTGGAAAGGAAGTTACAGACACAGAGAAAGGGAGAAAACAAGAACTACCCCTGCAGTGCTGGATTTGAACAGGGTCCTTGGTGTGAAGGCACGGTAGTAACACAGATAGATGCTGAAATACACAGAGATGCGTGTGCACATAAACGCATGTATATGTGTACTTGTACCTATGTAAGTAAACACACATACATTTCCTACCTCTGCTCATGGAGATGCCTCGGAGCAGCAACACCCCAACAGCCATGAGCATGTTTAGCCCCCAGATCTTGGTTTCTAATCACCGCCCTCCCTTAAAAAGAACCAAGATCCTTGGAGAAATGTCTGATCCTGACACTGGGCCAGGGACAGGACAAAGGTAAATTGGACTCACCCTGCTGTGTTAGAAAGTAAAGACACAGGCCCAGCGAGGCGGCTCATGCCTGTGATCCCGGCACTTTTGGAGGCCAAGGCAGGTAGATCCCTTGGGCCCTGGAGTTTGAGACCAGCCTGGGCAACATAGCAAAACCATGACTCCACAAAAAATAGAAAAATTAGCCAGGCATGATGGTGTTCACCTATGATCCCAGCTACTCAGGAGGCTGAGATGGGAGGATCACTTGAGCCTGGGAGGTAGAAACTGCAGTGAGCAGAGATTGTACCACTGCACTCGAGCCTGGGCAACAGAGTGAGACCCTGTCTCAACAACAACAACAACCATCAAGATAATAAAGACAGGCCGGGCACGGTGGCTCATGCCTGTCATCCCAGCACTTTGGGAGGCTGAGGCGGGTGGATCACCTGAGGTCAGGAGTTGGAGACCGGCCTGACCAACATGGAGAAACCCCACCTCTACTAAAAATACAAAATTAGCTGGGTGTGGTGGTGCATGCCTGTAATCCCAGCTACTCAGGAGGCTGAGTCTGGAGAATCGGTTGAACCCAGGAGGCAGAGGTTGCAGTGAGCCGAGATAACACCATTGCACTCCAGCCTGGGTGACAAGGGCAAAACTCCATCTCAAAAAAAAAAAAAGAGAGAGAAAGAGATAATAAAGACATGCTCAAGGAATGAGAGGGATGTGCCGCACGGACACAGGGGCCACCGTGAAGGGGCTCCTGCTGACCAGATGGAGGACGACTTAAGCAGGAAAATGATGCTGGTGATGGATTAGCACCGACAGGTGAAATAGGAATCCAGGGGACCCTACTTTCCTAAATTAATGAATGGTTAACTGTAAGCAGGATGAGGAATGGGACATTCACATAGTCCCAGAGCACTTCCCTACAAATTACTTGTGAATTACAAAAAGAAAAAAAAAAGAGTATAGTGGGGATGGCTGACAGACACTACCTTAATTAATCTAGTGATCAAAGTTAATATCCCCAGTAATGGGACAAATGCCATTGGTGAGCCACATGGTCAGGTGCAATGAGAACAACACAGCATCCTGCCTGTGATGTTCCTGCCAATGATGTGAAAACCTGAATCTACTCAGGAGGATGTGTCAATCATTCCCAATGCTGGAACTCAGACAAATAATCCTGTCATGAGTAGCCTTGTGCAGAAATTGCTTTGTGACCTTGCCAGCGTGTCTTTGGAGTACATTCCTAGAAGTGGCATTGCTGAGTGAAAGGGTGAGTGTACTTGTACTTTTGCTGGAAATTCAGCAATGCATTTAAAAGCATACCTACTGTAATTCATCTACCATTGGGAACTCTGCAATGACGGTCCTTCTCTGAATAGCTCCTCTGTGAATCTGCTGGAATGGAAATCTCTCTCGTACTCTTGTCTAACAACCGTTTCTTCAATAGTTGAAACTCCAAACAGGCAAACCAAGAATCCAGGCCTTTATTTGTCCTCAATCACTGTAATTTTCCTGTTTTAGCCTCCTATGGCTGCCATAACAAACACCACCAACTAGGTGGCTCAAACAACAGAATTTGATTGTCTCACAGTTCAGGATGCCAGAAGTCAGAAACTTTGCAGCAATAAATTACTGCCTAACCTTATAGATTTACCTCTTGGAACTTGTTCTGCAGTGGGCAAGTTATGCAAACCTACCCCAAAAGTCCAAGAAAGCAGACAGGCTGACATACCCAGTTTCTCAGAAAGGAACATTTAACAGAGACTGGGCAACAGAAGCTGCATCTGTGTCTCAGTGGGGGCCGCAAGACAAGAGGGTGGCTCCCTGAACCGTGACCTCAGACCCAGGGGTTATATGCCACAGGGAGAGGGTAGACGTGCTCCAGAAGGGATGTGTAGGACAATTGCTCTAAGGGCAAGATTTATGGTAAGCGCAAGGAACAATAGAGAAACTGGAGATCTTAGAGACCTTCCTGGAACCAGAGTGAGTGAGAAGTCAACGTGGCAGATTAGCATCTAAGACGGAGTTCCTTCAGCCTCCACAGTACCGAAGGCTGGGGAAGGTTTTCCCTCTGGGGAAGGTTTTCCCACTTACTCTGTGTCCTGAGCAGGAAGTGTTGTGGGTTGCATTTTGTCTCTCCAAAATTCATATGTTGACATCCTAACCCCCAGGACCTCAGAATGGGACCTTATTTGGAAACAGGGTCACTGTCAATGTAGTTAAGATGGGGTCACACTGGCGCAGGTGGGCCCTAATCCAGCATGACTGGCGTCTTCCTAAAAAGGGGGAAATCTGGTTACAGACACACACAGGAGATGCCAGGTAAAGATGAAGACACAAGTTGGGGTGATGCCTCCTCAAGCCAAGGAACATGGGGGACCACCAGCCGCCCCAGGAGCCGGAGCGAGGCTGGGAACAGATTCTCCCTTGCAGCTTCAGAAGGAACCAGCAAAGGGCTGCATACCTTTCGCTATGGCATCTAAGTGCTGGGTCAGGGGGTTCTGGTGTAGGGAGCCACCATCTTGCATCACCACCATCCAACACACAGATGCGTCTTATGTCCCTAAGGCTATGTTAAATGTTCCTTTCTCAGAAATGGGATATGTCAGCCTCTCAGCTTTCCCAGACTTTTGGGGGAGGTTTGCATAGACCTGCCCACTGCAGAACAAGTTCTAAGAGGTAAATCTATTGGGTCATAGCAGTAATTTATATCTGCAGGAAAAACCACCGTTGACTTAGTGGGCTCTGCTCCCAGGCAGAGCTAGGGGGAGCTGGCCTGGCAGGAATGTCACCATGGCAATGCTCTTCACCGCAGCAGGGGAAATTCCTTCCTCCTTCTGTTAGTGGTATCCCTACGCTCACTGGGCCAACCTCCTGGCCCTTCAGAAACAGGCATAGCCCACAGGCCCTCAGTCATCGGGGGCCCAACTCCACCGCCCCTCTTCTGAGCTGCCTAGTTGGAGTAATTCCTTCTGCTTCGCCATGTTTTCCCAGCCCTGGGGTGGCAGCGGCTTCCCAAGGTTGCTACTCCATGGCGTCTCAGAGTCCCTCTGCCTTTCCATCCCTCAATACCAAGCTACCCCTTCTCTACACGGGACTCTCTGTTAGAACGATGGGTGGTTTCTGTCTCCTGAGGGGACCCCGAACAAGAAAAGTGATGGGGAAAGGGGTCTGAGTCCCGTGAGTTCGGAACATGCCAGGCTGGGCTCACTGCAGTGAAGGCCGTCTCTGCAGGGAGGTCAGGGCGGTTAATTTGCTCAGGGTCGACACAGATCTCTAGTGGTGGGGATGGGCCCAGTGTATGGCATCTCCCAGGCTTCAGCAGCCACAGGGTCCTTTTTTCAGAGAAGCCTTGCAGGAATGATGTTCCAGAGAACATCTTGGAACTCAGATCATCAAGAAGAGATGGGTTAGAACAGCACCAAATATTCAGCTTTGAATCCATTCAGCGTTTTCTGCTCGAGTAGTGAGGCCCTGACGATCTGTGAGCCAGAGAAGCTTTCAAAGCCCTTTCTCTCTGAAGTGAGGAAGGCTGTACCCGGGGCCACGAGGACCCCATAAGGCTGAATGACTGAACCCACACTGGGGTCAGCAGCGTCACAGATGTTTTTTGTGACCCTCAGCCACTTTGAGGCTCCATTTGACGGCTATGCAAGCCTCGGCCCAGCACAGAGGGCTGCCTCGAGGCGAGATGGAAACTGGGAAAGGGATGGAGTCCAAGCTCGGATCCCAGCCCAGGGTGCCTTCTGGGGTGAAGCAGGGAAGGACAAGGTCTGGTTATGGCCGTATGGCCTCTGCTCCCCGCTTCTCCAGAGGAGAGTGGACAGGTTGAGATTTCCAAGAGAAAATGCTTTCAGCAAGAGGCAATTGCTTCCCTATCAACCCTAGGCTTTCAGGAAACCTGCACCTGCCAACACCTTTTGCTGTGGCTGATTTCACTGAAGATGAGACCCCCAGCTCTGGATCTGGTGTTTGTTAGCGCAGCCGGCCCTGGACAACTGCCGAGCAGAGCTGGGCCCCCTTCCAGGGACAGCAGAAAATGCTCAAGGCTGCTTACAAAAGCAAACTCAGGCCAGGCGCGGTGGCTTATGCATGTAATCCCAGCACTTTGGGAGGCCGAGGCGGGCAGATCACCTGAGGTCAGGATTTCGGGACCATCCTGGCCAACATGGTGAAACCCTGTCTCTGCTAAAAATACAAAAATTAGCCAGGCTGGTAGTGTGTGCCTGTAACCTCAGCTTCTCGGGAGGCTGAGGCAGGAGAGTCGCTTGAACCCGGGAGACAGGTTGCAGTGAGCCGAGATCATGCCATTGCACTGCAGCCTGGGTGACACAGCAAGACTCTGTCTCAAAAAAAAAATAAAAAAAGTAAACTCAAGGTGAGCTGGGCCGCACCCGAGTCCCTGCCAGGGCTATGTAACCCTGGGTCTGCAGGTCACTCTGCCTCAGGCTCAGTCTTCATGACTGTAAAATGGGCTGAATAATTCCTCACCTGTTAGAGAGCAAAGAGCTAAGCCACAGAGCACCTGAGAAGGATGCCAGCAGCCTTCAGGTGTGGCCTGTATGTCCTCACGATCCAACAGCTCTGGGGGCAGGAAGCACATATTTTAAAGATATAAAGGTATTTCAAAGAAATGATGATAAACTACCCAGATGTCTCCCTCTGGTTCCTCCAAGAAAACACATGACAGTAAAATCGCTCTAAGCAAACTGAATCTTGGTGCAGGGAGCCAGCTTTCTCTCCATCTGAAGACACTTTCTCCTAAATATTAAGATCATTAACACGTTTCCAGACAGGAAGAATGTACTGTTGTTAGCTTTAGACAAACATTATGCTAATTTCAAATCTAGAGCCAAAAACATGCTCCCACCACAATGTGGACGTCTTATTTGTCTTGGTTTCCTCCCATGTCTGATCAGCAGATGGAAACGCAAGTGCTTCAGCTCCTAAGGGGCGCTACGGACTGCCAGAAGGTAATCAAAACCACAGGCTACAGATGATGTGGATGGGGAGGAATTCCGCTCTTCTGGGCAAACTCCGGGTTTGGCTCCTCCTGCCTCGATTTCCTCCTTCCTCTGCCTGTTACCTTTCCTGCCTCAGGGGGTCCTCAGCTAACTTCCCGGTATTCTCTTCTCTCGAGACCCCAATGTCCCTCCACTCTGGTCACCTCCGTCTTTCACAATACAGCAGAGGTAGCTCCTCTCCCTTGTCGTTCCTTCCCCCAGCCCTTCTGGCTTGAAATGCTTTTACTTCCCCGGGCCCATCTAGAATGACAGCAACTGCATGTGCCTGGCTCTGTGCTCTGGGGGCTGGGGCCCAGCATGGGATTAGGTCAGCCTTCAGGCTAGTCCAAGTGAGTGGAGGTGGGAGCCAGGGACTGGTGATCCGAGGGGGACTCGTGCCAAGGACCATGATGGGACAGAGCAGAGGTGGCAGATTTTGCCCAAGGAGGCCCGAGAATCTCCAAGTGAGATGTAAACGCTGCCCACAATGTTTAAGACATCATTTAACAAAGAGTCGGTGCCCTAGGGTGCAGGCAAGTCCCAGCGTGGCAGGGAGGAGGCACCGAGGCTTGGGGTTGTGAGTCAGCCCAGACCAGCTGCAGGACACAAAGCAGGTAGGGAGGGACTTGCCAGAAGAGCTGGAGAGGAGGGAATGCCTGAGGCAGAGGGGCTGCTGCCAGGTTCAGGAACCCATTTGCTGGGCCATCTTGGGCAAATCACTCCACCTCTCTGGGACTCTGCGTCTGCACTTCTAAATGAAGACAGCACGGTGGCCTCACAGGCCAGCTGAAGAACACGAGTGAGGTCACGGCCACGAGTGCCACATGGGAATGGCCCTGGCTGTCTGCTCCCTGCCCCGTTCCAGAAACCAGCCTGATGACTGGCCAGTCAAAGGAAGAGAGGGAGGAAGGAGGAAGAAGGAGAAAAGGAAGGAAGGCAGACAGGAGAGAAGGAGGAGGGGAGGGCGAGAAGGTGGGAAGGACAGAGGGAGGGAATATGTGTTTTTCTTTTGCAGAGACTATAGAGCTGCTTAGACCACTTGAGATGCAAAACCCAAGCCACACTTCGGGGTAAACTCTTCCAAAAAGTGTTTGTTTGGGAAAAAAAAAAAAAAAAGACTTGTTAGGGGAAAAGTCCCTCCAGGTTTCCGTGGTAACCCCCAGCTCCAGCCAGGATAAGTGAACTCATGGAGGACCCAGCAACTCCAGAGACATCTTCCAAGCCTGAGACCCCCTGGGAGCTGGAGCAGGATGATCTTCCAAAGCTGAGCCCCCTGGGAGAACAGTGATCTTCCAAAGCTGAGACCCCCGGGAGCAAGGTGATCTTCCAAAGCTGAGACCCCCGGGAGCACGGTGATCTTCCAAGGCTGAGACCCCCGGAAGCACGGTGATCTTCCAAGGCTGAGACCCCCGGAAGCACGGTGATCTTCCAAGGCTGAGACCCCCGGAAGCACGGTGAGCAGGCTGTCCAGCTATCTCTACAATGGCCCTGTCATTCCTTGAGTAACTCAAGGCGATGTGCTTTTCCAGTGAATTGAACCTGGAGCTGTGTTGATTTGTTTTTCCCGAACTCATTTCCATTTAAATCAGCTGACCTTCAGCCCCTTGCATAATGCAGGCGTTCTTGAAGAGAAATCAATCAACACTTGAAGGAAATGGATTTGTGTTTGCATCTTCTCGGATGGGCCTTCTGCCCTGCATGCCCAAGGTCTAAATCTGTGTTTCAATCACTGTGCACGTGTGTGTGTGCGCATATATGTGTGTGTATGCATGCACTTGTGTGTGCAGAGGCTAGGTGGCAGGGGGCAGCCATGTCCCAAATTCAAATCTACCTCTTCCTGCTGCTGTGTGCCCTTAAGTGAGTTCCCTAACCTCTCTGGGCCTCTGTTTCCTCTTCAGTGAACTGAGGTTGGCCTGTTATTTCACCCGGTTATTGAAGGAATCACCAGGAAGCAGAGATGTCTGTCTCTCAACAGCGCCTCTTCTCAGCACTCCCCACCTCCTCAACCTCCAGAGTGTGGAAAGAACCATGATCTTGGGCACTGCCATACCCTGCAGGTCCCCAGGCCTCCATCCCTAGAACACAGCAGGCACAGTGGCTGGGGGGGAGGGCCACCTGGCCTAGGGACTAGGCTCCCTGCCCACCAGCCTCCTGAGGTCAGGCTGGAGGGATGGGGCCTGCGTCAGTGTTGGTGGCCAGCAAGGACTCAGCTTGTTGTGCAGCTCCAGGTGGCTGGGACCGGGGCACCACGCTGAGCTGGTAGACTCCTGGACCTGCCCACTGAGCTGGAAGGCCCGCCACACCCTGTTAGCATGGAACATGCCACCGTCAAAGTCCTAGTGTGCTTCCCGGAACCCCTGAGAGCCCAGGGGCCTCTTCAGGGCCCACACACTTGTCATACATCGGCTGTGTATGAGGGAGCGGGCCCAAGCCAGGGCATGGGGTGTGGAGGCCCAGGAGCGCTTGCCTGGCCACCGTTCCCAGGAGGGGCTGGGGAATTATCTCCAGGTCAGCTTCATCTTGTGGATCCACCTGCCTGTCTGCTCCTACTCAGACCCCATCCACTCCTTACAGCTAGGTAAACTGAGGCCCACAGGGGCCAGCGCCTTGCCCAAGTTTCTCCCACAGAGCTTGGATTCCTCCCAGAACCTAATCCTCAGAACCCAGAAGCGTTTTCTGGGGCCAGAGAAACAAGAGGTCTTGGGTCCAAGCCAGGGCCTCCTCGGGCGGCTGTCGCAGGCCATTTGCTCAGCTTTTGGGGCTGGTTTGTCACTGGGAGAGCTCCAAGACCCATGGCTGGGCCCAGGGGGATATGGGCCATTAGCCCCATCAGTGCCCCTAGAGTCCCTGAGCTTCTTGAACTCTGCCTGGGCTTGGTAAGGGTGCCTGGCTGTGGGACTCTGGGTGGCAGAGGCCACCCTGCATCCCATAGGCCCTGAGCCCGAGGCCCAGAATCTGCTCTCTCTGGCCTGAATGCACAGGCACCCACCCTGCGCTGCTGTGGACCTGGGGCCTGTGGGCTGCGTGACTCTGGACCCCTTACCCAGCTGCCCTGGGCCTCCTAGTTTTTGTCCTCCAGATGGGGGTGACGTCATCATTGTGAGGCTCAAAGGGGAACCCACCCGAGGTGCGCACAGCACCCCACCCCTCCCTGCCCCTCCCCTGCCCCACACTGGGAGGGGGAGTTATTCTCCCCAACATTCAGGAGGCAAAACTAGCGCCTGAGAAACACACCCAGAATGTGGCCCTGAGACCAGGCCCTTGGCAGACCCAGCTCCAGAAACCTGGGCCCTGCCTCCTCTAAGTCACAGTCACCATCATCCACCTTGGCCCTCTTCCCGCCCCGCCCTCCTCCCACCCCTACCTGTTACCTCCTGAGAGTAGTTAAGTCAGATCTCCAGGGTAGACCTTCGACATCCCTGCAGAGGGCTGGGCCAAGGGTGACACTGCACCATTAGCCCTAACTGTGCCCCTAGAGTCCCCAACGCAGGGGGAGAGGACAGCCCACAGGCAGCTGCCTGGGGAGCAGCAGCAGGACAAGGGCGGCCCTAATTTGCAGGGATCTCCCTGAGCCCCTCTGAGACCAGCCCCACCTTGCCCAGGGCCCAGGACTGAGCACTCAGGGTGCACAAGGGAAGAACGGCCTGCCGCTGGCGCAGGTGGAGGCTCTCTGTGGGGGGTCTTAGTCCAGAAGTCAAGGCTAGCTCCATGGGCTCAAGGGACCTGTACAGTCCCGCAGGGCCCCGTTCAGAAGGGCCCCTCCTCTGTGTTTGCTGCCTTCAAAGTCACAATATTTCTTGAGTTTTTGAGCAAGGGCCATCTTTCATTTTGCACTGGGCCACATGGATCATGTAGCCGCACCTGCCTAGAGCAGGGCCTCTCACTGAGGGCGGGGTGTTCTGTCCCCAGAGGTCAAAGCCCAGAGAAGTTAAGACACTGCTGAAGGTCGCCCAGGGCCTCTGGCACAACCAGGCCTGGGACACTTCCCACGATGGGCAGAACAGGAGACAGGAGGAGGGTCTCTGCTGCTCGGGGGACTCCCAGCCGCCGCCGGACCCCTGAGGCGCCCCCCACCCCCGCCTGACCCCATGGCAGCGCCTGGCAGGGCGCAGGGTCACCGCCCTGCCGGAAGGTTAAACAAACAGAAGCGGAGGAGGGGGCCAGGAGGGGGAGTTCCAGCGCTTCTCGGCTTTCGGGGCGAGTTGGTGCCCCCCGCCGGGGCCTGGTGGGAGAGGGGAGATAATCCGCCCCGGCAGAAGCGCCTCCGGGAGGCTCCGGGTCTGCCACGGCCCCTTGGCCCTGGAAGAGGACGGCAGCGGAGAAACCTGGCTGCGGAGCGGCGGGAGCGCAGGGCCGGGGCGGGCCGCGATAAGATGAGGACAGCACGGGCTGGGCCGGGGGCGGCCGCAGAGGCCGGGCTGGGGACGAGCACTCCCTAGGGTGAAGGTACTCGAGGTCCCAATGCGCCCCGAGCGCTCCCTGCCCTCCCCGTGCAGGCGCCGCTGGCAGTGGCTTCGTTCCGGTAATTTAAAACCGTGGGGAGAAGCGGGGCTGTTGAGCGCTGAGACGCAGCCCCGACCCAAGGTCAAAAGCCGCGCGAAGAGCAGTTAAGATGGGACTTTGTTCTTGCTGGTAACGCATTGGGCCACACGACAGGGGCGACCTCGCCACCTGGTCCTTCGCCAGAGGGGAGCGCCAGCTCATTGGGGTCGCATTGTCCCCAGTGGCGCAGCGTGTCTGCCTGCCAGATTCCGGGGCAGTTGGGCAGAGGCCGGGATCCCCCGCAACCCGGCCTTCGGGCCACCTCTGCCGCGCTCGGTCTCTGCCCAGGAGTCCAGGCTGTGTTTGGCCGGAAGGGGCCCTGGGCCCATTTTGAGAACGGCGTTACTACCGAAGGGGTGGGTGGCGGAACTGAGGAGGGAGCAGGGCTGCGACCTCACCCCCACAGCCTCTCGTCACCTCGAGAGCCTCAGCTGCGCCGTCTGGGAAACCGAGGCTCAGGGCTGCACCGAGCAGAGGTGTAAGGGGGACCCAGGTAGGCCACAGGGCAGGAAGGTAGCGCGGGCGGAGGTCGCTCCTGCCGCGGCCCGGCGCCCCGGGAAAGGCCCGAGGCACAGGAGAGCACCGTTCTTGGGACCGGAACCGATGGGTAGGGCCACAGGGCCAAGCGTCTGAGACCGCGTCCCAAAACCCAGCGCAAGCCCCCGACCGCCGGGGCTCGGCTGCAGTAGGTCACTCCGGGGGACCCGGTGCTCCGAGGCGAGAAGAAAGCGGGACGGGCAACAGCGGCGGCCCACGGTGCCCGGGAAGGGGGCAGTGGTGGGAAACGAGAGCGCGCCGGGCCCCGCGTGGTTTCCCCGCGTGCTTTTTTCCCTAAACTCTTAAGACCAATCGTGCGCACCAGGCACTCGACCATGTCCAAGTCTGCTCGCTCCGTCGCGGCATGGACTCTCCCCAACTTTGAAACAGGGCGGCGGGTGGGGTGGCGGCTTCGGGCCGGCAGACAGTAATTCCTGCCCGGGAGGGTGGCCTCGGGAGAGGCGCTGGGTCCTCGGGAACTGCGCCGCGGTAGTCACTCGCCTGCTGTTGGTGCCCACGTCCCCGCGGGGGCTGCACTCGCACACGCCGCGCTAGACCGACCGGAGGCAGGCGTTTCCCGGAGCCAAGGCGCGCACCGACGCGGGGAGGGGGCAGGCGGCCGGGTGGGGGGAGTCGGCTTGCTGTCCGCAGCGTCGTGGGGCGGGGGCGCGGCCATTGGTGTCCTTTCTTGGAGAGGTCACATCAGAGCCTTGAGCAACCGAGAAAGAAACCCAGACAAACAGGGAAGGAAGCGTCTTATCCGGCTTAAAACGCGCAGATGCTGCGGGCGGGGTGGGCCGAGGGGTGGCGGCGGGCAGAGGACCCAGGAGGGCCCCGCCCGCCATCGGTGCCCGCGCCTTTGGACCCCCCGCCGCTCTCGGGAACCCGGGGCCCCGGGCGCCTCCGAGAGGGCGGCAGCCGGGGAAGGGCGTGGGGGGAGGGGAGGGGTGGCGTGGGGATGAGGGAGGGGGTGGCGTGGGGGGAGGGGAGGGGTGATGTGGAGTGAGGGAGGGGATGGCATGGCTGGGGAGGCAGATGGCGGGCCCTGCTGGGCTGGCTGCCTGCGCTCTTTCGCCGCCAAGACTTCTCGGCAAACCCAGCCTGCGTCCGGGGAGGGCGTGTTTGCGGAGTTAGGCCAGCGAGGACGCGGAGACCCAGTGGAGGAGCTACTGTGAGTGTAGTTCCTCCAGACTGTTCGGCTCGCGATAGCGTCTTCGTAAGCGTCTGTGTTTGCGGGGTAACCGCGGGTCCCATGCAACCCAAAGCCTCAGTCTTCCTCCATAAAATGGGGCTAACAGGGCCGCCTGGGGATGTCCTGGCTGGCCCGTGGTGCGCCTGGGCTCTCTGAGTTTCTCGAGGAGCCGCCCGCAGCTCCGGGAGGGCCCGAGACAACTCGCAGCTTCGCGGTCGCAGACGCCTGGGTTCGCACACGCGGTCAGACCGGGCACCACGGTAACAGCGCTCAGGTGACGCAACTTGGCGCTCCAGTTGCGCGCGGCCCAGCGGGGCTGCAAACGCCGAGCTGGGGAGGAGGAGATAGGGCAGGACGCAGCCGGGAAGACTGCCTGGAGGAGGCCAGGTCAGAGCTCCGCTCTGAAGGGCATGAGTCGGGAGTGTTGAGTGTCCTCTCCCGTCATTTCACCACTCCAGAGTCCCGAAGGTTCCCACCGTCTTTTCCCAACCCACATGGGGCAAGGATCCCGCCCCCAAACCCCGACTTTTCCTTGGGGTTTCAGTACCGGCTCACAGTGGCTTTGCGGGGTTCAAACGTGCAGCTGCGGCTCGGATTCGTTTCTGTCCGCGGATAGGATGGAGCGTCTGTGAGCCGCGGGTTCTCGGTTTTGGGCGAAGCAGTGAAGCAAACAGTGGCTCTCGCAGGGAGCTTTTAGGGGTGTGGTGGTGTAAAGCACACAGAGAACGCTGCTGTATGGTCTGAGGTCAGGGAAGGGGACTGGGCATCTGAGCTGGGTGTGAGCAACACGAAAGCCATTTCC
The DNA here is from genome assembly GCF_000001405.40 of Homo sapiens. NCBI lineage: Eukaryota > Metazoa > Chordata > Mammalia > Primates > Hominidae > Homo > Homo sapiens. The sequence goes on along the minus strand of NC_000004.12, from coordinate 8,891,499 downwards.
CCGGTGCTGGGAACAGTGGAGATGTGACCGCTGCTGCCTGCGCTTGAAGGCAGCGCCTGGAGTTTGGAGGACCGAGTCTAGGAGCGGAGTTTGGAGTTAGAGCTCCTAAGAGGAGACGAGGAGACAGCGGTCCCTGAGACCCCAGCGACGGGACAGCATTGGGACTTGGTGCACATGGGACCAGCGTTAGGAGGGGAGCCGAAGCCTGGAACTGGCAGTGCAGGGGCTGCAGGGCCTGTGAGGCCTCCTCAGGCCTGCTTTCCCTACTCCCAGCTAGGGGAGGGGTTCAGAAATGCCTGCGGGGCTGAGGCTGTGCCTGGGCCAGCCAGGCCTTGCCGGCGACCCACCACGACCTGGGGTGGGTGGGGAGGACAGTGTTGGTCCCAGCAACAGCACTGAGGTAGAACTCATTAGTAATTTTTTTTTTTTTTTGAAGATGAGGCCTCGCTGGGTCACCCAGACTAGACTGCAGTGGTTTGATCACAACTCCCTGCAGCCTCGACCTCCTGGGCTCAAGCGATCCTCCAACCTCAGCCTCCCGAGTAGCTGGGACTACAGGTGCGCACCAGCAGACCCGGCTAGGGATCATCATCATTACACCCATTCTCTGGAGGAGAAACCTGAGGCTCAGGTCACTCAGCAAAATACACTAAACACAGTGAAACGGGTGCACTTCACTTGGAGTCTAGTCAGCCATTTGGGACACACCTCCCAGTCCAAGAGATAGCTGGACAGTGGAGAAATGGAACCCCTCCTGGAGCCAGGACTGGCTCAAAGAGCGGTGGGTTGTATTCAAGGCTGAACAAGCTTGAGAAGCCCCTGCTGCCCGGGCACAGCCAGGCAGAGACTGGAGAGGAGGAGGAAGTGCAGCAATGCCCCAGACCCAAAGAACAACCTGGTTGGGGGGATGGTGCCAGGGCTGGATAGAGGAAGACCAAGTCCCCCCATGCCTCCTCCACTCTCCAGGGAGCACTGTCTGGCCTACCTCAATTTGTGAAAATGCCAGCTCACGTCCTGGGGAGTGGAGCTTGCAGGGGCACCTGGGAGAGCCTCTGCCCAGCTGGAGCAGCTGTCAGGTTTGCCTAGTTTGCTGCTGCAAGCGATTAGATACAGAATTGGCGCACTAATTCTGGGTCCCAGCAGCCCCATCCAGTGACATGAAGACAGTTTAAGTCCCCTGGAGCACAGATAATCCCCTTGTCGCTGGGCTCCCTGGCCCTGCCTGAGCTGCTTCTGTAAAATGGGGCAGCCAGGCTTGGGAAAAGCAAGGCGGGGTGCTGTGTCTGAGAGCGCTCTGACAGCGCCAGGCAGGGGTGAGTGTCAGGGTTTGACAAATCCACTCCCCCCACCCATTTTGGAAGATAATTGGCTTGGGGATGACCCTGTCCTCTTGGCCTCAGCCCTTCCTTCCCCCGGGGATAACCCTGGACATTTTTTTTTTTTTTTTTTGAGATGGAGTCTTGCTCTGTCGCCCAGGCTGGAGTGCAGTGGCGTGATCTCGGCTCACTGCAAGTTCTACCTCCCGGGTCCACGCCATTCTCCTGCCTCAGCCTCCCGAGTAGCTGGGACTACAGGCGCCTGTCACAACGCCCGGCTAATTTTTTTGTATTTTTAGTAGAGACAGGGTTTCGCTGTGTTAGCAAGGATTGTCTCGATCTCCTGACCTCGTGATCTGCCTGCCTCGGCCTCCCAAAGTGCTGGGATTACAGGCGTGAGCCACCGCGCCCCGCCCCGCCCCTGGACATTTACATTTAAGGGGAGTAAACAGGATTTCTGGCCCTGGGAGCTGTTAGGATGGTTTTAGAGACCCCTAAAGTAAATCCAGCCTCTGCCTCCTCTGGTTGGTGGCTCTGGGTGAGTGCCACCACCTCCCAGGACCTCTGCTTTCTCCTGGCAAAGCCTGGGTGTGAGCCTGGCTCCAGGTTTACCTGTCACAATTGATCGTGATCTTGCACGTTGATTTGCTTATTTGTATGACGTCTGCAAACTGTACTGACTTGTTCACAGCTAAAGCCTCACTCATCAAACTTTGCCCAGCACAGACAGATTGGGAATGAAGGAATAAATGAATGAGTGCGGGAGGGACCCCACCATTTACTAGACCCAGTGGAGGATTTCAAGGGAAGCTAAGCTCAACGAGGGTGCACATCACTGCTGGGTGCTGGAGGTTCTGGGCCCTGTGGGGCAGGCACTGCCACCTGCCATTTCCCTCCCTGCGCCAACCTTGTGCAGCAGCGGCTCAGGACCGAGTCTTGTCGGGGTTTATGGGGCCCTGGCGCAGCAGCCAAACGTCCTTCTGAGAAGTTGGGGGAGGGTCTTTGAGATCCCAGAGAGGCAAGGGGCGGAGAGAATTCGTAGCAATTTAACAAAAGGAAGCTACTTCTGTGGGGGTGGGATAGCACATGGTCGGGGCACAGTTACTGGGTGGCCCCTGAGCGTGGCAGTCCAAGGCCCCTGCTGCCCTTGCCTTTCTGGTTTATTTTTTCCTTTTCTCCACCGCGTTTACTCCTGTGCAGCACAGTGCATCCCCCTGGAGATCTAAACGAAATCCCCTGGAGGAAAGGCAGACTCCACGCATGGCCCTCAGGCACCTGCTCAGTCCCCTTCTTGCAGGTGCAGATCTCCCTGCGCAGGGGAAGAGGCCAGGTTTGTAGCTGTGAGGTCCCACCCAGCTTGGCGTCAGCACTGGGAAATCGGGGCAAACCCGTTCTTTTCTCAGGCTCAATTTTCCTCCACAGTGGAGCCGGGTGGCAGACTCTAAGGGACCATGAGGACCAGGCGCTGGGTAACCGGGAGGTGACTGACTCCCATACATCTCTCAGTGCCAGCTCTCCACCTGCTTTCAGGAGGTTTTTGGCTTCAATCATTTTGCATCAGTTTGGCCAAGAAAAGGCCCTGGAAGCAGTCGGGGTCGCCGAGCATCCAGCCCGGTTGTGTAGGGAGGGCATTTGGCCCAGCACCCAGCACCCGGCACCCAGCACCCAGCACCCAGCACTCAGCACAACACACACCTGTCACCTGTCACCTGGCATCCGGCACCCAGCACAGCATGCACCTGGCACCCAGCACCCAGCGCCTGGTACCCAGCACCCGGCACAGCACGCATCTGGGGCATTCAGTTCCTCCTGGGCTGGGTGCAGCAAGGCTGGGCGCGCTGTCTGCATTGGGAGGGCCGGCCGCCCCAGGCTTCTCCCTTTGGTACTGGGGAAGGGGTGGCCTCCTCTCTCTGGGAAACATGTTGCTGCAGCACAGCCTCAAGGGTTGGGGGTGAGCTGTGGGGTGCGGAGGTGGAGGGGCCTGAGGAGCACGGACAGTCTGGGACCACTGGCCTGTGCCCCATTGCTGCAGGGGAGGGAAAGGCTCTGTCATCGTCTTGGTTCCTGTCACCCTCACTACAAAGTGACTATGTGTATTTTTCCAATGAGAAAACTGAGGATCAAAAAGACAGTGGGCCTCGGAGCTTGGCTTGGCATTTACCAACCTGGGGGTGGGGGGGTGGCACTAAGGCCTGAGGCCCGCATGCAGCCTGTGGAGCCAGGACGGAGCTGCAGGCAGCTGTTGGCAGACTCACGGCATCAGTATCTCCCAGCAACCATACATCTGCCTCCCGGTAAAGGCAGGAGGCTGGGGTTGTTTTTGGAGAACTTGAGTTGGAATTGTGATGATGGGCAGGGCTGAGGCCCCTCCCCAGGCATTAAATGAATAAGAGGCAGGCAAAATCTCTCCCTGCTCCTCCTGAAGAAGCTCCCCTCCTGGTGGAAGTCCTGCCTCTGTGGACCAGAGGAGCCTGCTCCCCCGAAGTGATGCTGCCGTCGGGGGCCGATTGCAGCCTCATCTTGGAATTACACTTTAAAGTTGTATTCAGTCAGAGCATCTATGTGAATGCTACAGGTATTGGCCAGGGAGTGGGTTCTTCCCTGCCTGGGCTGCCCCTCAGAGGGCACTGAGATCATCCTCTGCCCTTCATGGACCCCAGTTTCCCCCTCCTGTAGATGGACCCTGTTGGACTGAAGTCTCAGCAACCCCTGAATCTCCATTTGCTGATTCTGAGCCTCCTCCAGTCCTTGCCTCCTCAATTGCCTTTTCATTAAGTGATGCTGTCTTTGCATATGTGGGGAAGAGTGGAGTTCAGGAAACTGGTGCTCCAGAGACCCCGCAAATGATTCCTAATTAAGTTAGTTCTCTGAACTTCACATCGGCTTATTGTTTTTAGATGAAGATTAAATGGAAGTGAGCTATTTTCCACTTCAGATGTCCCCATGAGACAGCCAGGCTAGATGCTGCCCCCTGTTGGCCTTCTGCACTAATTGCAGGCAAAGAAGCAACAGAGAGGACAAGCAGCCTTGCAGCTGCTTAATTTTTGCGGCTGCTGGACTTGAATACAGACCTGAAGTGGCAATAATAACATCTTTGAGGGATTCTAAAGGGGGTCAGGGACCCTCCTCCTTCCCTGCTGTGTAGAAACACAAAGTAGGAGCCAGAAGGAGACTTGGGGCCCAAGCCCGCTCTTGCGCCCTGCACTCCTCTGTCATTCATGTGTGATTGGACCCTGAAGAGTGCCTGGCCTGGCTTCCCATGTGCGCAAGGACAGGGCTGAGCTCCTTCTGGGATCTGTCTTGGGGCCAGAACAGGGCCTCGCCTGTTGACTGCATTACATCAGTAGTTGTCGGACAAATGACTAAGCAAATAAATGAGGTGACTTCATTCCTCCAGGCCTGAATTTGTAGTCTATGAGATGAGGACAGAAGAGGCAATGCCCCGGTGGGGATGAGACATTCCTGGCTGGGAGGACTATGTGAACAGCACAGGACTCTGCAGACAGCAGTATTGCCCGCCCCCCACCCCTGACCTCACCTGCTGGTCTGGCCTGCCAGGAGCCCTGGGTCATTGCTGTCAGATTTAGGTTGCATATTTGGTGGCGGGGAGCGGGGTGGCTGTGCATATAGGATTCCCCTGGAGATGGTCCGATTAGCATTTTTAGGAACAAGGAAGAGTCATTTTTAAAGCTCACTTCAGTTCTTCTCCTTCGTAGGCCCAAAACCACATTGGAAACTTTAAGATACCATGTGAATTGTAGAAATGGTGTGGGTGTGGAGATGCAGGGGAGTTTTTTTTGTTTTGTTTTGTTTTCTTGAGATGGAGTCTTGCTCTGTCGCCCAAGCTGGAGTGCAGTGGCACCATCTCAGCTCACTGCACCCTCTGCCTCCAACGTTCAAGTGATTCTCCTGCCTCAGCCTCCTGAGTAGCTGGGATTACAGGCGCCTGCCACCATGCCCAGCTGATTTTTGTATTTTTAGTAGAGATGGGGTTTCACCATGTTGATCATGCTGGTCTCGAACTCCTGACCTCGTGATCTACCCGCCTCGGCCTCCCAAAGTGCTGGGATTACAGGCACAGGGGAGTTTTAAGAGGGAAAATGCGCATTTCCGCATCTCTGTCCAAGGAGGGTGTTGTTATTTCAAGTCAGTTCCACAAACTTCCTGGAGGTGGCGGCCTTGGGACAGGACGTTCATCCCAGCGCGGCTCTACTTTGCGTATTTAAGCCTTCAGAATAAATTAACCTTAGATGAATACTTCCACTGTGCTAAAGAAGCGAGAGAATTCCAGCAAAATCTGGTTCATTGACAGACGGTTGGCCCGGACAATTCAGGTCCAAGGAGTTGTGCTGTTTTAGCACGTCCTCCCCTGGTCCTGAGAATGTAATGTAGGGTGATTGGGACACTGTTTGTGGGCAAATTTATTTGAGGTTATTTTAAAGCTGGTGTCTGTCCCCATCTTCATCTCGGTGCTGTGAGTCCGCCGGGGGCACCCTGGACTGAGAACCAGGCCCCACCTTGCAAATGTCCATGTGCTGGTTGCCCCTCCCAGCCCCATCCAAATGATCCCTTTTGGGGTGCTCAGAATAGACTGGTGGGGACAAAATGAACTTCGTTGGTTGCTAAGAATCATAGGCACAGGGATTCACGTGGGCCCTGTGGAGCTGAGGGCAGTCAGAGACCGCAGTGCAACAGACTCATTCCCCTAAAGGTGGCACAGGTATCCAGGCTTGTCATAGGGGCTGTGTCTGTCTAGAGGCCTCTAACCGGGGGGAGGGGGTCCCGGCTTGACTGGGGCCTGGCAGCCAGATGCCCACTCACCCACTCCTTCTCAGGCCTGGGGCATTCAGAGAGCTGCTGCCACCCTGTCCCCTCTGGCAGCACAGGCTTTGGGTCTTCTGTGGAGTTGGGTGATGAGTGTGTCAGATTTGATGGGAGCCCAGTCATCCATCCAGCTGTCGCCCCCACTAAGGGGTCCCCCTTCCTGCCTGCCTCCTGCCAGTGTGAGCAGTTATCCCCAAGGAGGGCTGTAGCCAGCCCCAAGTGGGCTTACCACCAAGAGGGGCCACAGGGAGAAGGGGCCAAGGGAGTTGAGATGTGGGAGACATGATTATCCCCCACCCCAGATACCTCCACAGGGGCTCGGGCTAGGCCCCCAGCCTGCAGGGAGACCGAAGTTCAGGGTTAGAGGAGACTCAGACCACCTCCTTCCCATCCCCGGAGCCCACCCCTGTTGGCTTCTGAGAAACCCAGCCATGCTGCCACACTGGCTTCTCTGATGCACTGAAGATGGCGGGAGGAGGTTGTCTTGTCAAAGGAAGGGACCCCAACGCACAGCTTGAGACCCCATTAGACACATCTCTTCCCAAGGCTCTCTGCTGGCCCTTCTCATGGAAGATCCCCACTCGCCTTCTTGTCCTTATAATTGGTCAGCCTGGTTCCAGCTGGTTTCAGCCTGAAGGGTGGGCACTAGCCTGGAACTTGCCTCTTCCTTACACCCAGCTAGCTCTCACATGTTCTCAAAGAGCTGGCCTCTGCACTACTGAGGTCCCTTTTCAGCATCTCAGAAGCACAGTCTTTCTGCACATCATTACAGGCTTAAGTCAAGGGGGTGGTAGGAGCAAAAAAAAAAATGAGTAACCTTGCAGAGTAGTGAGTTCCCTGTCAGGACAGGTATGTGAGCAGCAGCAAAATGATCCCTGTTAGGAGTTTTCTACACTGGGCCATTGCTTGGGAGCCTCCCTTTGAACTAGTTTTCCAGGCTGACTCCTAGACGAGTCAACACTTCTGTTCTGTGGCTCAAAATCGCACTTTCTGCAGTCCCTGGGGTAGCCTCACCGAGGCCAAAGGAGCAAACAGCTGATACGCTACATAACTTTGGAGGGGCCCTGGCTCAAGCTACTGCACGGAGGCTAATGAGCATTTAGGGCTGAATACTGTCTGCTGTCATCCCTTTTTGCTTGTATAGCAAAATAGACTGGGTAATTGATAAAGAACAGAAATGTATTCCTCATAGTTCTGGAGGCTGGGAAATCCAAGATCAAAGTGCCAGCAAATCTGGTGTCTAAGGAGGACTTGCTCTTTGCTTCTACTATGGCATCTTCTTGCAGCGTCCTCACATGGCAGAAGGACAAAAAAAAAGTGAACTCGCCCCCTCAAGCCCTTTTATAAGGGCACTTCTTACCTCCCCAAGGCCCTAGCTTGTCATATTCTTGCACTAGGAATTAAGTTTCAACATGAATTTGGGAGGGACACAAACATTCAAACCTCAGCACTATTTCCCGAAGATATCAGGTGCTAAACCTAGAACCTGTAAATGTTGCCTTTTGCAGGAAAGGGTGTTTGATAATGAGATTAGGTAAGGATTTTGAGATGAGCAGGGAGTATCCAGGTAGGCCCTAAATGCAATCATGTATATACTTAATGAGTGGGAGGCAGGGAGACCTGGCCACAGACACACAGAGAAGGCCGCATGAAGGCAGAAACAGTTTGGAGCCATGTGGCCACAAGCCAAGGAACGCCCAGAGCCACCAGGGGCTGGAAGGGGCAAGAAGGAGCCCCCCCCGAGGGCCTCCCGTGGAGTGCAGCCCTGCTGACTCCTCATTTCAACCCGGCATTACTGACTTTGGACTTGTGGCCGCCAGACTGGGAGAGAATACATTTCTGTTGTTTTATGCCACCAGGTTTGTGGAACTCTACGGGTACAGGTGGACTAAGGCCAGGTGTATGTGGATTGGTCTTTGGTGTTTCACAGACAAAACTCAGCGTCGTAGCAACCTCGGAGCCCAGGCTGCGGCTACAGAGCCACCCAGCAGGACTTGCTGCCTGAGGTCTGAGGGGCCTCCACTCTCTGCCTGAGGTCTCAGGGGCCTCCACTCTCTGCCTGAGGTCTGAGGGGCCTCCACTCTCCGCCTGAGGTCTGCGGACCTCCACTCTCTGTCTGAGGTCTGGGGGCCTCCACTCTCTGCCTGAGGTCTGGGGGCCTCCACTCTCTGTCTGAGGCCTGGGGGCCTCCACTCTCTGCCTGAGGTCTGGGGGCCTCCACTCTCTGCCTGAGGTCTGAGGGACCCTCTCCACTCTCTGCCTGAGGTCTGGGGGGCCTCCACTCTCTGCCTGAGGTCTCAGGGGCCTCCACTCTCCGCCTGAGGTCTGGGGGTCCCTCCATCAGGAATGTTGGTGGGGAGGGTGCTTCTCCTCCACCCTGCCTACACACAGCCATAAGAGAGTTTGAGTGGGGCAGGGAGAGAAAGTTTCATTCTTGCCTTGTCTCCTTCAAAATCCTTCTCACACTTCAGTTATCAAACTTGTCCTGCAGACGCCAGAACAGATACGCTCTGCAAGGCCCTGTAATGAGAAATGGCTCAGCGGGAGGGTGCCACAGGATGAAGACGATTCCATTTCCAGTCTTCCCCAGGCCAAGCCTCTGCCTTCCAGCAGCTCTGGAGGAGCAAAGATTCCTGTAGATGATGATAGATGGGTGGGCGATGATGTGACCTAAGTTCACCCCTCCAGCCGGCAAACATTTCACCCACTGTGGGACCCGCTGAAAAGCTCACTGGTTTGGGACGACCAGCTCTTGGCAGTGAGGAGGTAACGGTCTCCACAGGCCACTGGCATGAGAGGGGGCCGGCTGCCTCTGCCCACTCAAACGCCAGCACCTACTGTGCGCAGAGCCCTGAGCTGGGGTGCACACAGATGTCATCTCTGTCCTCTGTCTGATGACAATCTCGGCAGCCAGCAGGGGGTGCGGCAGATGGTGTGGTGCTTAGAGGAGCCTAGGGGGTAGGGAGGAGGGGGCGGGCAGGAGGAGGAGTCCAGTTTGACTCTCAGCAGCGCCCTCCCTGCCCTCCCCGCCTCCCCGCCCTCCCCGCCGCACCCGCTGCAGATGCAGGCCTCCCCTCCCATCCTGAGTTACCCACCCACCCACACCAGGCTCCAGAAGGGTGGGTGCCAGTGACATATTCACTGCAACTCACCAGTCCCCTGACTTTGAGTAAAGACCAATTTACACCCCAGAGAGTAGCCACTACTTACACTCCTCAGTCTGGCAAAGCCTTAAGAAGGAGCTGTGCTACCTATAGGCAGAGGATTTGGGAGAGGCGTCCTCTATGGCGCTGGTGGAAGGCCCAGGGGGGTCAGTCTTTTGGAAAAGCAATCTGGAAAATTGGAGTAACATCAGTGACTACACACACCCAGCCCATTAGGCCCATCAGTACTACACCCAGGAATCTCTCTGGTAGAAACAGCCCCACCAGCACCTAAGGAGGCAGCGGCAGGTTTCTTCACAGGCCCACACGGCTGCAGGGTTATCTGCTGTCACCAGCACTGGAGACAGAGTGAATCCCGTGAATGGGGAGATGCAGAAACGCCCCACCACCACCACCATGGAAATGAGTGCAGCCACTAAACAGGGAGTGGAGGCTAAACCAGAAGACAGAGAGGGGTTTTCAGGGCCCACTGGATGGGAAAGAAACAGGCAGAAGAATGTGTGTCATGGATAGAACACACAGAAAACGGTGAGCCCGAAACCCTACTGCTTGTACATTGCAGCCACACGTGCTTGCGTTGCTCTGCGTCTCTGCAGGATTCACTGAGCATCGAGAGGCAGAGCGATGTGTAAAGACATCGAGCTGGCGATGCAGGATTTGGAGGGGGATGGGATGGGAATGGGTGGGTTCCTGATGGGCCACACAGAGCCTGTGACCCCATGGGCGGGAACGGGACCTGGTATCCATCTGGGTGACATGGCAGGATGTATGGCTGTGGGGGCATGTCAAGGGGGTAGGGCTGTGTGGGCACCTATACGGACCCGTGGGGTGTGTGTCTGTGTGTGTGTGTGTGTGTGTGTGTGTGTGTGTGTGTGTAGGGGGATGTGTGAGGCGTTTACAGGGTGAGGTGTGTATACAGGGGTGTGTGTCAGTGTAGACAGGGGACTGTGTGAGGAGTTTATGGGGAGAGGTGTGCATAAGGGGTTGTGTGGGTGTGGACAGGCACGTGTTTTCATATGTGTGTGTTAAGGCAGGGGTGTGGGTCTGTGTGAATAGGTTTGTAGATTGTGTCTGTGTGCATGGGCCTGTGTGGACCTGGATGGATGTGTGTGGGTGTGTTTCTGTGTGGACGGGGGCGTGGGTGTGTGTGAGGGTGGGGCTGTGTGGGTGCAGGTGTGGATGGTGTGTGTTTATGTGACTGTGTGGGGGTGTGGAGGGATGGGTCTGTGGGCGTCGGTGAGTGTGGGGTGTGCGTGTGTGTTTCGGCCTTTGTCTGCCTAAAGAGATGCCAGGTGAGACCATCCCAGAATGCTGACGGGAGTCTCAGAGTGGTGCGCTTACAGACGGCCTGTTATCTCCGCATCGTGGAGGATCTGTCCAGTTCTCTGTGTTCAGCATGTATTTATATACTATAAAAAGCCATTTTTGTTGTGGAAAAAGAAGGTTGAGGTAAAGGCAGAGACACTGAGGGCCCAAAGGGGCAGCCTGGGCACCGTGAGGCATGGGCCAGGTTTACGCACGTTGGGTTCAGATGGGCTGCGCCAGCGACCTGTGCCCCACCTCGGCTTGTGGGGCTGTGGGGGGTGCCCGAGTCAAGGTGCTGTATGAACTGTGTTTTTTGCTGGTGTTGGTATGTGTTCATTCCTTTATCAGATGAAGAAATTGAGGCTCGGAGAGGCCAAGTGGAGGCTCAGGGTGGCAGAGCAGACTTGGTGGGTCTGGGCGCAGAGCCCACCCTTCCTGCCTCCTCCAGTAGGTAAGGGGGTGACCCCAGGGCCTCCATGGCTACGCTCTGACTCTCCCTCATTTTCACATCGGTGGGTCCATGGCATGTGAAACTGCTGCCCTGCTCCGCCCCCACACACCTGCACATGTGAACCTGGAGGGCCCTCCCAGTCTTTCAGGACCCCCACACCTCTTCCACATCCTTTACTCTCCTTCCACAGCTGGGCAGCCTCTTCGTACCCCAAGCTTCTGTCAGCCTCTACTAAGGGCCAGACACCCCTGACCACCTCTAAGTTATCTCTTTGGTGACTTTTCAGTGTTTCCATTCCATTTTTTTTTTCAAGAAGGGCAGCAGACATTTTAAAAAATTAATACTTGCACTTGGTACAAAACTGAAACCATGAAGTTCTGAACAGCGCAGAGAGGCAGAGGTCGTCCCACCTCTGTTTCCAGCACCCGGTTCTGCTCCAGCGAGGTTCTCTCATCCCTGCCCACAGATAACCTTGTCCGGGGGCTGCAGGAGCCAAGGAATGCTGGGTGCCTTAGAGCCACAGGACTGTATTCTCTCACGGTTCTGGAAGCCAACATCAGGCTGTGGGCAGAGCCAGGCTCTCTCTGAGGCTCTAGGGAAAGATGAGGCCCAGGCCTTTCTGCAGCCTCTGGTGGGTCCCTGGCTGTGGCAGCACTGTCCCCACCTCCGCCTCCACCTTCCCACGGCATCTCCCTGGGTGCGTGTCTGTGTCCACGTTTTCCCTTGTTATAAGAACACCAGTCATGTTGGATCAGAGCCCACCCATCTCCAGCATGACCTCATCTGAACTAATTACATCCGCAACCACCCTATTTCCAAATAACGTCACCTTCTGAGGTTCTGGGGGTTAGGACTTCAACATGTGAATTTTAGGACACAATTCAACCCATGATAGAGGCACACATCATCAACCGTCAATGCATACGTCGACACATGGTTCTTATGTTGACGTAGGTACCAATGGACATTAACCCCCCACCCTTTACTCACTTCCTGTCCTCTACTTGTCTGATTACCTCAATGGGTCCTCGGGGTGGCCGCATAACAAGTGCACCCCATTCTTTCTCCCAGCTGCATAACGCACCAGTGTGACGATGAACGCCTGTGTGCGTCACAGCTTCTGATCCACATGAAGGGTGTTTCCATTGTTTGAAATTACAAATCCTGCGCAGGGAATAAGCTGGGGCGGGGGAGGGGGGTGAATGGGGGACATCATCAGGCCCCACAAGTCCTTGTGGGGTTTTCTGAGCATCCACGAGGAGCCCAGCACGGAGTCTACAGCCAGGCTCAGGTGGAAAGTGGCTGCCAAACCTGTTGAAGCTTCTGACTTCTGCCCGCCTCCGATGTTGGGTGGGGGGCTTGTTCCCTGCCCACCTCCTGCAGCCCTCCCAAGACCCTCCTACGGAAAGGATTGCTAAGCCTGGAATTTTCCTCCAGACTTAACCAGGGATGCCTGGGCCAAACATTTCCCCAGCACCCCGAGCATGAGCATGTGCTCCCCCGCTGCAAGGAAGTCCCGTTGGGTCACGGCATCCATTCTAAGACCAACAGGGCCAAGCGTCTAGACGGGTGGGGTTCCTGTGCTGGCCGGCTGTGGTTTCCAGAAACTTCCCTCTGGCTCCTTGGGAAAAGGCTCTCTCCACCGTGGCTGCCCTAGCCCTGTGTTCCAGACTTGTTCCTCCAGCCCCAAGTCACTTCTAATCAAGGTCACCGGCAGCCTGAGACGGCTGCAGGTCCCCCGTGATTTGGGGAACTCAGAGCACAAATCTGTGCTCCATTGTGGAAACCAAAACCTACCCACCTCGAGGTGCTCTTGATATTAAAACCAGATATTCCCACACCCGGAGCCTTAAAGTGACCACAGCTTCACGTATCTTCATGGAGACCGGGAGAGGCTGGCGTCCAGCGGGCTGTGGCTGAGTGCAAGGCCAGTCTACCTCCAGTGCCTGATTTTGGCATCACACTTCTGAAAGTCATCACCAGAGCATCCATCCTCCAGGCGGTTTCCTGGGGACAGAGGTCCCGAGTTGGGTGTGCACCGTCACTGTCTCCCCCCAGCCACTGCAGCCACTCCCACGGGGCCTCATTATGTCAATTTCCACAGGAAGAAGCGGTGCTCAGGACGATGAATAGCGCTGTCTTCCTGCTGCTTCCATGGCAGAGCTGGGACCCAAACTCACAAATTTCTGCCTTTGTAATGGGCTCTGAGAAGAGAGGTTCTCCAAAGCCAGTCTACCTGCAGGTGTGCTGGGGCCTGCCACACACTATGAAATCAGCGGGGAGGGGCGGGGGACAATGGGGTCCTGGGTGAGGGGGGCAGGCGGTGTTCTCTGCCCAGTTCTTTTCATTGTTGCCTATGTTTGAAAGTTTTCAAAATCGAAAGAAAGTTAAGAGGGAAATCCTGCATTGAATGGAGGGCAAGGGAGCCCAGCTCGGTGGCCCTGGCACAGGGCAGGTGCTGGGGCCAGGCCCTGGGGTTGGGGGAGGAGCAGCCCCATGGGCACAGCGTCCCCTCCCGGGGGTGGCTTTGTTGGAGCCGCTGTCCCTGCTGAGGGGCCAGACGTTGGCGCGTCTGCCTCCCAGGCTGGCTGTGGGCAGGTGGAGGGGACCCTTCCCAGGGACTCCAGCGGCGGAGGCGGCTTCTCAGCTGGCCCCGGCGGTTCCAGGCTCCAGGGCAGTCTCCAGCCTGCAGGGAGCCAGGCTTGGGGGACGCGCACATGAGGCTGTATCCCGGGTGGGCCTTCCCTGGGAGAATGGCACCCATGACTGCCTCAGCTCCCCGGGACAATGAGTGAGCCCAGGCAGGGAGAGGGCTGAACCCCATTGCTGCAAGACCTGTGCAACCAGGAATGCCGAGGTCAACATCTTTCCCCTCCCCCTCCTTCCATCCCTCCCCTCCTCTCCATGCCTCCCCTCCGCTTCTCCCCATCCCTCCTGCACACTTCCCCTTCCCTTCCCTCTCTCCCTCCATATTCCTCCCCTTCTTCCTACCTCCTCTTTTCTCCTTCTTCTTCCTCCTCTCTCCTTCCCCCTCCATTTCTCCTCCCACTCCTTCTTCCCTTCCACCCCCTCTTCCTTCCTCCTCCCATCTCCTCCTCCTCAGGCCCAGTCCTTCCCTCTCTTTTCACTTCCTTCTCCCCCTTTCTTCTCCCTCTCCTCTCCCCTCTCCTCTCCTCTCCCCACTCCTCTCCTCTCTCCCCTCTGGTCCACCAGCCTTTGGGCGTGGTAGTTTATGAAAATTCTTCTCTTTCCAGTTTCTAAAGAGAGACTTTCACAAGGAAGGAATGGCTAGACCCCCAGAAGGCAGCCACAGTAGGTTTTGAACATTTTGATCTTTTTCAAAGCATTTGGTGTCTTTCAGTGTATGCGGAAGGCTTGTGTATGCGGTGATCTGCACTCCCCATATCCCAGCCCAGGGGTGGGCGTTCCTGCTGTTCCCCTCAACAGCGGGGTACATCAAGGTCCCTCAAGGGCAGTGACTTGCTCACACCTTAGTGGGCCAGCGGCTGAGCTGGAGTGAGGTGCCCTAGTTCCGATCCACATCTCCACAGCTGCAAGGACATTTCCTGCTGGCTGCGACGTGGGGATCAGACTAAGACAACGAGAATGTCTCGAGACTGTACTGCTCCCCAGGCCTGAGCGTGAGGGGCTAAAGGGAGAAAATAAGACACAGCCAGGTTCAACAGCCAACAGTTGCCTGGGGCCCCCTCCCTCCACACCCACCGACACTGTGTCTGGCCCCACAGACAGTGGAGATGGGCCTCGGCTTGCCCCTGCCTTCAGGGGGCATTATTGCTCATCCCTGGGCCATGCTGAGAACCTCCACTTGCACCTCCTCATCTCCTGTCCACCCTGCATATGGGTGGTGTTCAGATGACTCTTCCTAGGGTCCAGCTTTAACCCTGCCTCCCCAGCTCAACAACCTTCAGTGGCTCCCCATTGCTTTGCAAATTAAGAACCGAACCGTATTCTTCAGCTCGGCATGCAGGGGTCTTCATAACCAGACCCCAATTCATCATTTTTCCCTCCTTCCCAGCAGCTGTCTCATATAAACCCAACCCTCTAGCTTCCTAACATGCTCAGCTCTGCACCCTCTCAGCAAGCAGAGACCTATCACCCTAAATGCCAGGTTTCCCTTCATACCTGTCACAGCGTCACATGTATAAAAGTCAGATGAGACCAAGTGCTGGCGAAGATGTGAGGAAACAGAAATAGATACAGCTCTTGTGGAGGATGATTCTGAAGTGCTTCACGAAGGTGAGTCTGTATAGATCCATCGCCCCAGGATTCCCATTCTCGGGCATTCATCCCCAGAAAAACTCAGGCTCTTACAGGAAGATGGACTGGTCTGTTCATTCCAATGTTATTTGCAAAAGCGGAGAGTCAGCCTACAGATAGGAAGCAGCCTACAGATAGATCTCCCACCAGGGGAATAAGCTGCCCTGTGGCACCTGGGCTGAATGAATGACCGCAACGGTATTTCTCATTGTTCAGTCTGACAATGTGACTTCCACATTCTTCCTACTGAGAGCTGGGTCCATGTCCCTTCCCTTGAACCTTGATGAGAGCTGTGACTGCTCCAATCAATAAGTATAGCAGAGGGTTCTCTTTCTTCTCACTCTCTCTCTTTCTCTCTCCCTCGGTCTCCGGCCTCCTCCACTTGTCCTGGGAACCCGTGCTGTGAGGAGGCCCAGGTCACATAGGGAGGCCCCAAGCAAGGGTCCCTGAGTGCACAGCCAGCATCAGCTTTTGGATAAAAGATCAAATGGGCTTTGAGAAGAGTCCACCACCCCGGCCCCCGGCTTTGAGTCTTCCAGAGGAGACCCAGATTTCAGGAATTGGAGAGAAGCCATCCCTGACTTGGAGTGAGCATCAGATCCACGGCTGTTCCACACTACGAAGGTTTGGGGAAACACGTGATAGAAACGGAACCGTGGCACATGTGAGTGCTGAGCTGTGCAGAGAGCATAAAGAGGAAATGAGCACTGCTGCATTGGCCAGCATGTCATTGACTTCAAACATATACTTTCAAAATGACAAGTAGTGGAGGTGTGAAATGTCATACTGTTTCTATAAATTAAGACACAAGAGCAGGTACGTGGGGCCGCACAGGTGACGTCAGGACGGGTAAGACTGGGATGAGGGATGAAACAAGCAAGAAAATAGAAAACTTAAAATGGACATTCTCTAAAACTTCCAAAAGAAAAAAGTTGATTAAAAGGAAACCAAACATACGCCAGCGGCTGTGGTTTGCCTCCCCAGATCTATGCTCTGTGGATTCTTCCCACTCACTCATCTGGCTGCTAGCATCCAGCGAGGCACTGGGGACACCGGTGAGGAGGGCTTAGGCCCTGTCAGGCACCTCCCTGTCCAGTTGAGAAGGGCACTGGGTTCCCTGGAGGGCGTTTGCTGGAAGTTCCAAGGTGGGTCAGGATACAAGGGAGAGGATGCACGGCAGGCGCAGGAGGGGAGGGAGGCCTAGGGACTAAAGTGGACAGGGAGGTGGTGGGCTTGGTGGCGCCCTGCCTGCATGGAAGGATGGCTGTGGGTTGGGGATGTGTGTGTGTGTGTGTGTGTGCCCTCACAGGGATGGGGAGACAGGAAGGTGACAACTCATTCACTTTGAGACGTTTTGCTTTTTTTGGATGGGGGAGTCCTTCAGTCCCAGAATTCGGACGTGTCCAACAGTGATCAGAAATCTTGAACCGTGCTCCTGGGAGGGCAAGAAACCCCGACTGAAGGTGACGGCTTTGCGGGGTCAGCCTCCGAGCGCGAGGAGCACGCATCCCGACCTCCCCCTGCCCTGCCCGAGACTGTTCTTGGGCCGTGAACTGCGAGCCTCTCTGACCTGGGGCGCATCGAAATGCGCCACGCCGCGAAGGTAGCGATTCCCGCTTGCGCCTCCGCCGGCAATTCTGTCTCCAAACTGGGCGTCGCCACTCACCTGGACGCAGGACTTCGATCCTGGCCGGCTCCGCCACCAGCACCGAGCACAGAGGCAGTGGCCTGGGCGAGCACCAGTCCGGTCAGTTCGCGCGTCCTGGTCTGACCCTGCGCTTTAGCGTCAACAATCTGCCCAATTGCCCACACCTACGCCTCGCCGACCAGGCTTCGCCGCTGCAGTTGTCGCTGGAAAGTCTCTGGGACCCGGCGTGGGAGACTCAGAGTGTGGACGCGCCAGCCTCTGCCCAGCTGGCGCCCGCTCTCTCCGCAACCCCCAGACAGCGGGCGCCCAGAGGAAAAGGGTGCACGGTCCTCGCTTCGGATCCACCGCCCCTCTTCGCTCCCATCCCAGGCCCCACGCGGCAGTGTGTGGAAGCGCCCCTCTCATGCGCGCCCCCCAGAGGCAGTGGGAAGACACCCGCGAGCGTTATGCGCTCAGGGCCACCACCCGCCTGGTGGTGGCCAGCCTCTACTCCCAACAACCTGGCACCGTCAGGGACGCGTATCGTCCGCAGTTATAGGATCAGAGACACAAGACGCCTCCTCCAGGGCCACACAACCCTAGAGCGGAGGGAATTAGAACTCAGACTCAGAGGAAGCCCGCCAGGCCTGAGGGAGAAATGGAAATGCCACCAACCTGGGCAGGCGCGTGGCTGGACGGGGCAGGAGTGTCCAGGCGCCTCTCACAGACAGACCCAGGGGAGCCTGTGTGAACTGGACGGCTATCAGAAAAACACTTCTCCCCACAGACATTGTCTTTTTATCTGGCCCCTCTCTGGCCTCAGTTTCCTTATCTGTCAAAAGCGCCCTAGTGTAGACGGTGTCTGCCCCAAGGCTAGCGCTCCAAACTAATCGAATCGGGCGCTCTGTCCCAATTTCCTTGGCCCAGCCCCCTCTGGCTGGGGTACCTCTGCTCCTTGGAGTCTCTCTGACCCTGGACATCCCAGGGAGCAGGGCTTGGGAGACCTCAGCTCCTCCCTAAGATCCCAACTCTCTCCACTTTGGCTTAGTGGCCTCATCAACAACATGGAGGGAGGAGCCCCCATCTGTGGGCTGCCTCCAGGCTAAACAACCCGGGGAGTCCCTGTCATTGATTATTTTTGCCCCTCTTGGGCTAGGATGCCGGGGAAAAGGAGATGGGCTGAGCATCTTGTCCTAGAGTCCCTGGAAAAGTCCTCCCACTCGAGATCGCGGCAGCCACTGAGCACTAGAGGTCCTTCCTGGCAGCCGCCAGAAAGCGCACCCAGGACACGCTCCCAAGAGGCGCACCATTTTGTCTCTGCGAACCCAGGCCGCGAGGGCCCAGCTGGCTAGGCCTCAGCCGCTCCTGGAGCCCCACCGCCCTGCCAACCAGCCGGACTCCGGGGCATCAGTGAAGGAATTCCAGGCTTGCCGGAGCCACCTACCCTCTGGGGGAGTCTCTTCTCTCTTCTCCCGTCAGTTTTCTCCGCTGAAAAATGGGGGCGATGCTCCCTCCACCGTGCTTTTTTGGAAGAATTAAACAAAGCGGAAGCCCCAGGCCTGCGGTCACCTCCGGGAACGCGGGCGGTACTCGGGTGGAGAGGGGCCCGGGGCTGGCCCTGGGAGGATGGATGTATCTCTGCGAAATAACTCGCATCGGGTGAAGCCGGCTTAACCCGCGCGTCCGCGCAGTGACCTAATGTAGGTAAGTCTGAAGTCGACGCCGGAACGGAGACAGCTCCAGGGTGCGTTATGTTCCCGAACTTCCCGCTGCAGATATGGGAGGACCTCCCCACCCCTTTAGAGCGAAGAAACGGAGGCACAACGAGGGAAGGGGCCTGCCCCCAAGACCTTCGCCCAGGGCAGAGGCTGGGCCAAAAGCTCCCACCCCCTTCTAAGGCCCTGGCTTCCCCTGGAGCGGGCGGTGGGGGTGCTGGCGCGGTGAAGACCTGCTTGGTAACATCGAGCGGGCTGCCAGCGGAGCCCTGTGGTTGCACTTCCTTACATACTGGTACCGAGCCCGGGAACTGAAGAGTTCTACCGAACTACAGTTGGCATTGAAAGCATCTTTCCTTAAGTGCAAATATTAAGATATGCCACATTTCGCAGTCCTGTTTTGGCAGTGTTCCCATTTTTAAATTACACACAAAGTCTTAAATAAAAAAATGTGGCCCAGCCTCTTGCAGTTTCTTGGGAGCCCCGGGGTCTCCACGCCGCCCTCCACACACACACAGCCATTCAAACGCACACTCGTGCACACACCACGCGCGCGCACACACACAGTTACTCACGGTCGGTCCAACACCCTCCTCGCAGCGGGGTAATTACGGCTCTGGCCGGACGGTGATTGGCCAGCCCGTTCCTCATCGGGGCCCCACAGCCAATGGGTGGCCGCTCAGCCCAGGCCCCGCCCCCACGGAGCGGGTGGCGCGGGACGGGGGAACTGATCACGCGGGATCGGACCCGGCGCGACCCCCCGCCTGCGCCCGGGGCCGCCCGCCCTCGGCTGCGCCGCTGCCCGCGCGCTCAGGTCTGGGCAGCGTCTCCCGGCAGCGGCCGCGCTCGGGGCCGGCGCAGCGTCCTCGGGGCTCAGCGGGCCGCCCTCCCGGCCCAGCCCGCGACCCCCCGCCCCTGCTGGCCCCTCCCCCTCCCCGCCCCCAGTGAGGCCGCCCCGGCGGCGACCAGAACGGCGACCTGAAAGGCGAGCCAGGCGGCTGCCCGATCAGCTGTCGGCGCGCACTCGCTCCCGGCCCGGCCCAGCCCAGCCCGGCGCGGAGGCCGCCGCCTGCCCTGCGGGGCCCGACGCCAGCGGTCCGGGTAGCAGCTCCAGGGCCGGCCCGCGCGTGCGCCCGGGAGCCGCGCGCCACCATCCCCAGCGGGGACCGAGGAGCCCGGCCGAGCCCGAGAAGCCCGCGGCCGCGATGCCTGACGAGCTGACGGAGCCCGGGCGCGCCACGCCGGCCCGCGCCTCCTCCTTCCTCATCGAGAACCTGCTGGCGGCCGAGGCCAAGGGCGCAGGGCGCGCGACCCAGGGCGACGGCAGCCGGGAGGACGAGGAGGAGGACGACGACGACCCCGAAGACGAGGACGCCGAGCAGGCGCGGCGGCGACGGCTACAGCGGCGGCGACAGTTGCTCGCGGGCACCGGGCCCGGCGGGGAGGCGCGGGCCCGTGCGCTGCTCGGGCCGGGCGCGCTGGGCCTCGGTCCTCGGCCGCCCCCCGGTCCCGGGCCGCCCTTCGCTCTGGGCTGCGGAGGCGCAGCGCGCTGGTACCCACGGGCGCACGGTGGCTATGGAGGCGGCCTCAGTCCTGACAGTGAGTGAGGGCGCGGGGAGGGTGGGTCAGGCGGTGGGGCCCGACTTCCTCCCTGCGCATTTGCTGGGGGACTTCGGGCTCGTCGCCGCCCGTTCTGGGCCATCCTCTCCCTTCTGTGGAACGGCGTCTGGGCCTTGTGGGGCCCCCAGGAGCCCCTGGTTGGGCTGGTTTGGAGGCCCACCCTCTGGGGCAGGAGCTCCGCTAACGAGGAGGTTTTGCAGGCCATAGCTTCACCCATTGCCGGGCTCCTCCGGTCCCAGGGAGGCTGGGGACAGGGGACAACAGGAGGCCAAAGAAAAAAGAAAGGAGAGTGAAAGAGGATAGGGAAAGATACAGGAGAAGGCGAAAGAGGCTGAGAAAGAAAATGGGAGGATGGAGGAAGAAAGGAATGTGCTGCGGGAGAGAGAATGGGGTGGGGGGAGGGGAAGATGCAGGAAAAAGAAACCCAAGAGTGATCCGAGAGAGAAAAGAGGAGGAAGAGATGGAGGGAAAGGGAGACAAAGTAGCATCAGACGTGGAAAAATAAAAGGGGGCATTGAGCAGAGGGTGCAGTGTTGTGGGGGTGGGGCCGGGGAGGGGAGCCATCTAACATGGCAGCTGTGCCCCCCCAGAGTCCTGTTTCCTCTGTGCCCGCTGCAGACAGCCTGGGGCAGGGGCCTGGGTCTCCCTCTTGGTCCTTGAGGGGCATGGGCTGTGCCAGGCAAGAAGGGAGCCTGTTCTGAGGCCCCCAGTCCAACCCCTCTCTCTTCTTTTTCTGCCCCTCCCCCTCCTTGCCTTTGTTCCCTGCTGAGGGCTTGAGACTGGGGCTGGGGGTTCTCAACCCCAGAACCCCTTTGCCCCCTTGCTTGGGTATCTGACCCCTTAGTTCTGCTTCCCCTCCCCAGGGTTCCAGGGTCGCTGCCTCCCTTTTGTACCTGCCCTTTAGGAAGACCCCTGGGAGGAAGGCCAGGAAAGCCAGTCCAACCCCCCAAGCCCTGGCTTAGCCAGCCCCCCACCCCCAACACAGCCTTTGGACCTTGAGGCCAGCTGAGGACGTGGGCCCTCTGCAGGCTCCGGCTCTGGGATCCATGCTGTCCTCTGTATGAATATTAGTGTGTGCTGGGGAGTAAGTGGCCTACGACCCTCACTCACTTGTTAGATAACCCTTTCCATGTCGTGGAGTGATCCTTTGCAAAAGCCCCCACATCTCGGCACCCACACTCAGGAAGTCTAGGCCCCCACCCCCTTCACGTAGACTTGAGCAGGGCTTCCGTGGTTTCCCAGAAATCGAGCGACTCTGTCTAGTGCCCTTCTGGGGGAGACTATGGAAAGGGTTTCTCAGGGTGAAATTTGTTCTCCACTCATCCCTGGGGTGCATCCCCTCCTGCAGCCCAGGTGGCACCCCTGCAGAGGCGGCTCCCCCTTATTTCGTGCCATGCGGGTTAGGGTCCCACTTCCTCACTGGAGCTGGCAAGTCAGCCTAGTGCCTTGTGGCAGCACATGGGCCTCTGTGAGTTTGGGGTATTGGGGGGAGGCAGGGACTCCCCAGATCTAGTAGCATGCACCACAACCTGCTGCCTGACTCCCCTGTGGGTGCTGTGAGGGCACACACCATGGGGATTGGCCACGGGCGTGAGTGGGATGTGCACACTCCTTGGGCATGAGGCACAGAGCTGGAACCACGCACAGAAGCCCACCAGTGTGCGCACCCCTTGCATGAGCGTGCAAATGCTGCAAATACACTGCAGGCACACACCCGGCCGAGTGCACAGCCTTCCAGGGGCCCAGGGCCAGGCCAAACTCTGCCTCCACCTCTAACCTGTCAACCTGGGCCTGCCCTTTGCACGGGAGGCTCCAGACCAAGGCAGAAAAGCAGCGGGTCCGAGTCAGCCTCCAGAGCCCTGCAGTGGGAGGCTGCTGCCCTCTTCAATCTGGGCAAGTGCTTCTGGGTCCCGGCTGGCCTCTTTAACCTGACATCATCCCTTGCCAGCCTGTGGGCCTCTTCTTGTTCCTAGGAGATGAGTAGGGGAGCTTGGTACTTGGAACATGAACTCAGACACCGCCTGTGAGCTTCTGGTTTCAGCCCAAACCCATGAGGCTGAACCTCCAGTCTTGAAAGTGTTTGGGGCAGGACTCAGCTGCTGCATGTTGCTTAGAGTGGCATGTGCCCGTGTTCCCTTTGAGCATGATTGTGGCTGGTGTGGACTTGCCTTGTGGACACTGGGTCAGGGCTACAGGAGTATGTGGTGTGGGGGTGACAGCCTCACCTGATGGGAGTTCTCTTTTGGGGATCCTTTGCATTGGTTTGTCCTCCTACTATGGAATGTTTCTGTGCAAGCGGGCAGAGGGCGCGGGAAGAGGCCTGTGAACTCTTCATTCCTCCTTCTGGGGAGCTTGGCGTGGGGCTGGATGCCAGGTGGCAGGGGGTGTCCTGTGCTTGTTTTTCGGTGTGAACATTTCTCGGAAGGACATCTTTCCTCTTGTCCCGGGACTTCTGCGGGAGGTTTGTGTGTTTTTCCGGGCCGCCCGTGGTGCAGCTGGGAGTGGGGAGTGCTCACTGGGGTCAGCCTGCTTTTCTTGTGTAGTATTTTTGTTTCTTTTCTTTGCTCTGCATCCCTTTGTTGTCCTCTGGCATGGGTGTGCGTTTGTGTTTGTGTGTTGCGGGGTGTTGGTGTGTTGCGGGGTGTTGGTTTGGAGCTGCTGCCTGGTCTCTGGGCCGCCTCCCACGGTTCTGACAATGTGTGCATCCCCAGAGCTGCTGGGTGCCCAGCCCTGTGCTGGAAGGTCTTCCTGCTTGTGGCTGTGAGCGACCTCAAGGTGGGGACGGCTGGCCTCAGTGATTGAGTCTGGTAATCAGTGCCCTAGAACCAACGGTGGTGCCCTCTCTCCCCTGCAGCCAGCGACCGGGACTCACCGGAGACGGGCGAGGAGATGGGCCGTGCGGAGGGCGCCTGGCCGCGAGGCCCCGGGCCGGGAGCGGTGCAGCGGGAGGCAGCGGAGCTGGCGGCGCGTGGCCCGGCGGCCGGCACGGAGGAGGCGTCGGAGCTGGCCGAGGTCCCTGCGGCGGCTGGGGAGACACGCGGCGGCGTTGGCGTGGGCGGCGGCCGAAAGAAGAAGACGCGCACAGTCTTCTCCCGCAGCCAGGTCTTCCAGCTGGAATCCACCTTCGACCTGAAGCGCTACCTGAGCAGCGCCGAGCGCGCCGGCCTGGCCGCCTCCCTGCAGCTCACCGAGACGCAGGTTAAGATCTGGTTCCAGAACCGCCGCAACAAGTGGAAGCGGCAGCTGGCAGCCGAGCTGGAGGCGGCCAGCCTGTCCCCGCCGGGAGCGCAGCGCCTGGTCCGCGTGCCGGTGCTCTACCACGAAAGCCCCCCGGCCGCAGCCGCCGCTGGGCCCCCGGCCACCCTGCCCTTCCCGCTGGCGCCCGCCGCGCCCGCGCCGCCCCCACCGCTGCTCGGCTTCTCCGGGGCCCTCGCCTACCCGCTGGCCGCCTTCCCGGCCGCCGCCTCCGTGCCCTTTCTGCGGGCGCAGATGCCTGGCCTGGTGTGAGCCCCGCCTGCCGGGCCCTCTCCCCACGACCCTGTGGACCTGTGTGGACGCGCGATTCAGCGGCAGGCGCAGGGCTCAGGGGGCGTTAGGGAAGGGATGGTCGCTCCTGCGGCCTCCTAGATACCTCGGGAGCGCAGGCCGCGGCCGGGCGGGCCTCAGCTTCTGTGGGGAGCGCCTCTAGAATGTAATGGGACGCCCCACCCATTTGCCAGGCTGGATCCCCACTCGAACAGGGGGCCATGCAGAGACTCTGGGCTGCGCAGCCCCCGGCGCCACGGCCACCCCCCGGCCTCAGCGAGGAGCGGTCGGCCATGGCCACCCGGGGCAGCTGCCCTCAGGCCAAGCCCAGCGCAACAAAGGAAAACTACGAACCGGCTGTCCAAGGCTGAGCGGTGACTGTCCCCACAGACTGCCCCCAACACTAAACGTCCCTTTCCTGGGACCCAGACAGCAGGCCGGCCCGGAGGGCTGTGCTACCCCTCTCGCGGGTGCTGGTGGAGAAAGGACCCTGGACCTGTGGGTCCCATCGTCCGTTCCAGGAGCAGGCAGGCTGGGGCTCTCTGCAGACGTCGCAGCCTCCGGGTTGTTGTTTTTTTAAATGAATCTACTTATTTGCGTATGGAATAAAAAGGGACATTTTCTGGACAGTTTCACTGCTTTGTGATCACGAGGGCAGAGACAGCTCAAGCTGCGCTGGGTGCCGTCCCTCCTGGGAGCACCTTTCAGTGCTGACTGGGGACACCTGGAGCCCAGGGCTGGGCCAGGTGCAGGTGGGCAGGGCAGACCCTAGTCGGAGGTGATGAGCGCTGTGCCCCTCTTCTATGACACACCACAGGGAAGGGCCAGGAGCCGGGAGTAGGGAGGAGGAAGTGATGATGGTGTGTCCCAAGTTCTAGAGCCTTGACTGAAACCGAAAGGCAGGAGCAGGTGAAGGCAGAGGCCCACTGATGGCCGCTGGCATTCGTCACAGGGGCTCGGCTGTGTGGCGCCCCGTGTGCACAGCCATTTCCTATCTGGTATGGAATTTTTCTTTGGGCCAAAACAAAGCCGTGGCACTCAAGGTCAGGCCACCGTGCTCTTGCCTTGGGTCTTCCTCCCGGCCTGCAGTCTCTGGTCTCTGGTCAGCTGGAGGACTCAGGTGGTGGACAAAGCTGTTCACGGCCGGTGATGATGGGATCTGAAGGAGAGCTCGTTCCCCTATTCTGGGCCACTGGGGCCACCCCACCTCCATCAGCCCCAAGCTGGCTGCTTTTGGGTGGGGGAGGGACAGTATTTGGTGTGTGTTTCAGCCTAGGAGAAATATGTTGTTCGGGTTTGAAAAGTTCACTTCCATGGCAGAATTGAGCCCCTAAGAAAACCCATCTCCCTGTCCTGCTTCACTTGGGTGTAGACGCTCCCCGGGTGAGATGGGCAGCAGCCGGGCCATACGCTGGTCTTGGGGCAATCAAGGTAGCGCCAGACGGCCAAGGAGAGCGTGCAGTGGGCCTGGGGGTCAGTGCATCTGTGTGTCTCTACCATCCAGCTCCTGACCCAGAATCATGTCCTCCAAGCCCCAGCCCCCGCCCCGGCCCATCAGTTGGTTCCTTACTGTGAGGCCAGGGTTCCAGCAAGCCCAGGGGGCCTCCTTCAGCCTCTGGGCCCGCAGGTCCACACCTCTGGGTTCCAGGCCCTGTGTCATGACAGCGTGGGCATTTTGAGAGATTCTTAGAGAGGGCAGCCATCCTTGGCCTTGCAGCAGGCCTCCCCCAACCCAGTCCCCACCCTGCAGGCTTGTTGCTGCCTGGGCCCCCTCCAGCCCTTCCCAGGCTTGTGTCCGGGCTCCCTCGCTGCTTTGGGGCTGCGCCCCAACTGCTTTCCTGGCTAAACCAGGAAGTCCGTTCTCACTCGGTTTCATCTGGGAGGGACTCAGGTTAGGCCTCAATAAAACTAATGAAAGCTCCCTGTTGGCGGCCATGAGGGGCAAGGGGTGTCCCAGGAGGCTCTTCGTGGCCACTCAGGCAAAGTCCCAACCCTCACCCCCCGCCCCTTCTGACCCCTCTCCCCACTGGGCCCTCTAGACCTCGCACCCCTGACTCAGGCTCCTGGGACCCTCGCCCTCTGGGCTTCTGTCGCTTTTGTGCTGGCCTCACCCAGTCACCGGGACACATCGCTGCGAGTCCAGGAAAGGGGCCAGGGCACAGCCGGCGACACCGCGGAGCCTCCGAGTCCCACACAGGCCCAGCAAGCAGAAGCAGCAGCAGTAGCCTCTCCTTTTGAGGTCCAGGCACTGTGTGCCGGTGGCACTGCCTCGGCCTTCCCAACGGCGATGCTACTCAGACTGGCGAGGCCTCGGGCACTCGCACCACGAGGACGCCTGCCTCCTCGGCCCTATTAGAAGGGGGTCATTGAAGCTCAGGCCAAAGGGGTTATCGCTGTGATGCAACTGTTTTATTCGACTGCTTCTGGCCGATGTGGGTGCAGTCCCAAGGTTGTGTGGTGACTGCAGGGTGCCTCTTAGCGCAGTGGTGGCGCCCAGGTCCTCAGGCGAATCCCCTTACAGGCGGTTCAGTCAGCACTGGAGCCCTTCACAGGTGGCCTTAACCACTCCAGGAGTCACCTGACTCCGGGCCACCAGGAAGCTGGAAGGGTGAGAGCCCTATGGGTGCCAGTTTTAGATCGTCCACTCTGGCTACTAGGGAACCATGGAACCGGTCACCAAGCCTAGTCTTGGCAGCCAGCATCAGAGGGTGCAGGGTCTACACAGTTCAAATGCAGGGTAGATTTGGAGAGAGTGGATGTGTCTTTCGATAGAATTAATTAAAAATCGGGCTGGAGAGCGTCTTATGGGCCTCGACTCAGGGCTTGCCCTGGTGGGAAGGAGGGAGCCGGCGTGGGAGGAGGGGACCGTTCCAGAGCTCAGGGAAGGGCTGGGGCCTGGAACACTGTTAAGAGAGAAAACAGATCCCAAGCTGGATTAGGCCAACTGGGCGCAGGGAAGCTGGCCCTGCCCTGTTATCCGTGGGGCTCTGGCGTCTTGGGGCTGGCACCAAAGGCAGAACAAACCAGAGAAAAGCAGTGTAGGACCTGGAACCCAGAGAGCCCTGGAGAGCAAGCGGGACCAGGCTGGGGGCAAGCAGGGGGTACGCCTGGCCCCTCTGAGTCCTGAGCTCCGGCGCCATCGATCGCGGGTGCACCTCGAGCGCGTTGGCTCCACCACTGGCAGAAGATGAATGGCTTCGATCTGCCTCCACCACATGCGCCATGCACCCTCCCCCCTCGCGGGTTCCACCCACCTCCTCACCCTCTCCGCACCTGAGTCCGGATTCCAGCCACCCTGAGCTGCTCAGGGCTTCCAGTTGCACAGCTCCGAGCACCAGTGGGTGCAGCGGGCTCTGGACATCCTGGACACACGCCTATACTGGACCCAGTCCGACTTCCCCATGACCGTAATCACACCCCTTCTCTCCTCCAGGCCTCCGTTTCCCCACCGCACACCTATGGTGAGAACTAGGGTCTGTAATTTGTAAATGCTGGGCCTCCTGTGATTTGAGTGAGGCCAACAGGACATCCCTCCCCAGCTCCCAGGGCCCATGCTGTGGTGGGACTGGTGGGTGACCCACCTCCTCTGGGCCTCTCAGTGCTCTGGGACTATAAAAGCTGAATCCCCACTGGAGCTGGCCTGAGAGGTGGGAAATCAGCTCCCCACCCTGCCCCAGTGTTGGGCATCTGGGACCTCCAAAGGCAGAGTCCATACCCAGAGCACCAGGAAAGGCCACTACGGTGGTGTTTGGGCGTGGAGGATGTGCTGTCTGGGCTTAACGGTCCTGTCCTCGGGAAATGACTATAGAGCAGAGATTCCCAGCCTAGGTCAAATTCCACAGGGATCGGAGCTACTGGAATCCTGGAGGCCGACCTGGGCCTGCCCCATTTCCCCTAGGTGGTCCCACCGCCCTTGGCCACTCCAGGCCCTTGGCCGAGAGAGCAGGCAGCAACCAGGGCTCTGTCCTCCCTGCTTCCTCCAAAGCCAAAATGAGAGACAGGCAGGTACCCAGGCAGTGCCCTTGGAGGTGTGGATTCCCCCGCGCGCTCCACCCAGCTTGGCCTTTGCACTCCCGAACCCCCATGGGGCTCCTCTGCCCGCCGACTCCCATTCAGGCGGGAGCACCCTGAGAAGATCCTCATCAGGTGCAGGGGAGGGGTGCCCAGTGCCCTCACCCATCCGCATGCAGGGAGGTTTCCCAGATCCTTGGCTCTGAGCCCACTCCGAAGGCAACCCAGCTGGGCGGAGACGGAAGGCTCTGGACTCTGGCTGGGTGAGCAGCACCAGGGAGGCGGGAGAGGCCGGGTGGGCTTCTCTTTCCCTTTCTGTCAGTGCCTCTCCCCCAAGAGTCTTTCGTGGCCTTCCGCCCCACCTTGCAACTTGTTGGAAAGGGAAACCGGGGTTCTGAGAGGGGCAGGAATTCTGGAGCACGGTGGCACTGAGGCTCCCCGGCGCCCTCCTCCACCCGCCTGAGGGAGGCCAGCGGGCTACTCCTGCGCTGGTGCTGCTGCTGTTCCTCCCCGCCTGTGCACTCATATGCTTCATACCCTTCGGCCACCCTGCCCTTCTGGTAGCCAGAGTGGGCATGCCTATCCAGGGTCCCGCTGGGAAGTGGGTCCCAGCCACCGGAAATTCGTTCGCTGGGCCTCCTGGACTCGCCGATCCCCAGGTCCCCAAGGCGGATCACCCAATGAATGACTGCCCTGGAGGGAAACGGAGAGGTGGACACCCCTTCATAGGTGGGCCGGAGAGGGGACAGCCCTGTCCTCACAGAGCTAAGCTCTGCGTGTCATGCACGGAAGGACACACAGGATCGGGCGCCGAGAACAGCTAAGTGGTCGAAGAGCCAGCCTCACCGCCTGGGGAGCAAACGGCCCTCGCCACGTTCTGGAGCTGTGGGGCTGAGTTTTTGTTTATTTTTTATTACAAAAGTAATAGTGCTTTTTATTATCTGGACATTGCAGTGAAGTTCAAATGGAAATACGTCTGCACTTCCAACATCAAAAGCCAACTGCCTTTGAGTGTGGATTTACTGGGAATTGTAACTTAAGCCGTATTGTTATTTTAAAAAAAGTTATTATCAGTGAAAATGCATTTATGTATTCAGTGAAAATGTGTCTGTGTTTGCTTTATAATAAGGCAACAAAAATAAGTTAGTACAAATAAAAGGAGGCCAATAGAGGGAACTAGATTGGTCACGGTTTAAGAACTGTGGGATAGGGGTGGGTACACGGGAATTCACTTGAAGCCTCCCTCGATTTTGTTTTATATTTGAAAACTTCCATAATAAAATGTTTCAAAAAGTGACTACCAAGAAACATTAGGGGTTTGTGCTCCCCAGCGGCTGAATCTCTGCCTGGGGCTGTTTTGGTTGCAGGTTTATCTACGCCCAATCGGGGTCTCACTTTGGTCCAGCTTGCACTCTGCTTTTAAATTTTTTTCTACTTAGCTAGAATGTTCGCATTTAAACCCATTAACGTGGTCTCTGTAGAATGATTTCAGTCTTAACCCTTCCTCTTTTCCACGCAGCTTTCCCGGCCTCCGCCCCTTCTCCACTGGTCGTGGTGCCCCCTCCGGGTTCCCCCACCCAGGGCACCTGGCGCCGGGGCGTCGCCTCCGCTGGGGAGGCCTCAGACCGCGTCGAGGACATATCAGGGAGGACGGACAAGGGCTGAAGGGTCCTTGGCGCCGCCTCCCGGCTCCCCAGCCCGAGTCACCCACGCGGACGTGGTTCCGACTTCGCTGCAGTGTTTGGGAGGTTGCGCGCAGCGGCCTCCTCTTGGTCCCGGGTGCGTTGTCTTTGGTTTCCGGGCACTTCCTTGACGCACTCGGCGTGCTTGGTCTGCAGCGCCCGACCCACGCGAAAGGTGCGCCCCGCCATCAAGAGGATGGGCGCCTTGATCCCGGGGCTCTGAGGGTCCAGACAGACGCCAGAGAGAGGCGCAGAGGCCCCTGGAACGACGGCGCCCCAGGCCAGAGCTGTGGGCCTCCTCGGGTTTCGCCAACCGCCCGGGAAGGCGCCTGGCGGACACTCCTGAAGCGCAGCCTCGGCCGTGCCCCCGGGGCTCCGCCTACGCTGCTCCGCGGTCCCCTTCGCCTGTCTTCTTCCGATGCTCCTCTGCTCGTCCCTCTTCGCGGCGCACGAGGATCCCGCGCGCGCGTGCATCTGCCCTGGTCACCGAGGCTCCCCCGTCGTTCCCTACCCCCCTTTCCCGAGCGTGATTCTCCCTACTTCTGACCGGCCCGAGTCGGGGTCGGGGAGACAGGGCGTGTTTATTTCTTTGCGGAGAGGCTCCTCGGCACAGGCCGCGGGAAGCGCGGCCTCCGGGGCGCAGCGGCGCTCTGATCCCGACCCGCCCCTCCCAGGCCCCGCGTCGCCCGGTCGGGCAGTGGGAAGTCGGTGCCGCAGCTTCTGGTCCGGGCCCTGCCTGCCCCGCTGGGGCCCTGGAGCCAGGTTCATCCCTGCTCGGCCTGCGCTTCCCAGCAGGTAGAGGAGGGCAGCGGCGCCCGGACCCGCGGGGCTGCCCGACCTAGATGGAACGGAACCCCGACAGTGGCGCCAGCTCCGCTGTGTCCGGGACCCCGCGGACGCGACTCGGCCCCGCCTCTTCACCGTCTCCGGCCGCCCGGGACCTTCCCAGCTCGCGGCCCTCCCGGGCGCCCCGCCCCCTCCCCGCGGTTCCGGCCCCGCCCCCTCCCCCGCCCTCGCCCCCGCCCCCGCCCGGCTCACCTGGCGTCTCTCTGGCGTCTGGAAGTCTGGCTCAGCCTTCAGCCTCGCCCCTCAGTTCTCACCTCGCCACTTCTCGCTCCCCTCCCCTACCCGGCCCCTTACCCCTCGGGGTCTGCACAGTGGAGCCGTCCGGTCTCCGCACCGCCACCCCGAGAAGGGCGGTGAGCTCAAGCTGCGGGCAGGGCATGGGGCTGCGGAGAAGGGAGGCGTCTGATCCGCCCGGGCCTCCTTAGGCTTCTGGAAGGAAGCGGTGTTAACCCGAAGGCTAGAGCGGAGCGAAGCTCGAGGCGCGCAGGTGGAGACACGGCGGGCCGCCTTGCGTCTTAGCCCGTGGCGGGGGACGCGGGGCTCTCTGCCGCCTGGCCCCTTCGGGTCGAGCCCTTCCCTCCCCACTCCCCAGGAAGGGTTAGATTCCTGGACCGTGCGCGGTGCCTTCACTGGCCCGCTGTGTGGCTTTGGGAAAGTCACTTCATCTCTCTGAGCCCGTCTTGCCCATCTGCGGAGTGGTCATCGTAGCGGGGGTGAAGGCGGCGCGATGTAATGACGGGAGCGCGGGTGCATTGCTTGCTGCTGTGTACACAGCCTTCCGTGTTCCCGCTCAGCACCCACCATGACCCGGAGCACCTCCGAGGCGCTCAACGCACGGGCCGGTCCCCTCAGCCTGTGCCCGGACTCCTGCAGTATATCGGTCCCAGCGGTTTTGGCCCCGGGTATAGGAAAGGCCAGGGGGCGCCCCCACTTCCATTTGGCGCGCAGTCATGCTCTCACTGGGGCACCAGGGCAGCCACGCCGCGCGCACCCGGGGGTGTCCAGGCACCAGGGCCCTGCTGACCCGCGCACTTGTGCGCAACGGCGCTCCACGAACTCGGCTTCGCCCCTGACGCAGTTCGCGCTGTCAGCACCGCCGTTGGCCCCGTCGGGGCTCTGCCGGTTCTAATGGGGACCTAAGCCCTCCACTCCCACCACGGGCAGTTGTGCCTCCTTGCTCCCAACAACATGGTGGCGGGAATTGGGTATCCAGAGGTGGACACAGATCCGGGCCCAGAGCCGTGGGCCACTGCCCGCGCCTGCTCTGGAATGGCGAATGGCCCTTCCGCCTCCCCTGGAAGCTTTCTTCGGGCCGGGACGGGAGCTGATCAGCCCTTTGCCCGCCTTGTTCCACGGTATTCCCACGATGACGAAGGGGCGGGGGGATGTCCTCATTCGGGTCCCAGTGCGACTCCACGTCACATAGACCACGCACGTGTGTAGAGAAGGCAGAGACTCTGTCCCCATTTCTCTAGTGGCGGCAATGACAGGGCGAGGAGATGAGGATGCTGAGCCCAGCTCACCCCTGGTCTGGGTGAGTGGGGGAGGGTGTCAGCTCCGGAGGTCTCGCACCCTCCCCACTTCCTCAATCCTCCTCTCCCTCTTCCAGCGGGCTCTCCACATGGGGGTCTGAGAGGCAGTACCCTTGTGCCCCCAGGCTGCACCTCAGAGGGCCCCATACTGTGGAGTGCCTTTTATTTTTGGAATTTTCTAAGTCCCGCGGGCCTTTTCTGGGATTGGGGTGGAAGCTCTAAGCCAGCTCAGACCTGTAAGGCCCAGGTTCTGGGAGGGCTGTCAATCGGGACTAGAGAAATCGTGCTAACGGGATGGTGCTGACATTATGAGTTTGCGATGACTAAAACTGTTTATATAGACAAGAATCCCCCATATTTGCCTGAGGTTCCTCATATCCTGGGGGTGGCACTGTCAAGAGGCGTGGGGGGGGGCCAGCCTTGGAGCGAGCCCGCCTCCCCAGCAGACCCTTAGCCTGCTAGAAGAGACCTTGGCCAACTCTATCTCACCTGTGCCCATTTTACAGATAAGCCCAGTGTGGCCCCAGGAGAGGCAGAGGTGGGCTGCCCAGAAGCCAAATCCACCGGCCTCCTTCCTCCCCACTCTGCTCCTGCACCCAGCAAGGAGTGGGTCCAGCCAGGAGGGCACACCCCACCACAAGGGGTGCCCCAGGAACCAGAGGGGCTATTGCACCCCCCACCACCACCACCACCGCGTGACGAAGAGAGGAGGGAATGGGAGGGCCCAGTGGAAACCGAGTCTTTGAAGAAGCTCGCCCACCCCAGTGTCCCCCCAGGACCTCCCAGTGACGATGCTCCGAGAGTTTCATTCTCGACGGGGCCCAGTGGAGGAATGCACTCAGGACCGACTCCAGGACCTTCGTTTTTCGTTGCCTGGAGCTCAGCGTCCCTAGCGGGCCCGGGGCATTGGTGTATGTGTGCCTGAGTGTCACGGTGCCGACCTCTCCCGGCCGCCAGAAGCGAGGCCCCGGCCGCCCGGGGGCCTGCGCTCAGGGGGCACTCCCCCCATGACGTCCGGGCGAGGGGACTGCACAAGGTAGGGGCTGGCACCTCTCTCTCCCGAATGGACCTAGGCCTCCTGCCGGACTCAAAGGAGCTCAAATAGGCGCCTGGGTCTTGGGGCTCTGGCTAGTTCCTGGGGTCTTGCCGCGCCTGGCCCAGAAGCGCATCCCCAGCCGCGCCGGCCTGTTTTCTTCTGCGAAAATTGCGAGGCTGCTCCCTTTTGCCCCCTCACCCCTCGGTGTGTCTGTCTCGCTCTTTCTCTGCCGGTCGGCATCTCTTTCTGCTTCTCCGGACCTCTCTGCCTCGGCTTCTCACCCCCTCCCGCGGTCGCCGCTGCGCCTTTCCTAGAGCGCTCTCGGGGCTCCAGCTCCGCGCGCGTAACCGCAGCGTCAGCACATCCGGGCCTCGCTCATTTGATTTGGGTTTGTTTCTTAAATCGCGAAAATCCATTTCCCCCAAATGGACGGGGGCCTCGACCGGCTTGGGGGCGGTCGGCCTGCTGCCCCCTCCCCCACGCCGGTCCCCGAGGCCCGGCATTGATCCCCGTCTTACAGTACATCGCATTAGCCCTAATGGCTTAGCTGATGCTTCAACTTCTTTTTCGTTAAAAGCCACCCCTCGGCTTCACCCCTCCTCCGCCTCCTCTCCCCGAGCGCCCGAAGCCCTACTCTCTCAGGACCCACTGGCCCGTAGAGACGCGGCTCCTGGAACTGGGGCCCGGGGCTCGGCACGGCGCGTGTGGATGACCCTGGAGGAGCGCACTTCTCTGGGCAGGGGCAAGGGCAAGGGGAGGAGGAGGGAGGGGCTGCGGCAGTTTGGGATCCTCAAGGACCTCGAGTCCCCTGTCGCGTAAAATGCACGATTTAGACACAATCCAACCAGAAACGTCCAAAATTGTTTCCCGAACCCCCAGACTCAGACCCAGGGCGAACGGCGGAACGATCCGGAAGCTGGGAGACCCCTGCGTGCTCGCAGAGAGGCTCCAGGCTTCTGGGCTGCGGGTTCCACAGGCAGGGGGGCGGGGGGGTGCGGAGGCCGAGGCCAGGGATGGGCTCTAGGTCAGCCGTCACTTCCGAGAGAAGCTGGGCCGGAACCCGCGCCCCACCGGGTGCGGAAACTCGGGGTGAGACCTGGGAGGCCCGGCGCAGCAGGGAAGCCGCGGGGGAAGGAGGAAGGAGAAAGCGGAGGCTGCCCCAGACCCCGCCTCCTGCCTCCTACCTGGGGAGGGGGCCCCACGGGCAACAAGAATGCCACTCCAGGGGAAGGCCGCCGCCGCCCGACCCTCCAGGACTGAGGCTCCGGCTGGGCGAGGTTGGCGGCCTGGAGGCGGCTGCAGGGGAGGAAGTGGGGACGGCGTCCAACCCCATCTGTCCCCGACGCTTCCTCGGCGGCTGCATTGCATTTAATGTCGCAAGGAGACTCTGTTCGTTATTTTAAAAATTCAGAAAATTACAAGCACTGAAAACAAAAGGCATCCCAAGTTCGACTACCTGGAGATAGCCAGAGTTTCGGTTTGTTATTGAGATGGTCCGCTGTGTCGCCCAGGCTGGAGTGCAGTGTCGCGATCAGGGCTCACTGCAGCCTCCATTTCCTGGGCTCGAGTGATCCTCCCATCTCAGTCTCCGAGTAGCTGGGACTTCAGGCGCGGCCACCACGCCCGGCTAATTTTTATTTTTTGTAGAGAAGGGGTGCTGTATGTTGCCCAGGCTCGTCGTGAACTCCTAAGCTCAAGTGGTCCGTCTGCCTCGGCCTCCCCAAGTGTTGGGATTACAGGCTTGAGCCACTGCGCCCGACCAGAGTTTTTGATAAAGATTTTCCCTCATGATGTATGTAGTTTTTAAACAAGCAATGCATCGCCAAGGCACGAAATTCGAACGTATAACCAGGTAGAAGATGGAAAGCCTCCCTCCCCTCCTTCTTCAAAATGGGAAGTGAATGTACTTAGGGAGAAAAGCACAAATTTAAGAGTGCAATCAGAGGAATTTTGATAAATGTGCACACCCGTGTAGCCACCACCCGCATCCCCATTTTTTTAAGAAAGAAAAATGTCTACATAGACGCCTAAACGGTTTAAATTCAGAGAGACCTAGTGCCCCCTTCTTCCTCCCCTTCCCCTGCCCGGCCTCTTCTCCTCCTCCTAGTCTTCATTTGTACCAGAGCTACTCAGCACACAACTTAAAATGTCCTCCACTTCTACAAAGAGCATAAACCACTACCAGAAGAGATTCCTCATCCCACCCCCACCGGAGGACACAGCTGTCAACCCCGCCAGCTCTTTCTGCTTCTACCTGCCTCTATATTTCTAAATAGGACGCTTCTGCCACGATTGCTTGAATTCATTTTTTCGGTTCTTTCTTTTTTAAAAGGAATCTATCAACTGTCTATGTCTTGTCTGGAAGGTGGGAAGTTCACTTGCTCACATGCCACTCAAAAGCACTCAGGGCCCTTCCCTCCCTCTCTCCATTGGACTGAGCTGAGACGGTCCAGCGCTCACAGCGGCTTCCCATGAACAACCTGCACAGCTGGGCGTGCACTATGAGCACACGTTTGTTCTATACTAGTGGCCTTTTCCCCCTTGGTTTTCTGTGGTCCTGTTGTTCATCTGTCCCCAAGCTCCCTTCCAGCATGCTACTGTCCGCTGGAGGGCGTAGATCCCCAGGGACCCCACCACATTGAGTGGGGAGGGGGAGGGCAGGCTGGCCCCGTACAGGAACCTCCTCTTTCCAGCTCCCGCTGGATCCTGCTTTCAGAGAGCAAGTCCAGAGGCTTCTGCAGGTCAGCAGGCAGATTGGCTCTCACTCCCAGCCTCCCACACTCCCCAGGCCCTTCCTGCCCTCACGTGCACCTCCTCAGCTGCTTGAAACTTTCTCTGCGACTTCTGGGTCACATTTCACTCCCGGTTCACACCCAAGCACAGACTGGGAGTCTCCAAGGGTCCTGGCCACATCCCTGGGCTGCAGAGTGTCCTGGAGGGTGAATCCTTGACCTTGCTAAGTGCCAGGTGAGAGAACCTTCTGGACCTCTGCCAGAACTCTTGCACCTGGTGGGTCACCCGGCAGCTGGCCATCTGTCCAGGGCACTCACCTCGACCCCCAGAGTGTGCTAGGAGACCTCCCGCCTGGCCCCCAGCAGTCTCAGGTCCACCCATCGTTGCCTCCCTTGCATTCCCTGAGGTCACGGCTGTTTCTTGTCTGACTTTCTTGTGAGACTGTGAGCTCCTTGGGGACAAGATTCAGGCTCTGCCATCCCAGCAAGCTGCTCAGGGCAGCCAGAGGTAGGCATCATCACTGATAAACGGGTGAATGAGACAGCAGCTTCATCCTCACCGCAGCCACACAGTGGAGGTCAGCCTTGCACAGCCAATTAGCTGCAGCTTGAATCCAGGTCTGTAAAATGAATCTAACAGCGTGGGTCTTCCTGGTCTGTGATGAGGCTGGAGCAGGAGCCTGACGGGCTCATCTGCGTGGAGTCCACGGGGGAGAGGGACTGCAGGCGCTGGGGGAAGCCCATGGTGGAGCGTGGGCGTCACTCCTGTTCTTGGCTGAGGGATGGTTGCCTGCTGGTGTCTGCTGTGTGGTGACTCACTGTACTTAGCAGGACACGTGTGTTTCATGCATAAGAAAGATGTGGGGGAAGAAAGAAGTTGAGTGCTTCTCATGTGCTAGGATTCCCATTGTTCACTGAAATTGTTTTGCACGCTTCTGTATTTACAGATTCATTTTAGGAAGTAGAATGAATCCCTCCCTGTGATTATAGCTACAAAATGGTTTGAAGTGTGCTGGGTGATGTTGGACTTACTACTGTTACTTTAGACTTCATGTTTTGAATGTTTTTCTTCGTATTGTTCTTAGGAATTAGGGTTCTCCAAAGAAAGAGAATCAATAGAATAGTTAGATAGACAGAGAGACAGGGAGCACATATGCAATTTTAAGAAATTCTCTGGCATGAGCGTGTGGTCTGGCAAGCCCAAAGTTTGTAGTGCAGGTTGGCAGGCTGGGAGTTCAGGCAAGAGCCGATGTGGCAGTGTTGAGGACAGATTCCACAGGGAGCAGGCTGGCAGCCCAGGCAGAGTTTGTGTTGCAGCCTGGAAGGGAATTCCTGCTGCTTGGGGGAACCTCAGTGTTTGCACTTCAGGCCTTTAATCCATGTGAAGTTTAACACCCCTCCTTGACATAAACACACAGGAGTGTCCCAGCAGTGATATTTTCACTGGCATTATGGCAAATGTGTACCTGGATTTGAGCAGCCTCTGTGAGCCTCAGGCTCTTCATCCCATTCAGGGTTCTCCCCGGCATCAGCCTGTATGGGGCCCAGGCCCTGCTGGGGGATTGAGCCCAGCCCTCAGCACAGCTGTTACCCTCCAGGGGTGGCCGACAGCCCCTGAGCACTTCCCTGGAGGTGTAGCAGGATCTGTCGACCCCCCACTGCCTGGCTGCGAGCTCCTGGAGGGCAGGGACTTGTGTCCTTCACATCAGGCCTCCAGGACCCATTCGAGGCAGGGTAAGACAGGGAGAAGGGGTGGGTGGGGATGGACAGCTGTTTCTCGCACACCATGCAGGGATCAGCAGGAAGGGATGGCAGGGCAGGGCCATGGGTCGGCTCAGGGCACACACTTCCTCTCAGGCTGGTTCAAGATGTAAACGCAAAAGCAAAAAGCTTTATAAAAAGATTAAAAATACTCATACATTTTTATCTGATCTCAGAGTGAGGAAAGGGGGATCCATTCTTCCCCCGCCCCCCTTTTTTTTGAGATGGAATTTTGCTCTTGTTGCCCAGGCTGGAGTGCAGTGGTGTGATCTCGGCTCACTGCAACCTCCACCTCCCGGGTTCAAACAATTCTCCTGTCTCAGCCTCCCCGAGTAGCTGAGATTACAGGGGCCCACCACCACACCCAGCTAATTTCTGTATTTTTAGTAGAGACGGGGTTTCATCATATTGGTCAGGCTGGTCTTGAACTCCTGACCTCAGGTGATCCGCCCGCCTTGGCCTGCCAAAGTGCTGGGATTACAGGTGTGAGCCACCATGCCCAGCCGCATTCTCCCCTTTTACCTTTTACTAATTGAACCCTTCTGGATTTCAGTTGGGCACTTAGCTAAAGACTACATTTCCCAGCCTCCCTTGCAGCTCAGCCCGGTCACATGATGTGGTTCTGACCAGTGAGCATGAGATGTGCAGCGGGCAACATCTGGATAGATCTTTGACTTATCAGGAAGTTGGGTGACCCTCAAACTCTCCTTCTTGGCTGCCTGGAATGGGGCTGTGATGGTCAGGTGAGGACAATTTAGTTACAGCAAAGCAGAGCCTCGGATAGAAGGAGCCAGGTCCCTGGTGACCTGGGGCAGAGCTGTCCTACCTCCTGGATGGTTTACCAGCTTCACTCATTTATTTGTTTGTGAGAAACAAACAAAACTTTCTGTCTTGTGTAAGCTACCATGACTTGGCTTCCATTTAAGAAATAGAGTCAATACCCTAATACAGGAGGCTCTTGTAAACTGGGCCAGTCAGAATCTGTGTTTGGCTGCTGACAGGGCACTGACCACAGTGGGAGGTGGGCAGCCCAGGGCTAGTGTGGCCAGGAACCCAGGGACTCCTTCTATCTTGCTTTTTTTTTTTTGGCCATCCTTAGTGGATAAGTTTCATCCTCCAGGTCACAGAATGGCTGCTGAAGCACCAGCTCTCACATTCCTGTTTTATTCAGGAATAAGGGGAAGGGCAAGAGGCAAAGGTGGGCCTCCTCTCAGCTTTTAGAGATAGCCCAGAAGCCTCTTTCACTGATTTCTGCTTTCGTTTCTCTGGCTACCCCTATCTTCAAAGAGTTTTGTTGCTAAAGCAGAGGGGACAGTATTTATTGGGAGGCAACTTGGAAGCCCTGCACAGAGGGGAAAATTCACAAAAGAGAATGCTGTCAGTTTTGGCCACAAAGCACCAAAACCAGGACTTGTAAAGCCCTTCAGCTGCACCAGTGACCTGGTTCTTCCCCAGCCCCGGAGGCTGACTCCCGTGAGCTCAGACACAGGGGTGGGATGCGTCCAGTTCCCCACACCCAGGCCCCGCGTGTGCAGCCTCCTGTGAGGCAGCGTGGTGCAGAGCAGGGAGCCCGGGCATTGGAGTCAGGCCGACCTGGAGGAAGTCTCAGCCCCCTGTTTCCTGGCTGTGTGGCTTTGTCCAAGGCTTCCGACCTCTCTGATCTACCACTTCCTCATCTGTCCTAGGTGCTCAAAAAATGATAGCCAAGGTCGTTACAGCTGCTCCGTGACAAAGTGCAGTGGAGCAGATGCAGGGCGTGAGGGCCTGGGTTTCAGGCGGCTCCAGCAGGTTCGACACCTCCCTGCAGCCGCGTTCACTGGATGTCTGCCTTGCTGGCTGAGCCCATCTGTTATTTTTATTACAAATTGCCACTAAATTGGCTTCACCCAAGGTCTGTTACCCAAAATAACATGAGTGATTGCCCATTGAATGCAGGGTCAATACTCATCACGCTCTCCTTGCCCACAGCCCCTTGGAGCCAGAGCCGGGGCTTGGAAGGGTCAGGAGAGGTGGAGACCCTGGATTGCACTCCCACTGCAGTGTCTAGGGACGAGAGGGGCTGCCTGCCCGGGAACCAGCTTGAGCCCTTTATGGTTTTCTGTTGGTGCCTCCTTGACACAGGACGCAGGTTCGAGGCCCTCCCATCTCTGCCTGGAGCTGTCTCCAGCCCGCTGCCTGGCCTCGGGGCATGAGCGGAGGAAAGTGTGTCCCCACAGTGCCCAGGCCTGGGCTGCTGGTGGGAATGATGGTCTTTCCAGGATGTCAGGGAAGCCCACCCCACTGGGAAGCAGGAGGAAGAGTCCTTGGACTTGGGGGTTAGACTTCAGGCTCCTGTTTTATGATGGAGAAATGGAGGCCCCGAGAGGCCCAGTGACTGGCCCACAGGCCCATGGCAGATTCATGCCTGAGACGACCGTGGGTCCCAGGCCTCCTCTTTCCCTTCGGGGGCATCCTGGCCTCAGGCCCGCAGAGCCTCTGGTGATCCGTGAGTGGGCCTCAGGGGGTCTTGTATCCAACTGATGTGTCTGTGCTTGTTCTACAGAGGGCCCTTGGATGGCATCAGAGCTTACAAGGTGCCCCGACCGGTGATGAACCATGAGACCTCCTAGGAGTAATGTGCTGGCTGCCTTCGCTTCTCAGCTGCCCCTTGGGGTGCATTGTACACCCGCGGGAGCCATGGAGGGAAGCTGTGAGAATGCCCACCTCTGCATCCTGTCCTGTCGAGGGCCTGGGTCTCTCCCAAGCTGGATCTAGGCCATCCCTGAGCACAGCCTGTGGGAAAGAAAGCCTGGGATGGGAGTGGGGGCCATTCGTAGGCCTTCTGTTCTGCCACGAAGACCCGAACCCTCTTCAGATCCCAGCCTGTCCTTCCTGTGTTGTAAGGCCCCAAACCAAAGGGGGCCCTCAGGCTTGAGTCAGACACACGGGGTCTGGTCTCCCTGCTCAGTAACGACGGCTGCTTGGGCAGCTGGCTAAGGTGCTCCAAGCCTCTGTTTTTGTGTTTGCAAATGGGAATGCCGTTCAGAATTCCAGAAGCCTGGAGAGTGTCTGCCAGGGCCCCGTGCTAGGCACGAAGACCCAGAAATGGATTCCAGACTCCCTGCCCTGGGGGAGCCCAGTCCGGCCAAGGGGGCAGCTGTGTCTGGAGAGGCAGTGTACTCTCTGGGGCACCCAGCACATGTGGGCACTGTCCTGGAGACCAGGATTCCAGACAACACTGGCGGCAACAGTCCCAGCCTCTCAGGAGCCTGGGTCCAGCAGGAGAGATGCCGGATCCAGACCAGGAGCGAAGACCGAGTCGCAGGGCTGGGTGAGTGGAGTGGTGACGCCCACCCGCGGGGAAGGGCAGGCGCTAACACTGGTGTTCCAGGGAGGCGGAGGGGCAGATAGCCAGAAGAATATTCTGAACTGAAGGGATGGTGTGAACACAGGTAGGAGGTGGGATGGGGTGTGGTGGAGGCGATTGTGGGCAAGTCATGTGTTGTGGGGTGAGGTGCGGATGCTGTGGGAGCCTGAGAGGCCTGGAGTCCAGGGAGCTGGCCAGGGAGGGCAGCAGAGGCTAGGCCTGGAGGAGGGCGCAGTCTGCCCCCCAGCCAGGAGCCTGGGCTTAATCCTGCAGCCCGAGGTCAGGGTAAGGGACAGTGCTTGGAGGGGCCACAATGAGCTTCAGCAGGGCCAGTGGAGACCGGGGCGGTGGGGATGGAGACAACACCTCCAGGAACCCCACCGGAAGGGGTCGGGGCAGAGCTGACCACCCCAAGGTGGTGCCTGGGACTCCCACACTGTGCAGAGGCTCCCCACAGGCAGGCGGGCACGGGCAGAGGTCGGCTCTGAGGGGCAAAGATGTGAGGGTCAGGTGCTGGGCTGAACCTGGGTTTCCGGGAACCCCCATCTGTTTCCCAGCGGTCTGCAACCTGGGCTCTTCCACTCCTTACCCAGCCCCAGCCAGCACCCTGTCTACCTTCACTCATTCAGTCAACAGACTCACCGTGTGCCTATCAGGTGCCAGGCTTGCCACGTGAGACACTCTTCGGCACATGGGTGGGCTGAGGGGGGTTGTGGGGCTGTGGGAGAAGGAGGCCCAGAGAAACCAACACCCACAGGGTTTGGGACACACCCTTGGCCACTTCCTTTGT
The DNA here is from genome assembly GCF_000001405.40 of Homo sapiens. Taxonomy (NCBI): domain Eukaryota; kingdom Metazoa; phylum Chordata; class Mammalia; order Primates; family Hominidae; genus Homo; species Homo sapiens. Next base: position 8,849,938 of record NC_000004.12, on the reverse strand, counting down.
CACCTGCCCACCTGTGTCCCTCCCATCGGGCCCCCCTGACAGGAAGCAAGGGCAGAGAACCCTCATCTGAAGACTCCGGGCTGAGGGTGGAGTTAAATGACAAATGGCAGACCACACCCGATGCCCGGAGGGGCTGTTCCAGCTCAGAGACCTCCTGTGAGGGTCCCCATTTCTTCCTGCCCTACCCAGCAAGGGCAGAGGATTGGAAGAGAGGGAGAAAAACCCCTGGGGTTGCATCCACATGGGCCTGATGACAGTTGAAGACCGCACGCTGGGGCCGGGGGGACCCCAGGAGAGCTGCCCTGCGTGTGTCTCCGTGAGTGTCCTGGGGCTGCCGGGACCAAGGGCCACAGGCAATGGGCTTCAGACAATTGAAATGTTTTATCTTGCAGTTCTGGGGACCACAAGTCTGAGCCCCAGGCGTCGGTCGGGCTGTGCCCCTCCAGAGGCTCTAGAGGAGAGCCCTTCCTGCCCCCTCCAGCTTCTGATGGCATCTGGCAATCTGTGGCTCAAGGCCACGTGGTGCCAGCTGAGTGCCCGCCTTCTCCTTGGCTTCACGCTGCCCTGCCTCTAGTGAGTCTGTGTCCAAAGTTCTCTTTGTCCTCACACACCACTCAGCTTGGGGTAGGGCCCTGCCTGCATTTCAGCTTGCTTACCTCAGGAAGACCCTATTTCCAAATAAACTCCCGTTCTGGGGTGCTGCCGGTCAGGACCTCCCCATACACATTTGGGAGGACACAGTTCAGCTCATGACAGCTGCCATGGTTGGACCCGTCTCACAACCTCATGAAAAGGCTTCATCCCACACTTCATACCCCCGTTTCACAGATGGGAAAATCGAGGCTCTGAGAGAAGACGTCCACGATGGAGCAGCGGGCAGGGGGAGGAGGCCCACCCCCCTCAGCCGGGTCTCCACCCCCACGATGCTGCACTCTGTTCAGAGAGGAGGAATTGCTCCTGCGGTAACGTGAGCTGGACAGGTTACCCTCTGCTGGATACAGCCCACCTTTTCACAGAGGGAACATTTTTCTCTTTGTAGTTGGAAGGTGAGGCTTTGAGCACGGTGCACAGATGGCCAAGTGTCAGGGACTCCAGGCCCTTCCCTTGGGCAGCAGCCTGTGGTCTTCACCAACCAGGAAAAGCCCTTATGATGTCTCCTTGCTACTTGCCCTGGGGTAATCTTCTGACCCAGGTTGGGTGTCAGGCATGTTGGCATCTTGCTTGGTTCTAGTGGCCTGCAGATCTGTGTTCTTGCAAGGCATATCTGAAAAAAGGGGGATGGGGGAGCCTGGTTTAGGTTGGTCTACAGCAGCCGGCACCTCCAAGCATGCCTGGAGCAAGTGCCAAGTTATGGGCCCAGCTCCATCCACATGCTGTGTGACCCAGGCAACTTACTTGCCTTCTCTGGCCTCAGGTTTCCTATTTGTAAAACAAGGGGATTGAACTAGGGCATTCCAAGTACTCTGCCTAGATGAGTAAAAAACAATCATAAAATTTCCGCAAACTCTTTATTTCCATTTTATCAAAATATCATAGGCTTCAAGGTGGCATTGTCCAATAGAAGCTATGACTGTGAACCACATATGTGATATAAATTTTCTAGTAGCTACATTAAAGAACAAACAGTTGCAAATAAATGATAATTTCATCCAACATGTTCAAAATTACCATTTCAGTATGCAATCAATATAAAAATATTGAGTTGCTTTACATGTTTCGGACTCTCTTTGGAGAGCACAAAAGTATGCATTTTTTACTTACAGCACATCTCCATTCAGATGCCGAAGTTTTATTGGAAATACTTGATCTGAATTTAGCTATCATAAGATTTACAGTTGAAAAAGCAGATTCTCAGACCCAAGTTGTTCCAAACATACTTCAGTGTTGTCCAATAACTGAATCGAGTGTCGAGTTTTAGATTCAAAATTCGGTTCGCTGAGCTCAGATGTCACCCTGGACCTGGCGCTCCAGGGAGTCGGAGCCTGTTCCAGTTACCGTAAAGCCTGGAGTATAGGGGGCTCGTTGATTCCAGTTCAACTTAATCCACTGGCTCTCAGCTCAGGTCCTCTCCAGAGCCACTCCAGCCAACCCCGAGGTTCTTCTTGTCCTTCCCATTCCCCTGTTTCTGAATCCTGTTTCTTTATTCTTGTGTCCAGAAAGCAATTACAGAGTACCAACTGTATGCAGGATATAATGAAGGAGGCAGTATAGTCAAGGCAGGCCTCATATACTGGAAAGACCACAGCTCCAGGTTCAAATCTGGGCACTGCTAGCTCCACGGGAGGCTGTTTCCACATCTGTGACCTGGGAGCCCTTGGCCCTGAGCAGAAGCATCTCTGTGGGGACAGAAGGGGGTGGTTTGCACGTGTCCAGTGTCTGGCCGATGTTCCTTCAGGTCCGCCTGCTCTCGGGACAGGAGTTGTGCCCGGCCCAGCATCTTCCGAAGAGCAGGGCTCAGTGGCTTCCGTCTGTTGGCGGCATCCCGTTACAGAAATAGCTCTTTGCAGATGTGGCTTCACCGTGAACAGCATTTCTCAAACCACGTTCCCAGAAACATCTTGCTCCTCCTGGTGTGAACCAGGAATTCTTAAGTCAAAGATATTCTCAGGAGACATCAGATCACTTAGTGGCTTTTTAAATTAAATTAAATTATTATTTTTTTTAATTTTTAAAGACAGAGTCTTGCTACGTTACTCAGGCTGGACTGGAGCTCCTGGGCTCAACCCTCCCCACTCAGCCTCCCAAGTAGCTGGGATTACAGGCATCCCTCACCACGCCCGGCTCAATGGCTTTGTACTTTTATTTGTAGACTTTCTTAGAGCCCTTGATGTGGCAATGCAAATGGTCAGGGAATTCCCACTTTGCCACTGTGTCAGCAGCCCTGGGCCTGGCACTTTGAGACAGGAGCTGAGTCATAGTCATTTCCGTGTCCCATGTCACTTTTGCACACAGGGAACCCCTAGCTGGCACCCTGCCCTCAGGGGGTGCCTGACAGTGGCCACTGATTAAAATGTGGGCTAAAAAGAAGCACTAAAACAACAACATGCTGGAGATCAGGGGAAGGGCCAATTATTTTCAGAGGATCCAGGAAGACTGCCTGTAGGAGGAGACATTGGAACTGAGCATGAAGGATGAGCCTAGAGACCAGGGTAAGGGGTTCTGGGTACATGAAAGGGGCGTTCACAAGCCCAGTAGGAGCTCCGTGTATGGTTCAATGCCTGGTGGGGTAAGGGGTGAGAGGTTTGGGGTGTGGGGTGTTTGCAGGGGAGTGTGAGAGGTGGAAGAGGCAGGAGGCCTGCTCAGGACTCATGGGGTTGCAGGTGGCACTTCACCCTATGGTCAGTGCCACTCGCCCCAGGGCCACTGCATTGGAATCCCAGGGGAGCCTGTTACACCTGGGTTCCCAGCTTGGTCCTACTTCACCAGTTTCTGGGAGTGGGAACCCCCATGTTGACAAGTTCCCGGGGAGTCCTAGGTCCCTGTAGTTTGGAGACCACTCTGTGAGCCAGGTTTGGGTTTTGAGCCATGTGGCTGGCAGTGGAGCATCCAGGATTAGCTGACACCTTGTGCAGACATGACTAGTGCTCCCAATACCTGGTTTTTCTCCCCTGCAGGCACACAGAAGATTACACCTCAGCCTGTGCAGTGTGGAGAGGGGCAGGTGACCAGAGCTGATAAATACAAAGTGAACAGAAGTGACAGTGGGAGCCTCTGGATGGCGGAGGAGGCCGCAGGGACTGGATGGTGCAGCCACAACACGGTGGAGCCTTTGTCAGCCTGGACCCCCGAGTGACCGCGTGGAGCAGTGTTCCCACAGGGGGCACTCAGTGTGAGCAAGAAATAAACCTTAGTGTGTGCACCCACCTGGATTTTGTTTGTCACTGTCGTGTAACTTAGCCTATTATGATGAATGCACATTCATTCCCTTGTTTAACCCTGGGGGCACACTGTTAAATGTTTGTGGACACAAATTTTGAGCACTTAAAATAGATCACATTCCCTTCCCTTTTCCCCTCTCTCTCCTTCCCTTCTCTCCCTCCTGGGTGGCAGCCAGCCTCTCTACCATCTTTGTGGAAATTAGGAAAAGACTTGCCCTCCAGCTCGATGCAGTTTTGGGCTGTTCAGCTTGATGAGCAGTGAGCAGAGAGTGAGCTGAATTTCAGCCTTGACCCGCTCCCTTGGCCAGGCACTTTTGAGCAGTGCACAACCCATACAACAGTCCAGGGTGACCCAGTTATTCATCCATCCCCAAACTGGGTGTAGAGTGAGTACCAGGCCCTGAGTTGGGCTTTGCAGGTTCAGAGAGCATAGGACGCTCTGTGTGCCTCAAGGAGCTCACTTTGGGGGAAGCAGACAGGACATAGAATAGCTTTCATTCTGGTCAGCATTGAGGGAGGGATCTCAGGGAGCCTCTGACCAGAGAAGGCACAGAAGCTGTGGGAAGCTCCTCAGCAGCACGGCGGGGGCAGCGCACACTGCGAGAGGCAGGCTGTTCAATATCTGACGTGTGGAAGCTTCAGCAGGCAGATGGGAGGGGTGAGGCAAGGAGAATAATAACGATAAATCATAGCTAGAACCTTCTGGACTCTTCTTTGCTAAGAGGAGCTAAGCAGCATTTGCTGCTGCCTAGGGGTCGTTACTTTTGGATTCGTCCAGGGGAACGCTGTGGGGTTGGGGTCTTGGCCTCAGAAGGCCCTTTCTCTCCAGCCATCTCCCCACCTGCTGTGCCCATCTGTCCTTGGCATCATAAGGATGAACATCCAGCCCAGGGCGTGGGGCAGCCGGGAGCACCCTGCACAGCCAGCCCAGGCACAACACGGCAGGGACTCCTCAGCAGCGCAGACTCACCTCCATCCTCCACATGTCCCAGTTGGGAAAAAATTCTTCCATTGATCCACCAACATTTACTGGGGGCTTCTTTTTTAATAACAGTTTTATTGAGATATAATTCACATACTGTAGAATTCAGCCTTTTAATTGTACAATTCAGTGTTTTTTTAAGCATATTCATAGGATTGGGGTGTAACCACCACCCCAATTTTAAATTTTAGGATCTAATTTTAGAGCATCTTCTTTTTCTTTTTTCTTTCTTTCCTTCCTTCCCTCCGTCCCTCCCTTCCTTCCTTCCTTTCTTTTCTTTCTTTCATCTTTCTGCTTTCAGATGGAGTATCGCTCGCCCTGCCACCCAGGCTGGAATGCAGTGTTGCAATCTAGGCTCACCGCAACCTCCACCTCCCTGGTTCAAGCGATTGTCCTGCCTCAGCCTCCCAAGTAGCTGGAATTACAGGCATCTGCTGGCAGTCCACTAATTTTTTGTTTGTTTTTTATTAAAGACAGGGTTTCACCATGTTGGCCAGGCTGGTCTCAAACTCCTGACCTCAAGAGATCTGCCTGCCTTGGCCTCCCAAAGTGCTGGGATTACAGGCATGAGCCACTGCACCCGGCCTCTTTTGTTTTCTTTTTTGAGGAAGGATCTTGCCTTATCACCAGGCTGGAGTGCAGTGATGTAATCTCGGCTCACTGCAGCCTTGACCTCCTGGGCTCAAGCAATTCTCCTGAGTAACTGGGACTACAGGCACACATCACTATGTTCAGCTAATTTTATTTAATTTTTTAGATATGGGGGTCTTGCTATGTTGTCCAGGCTGGTCTTGAACTCCTGGACTCAAGAGATCCTCCCACCTCAGCCTCCCAAAGTGGTGGGATTACAGGCATGAGCCACTGCACTGGGCTTAGAACACTTTCATTACCCCTCAAAGAAACCCCATGCCCTTTAGCAGTCACCCACCTTTTCTCCCTACTCCCAGCCCTGGCAACCACTAATCTACTTATATCTCTATGGATTTGCCTATTTTGGACACTTACGTAAATGGAATCACGTTTGTGGCCTTTCGTGTCTGGCTTCTATCACTTTGTGTAATGTTTTCAAGGTATGTAACAGGATTTCATTCTTTTTTATGGCCAAATAATATTTTGCTGTATGGATAGACCTCTTTGTCCATTCATCAGTGGATGGACATTTGGGTTATTTCCACTTTTTTGGCTATTATGAATGGTGCTGCCATGTACACGCATGCACATCTTTTTAAGATGGTGATGTTCTCAGTGCCCTTGGGCACATACCTAGGAGCGGAATTGCTGACTTATGTCATAACACTCTGTTTTTGAGGAGCTGCCTGACGATTTTCCAAAGTGGCTGCACCATTCTACTTTCAGCAGTGTGTGAGGGTTCCCATTTCTCCACATCTTCACCAGCATTTGCTATTATCTGCCTTTTTTTTTATTCCAGCTGTGATGCTGGGTGTGAAGTGGTATCTAATTGTGGTTTGATTTGCATTTCCCTAATGACTAATGATACTGAGTATCTTTCCATCTATTTATCTGCCATTTTTATATCCTTTTTAGAGACATGACTATGTGAATCCTTGGGCTATTTTTAAATTGACTTATTTGTCCTTTTATTGTTGGGTTGTCAGAGTTCTTTATATATTCTGGATACAGGTTCTGAATGATATATATGTGTTGCAAATATTTTCTCCCATTCTTTGTGTCATCTTTTTACTTTTTGGATGGAGTGCTTGGAAGTAAAAAGCTTTACACTAATTTACGTTAATTTTCAGGCAATTAATAACAATGGTGACTGTCCCATGCCAGAGTAGTGTATATATTGGCCCATTTAAGCTGCACATCAACCTATGAAGTCAGGACTCCCATTGTCCCCAGGCCATAGTTGAGGAAACAGAGGAATGGAGAGATCAAGTAAGAGGCTCCAGACAGTGAACCTAATATAGACAGAGGCAGGGCCTGGACCTGGCATCTGGTTCCGAGCTCTGGCTCTTCACCACCATGCCATCGGGGCTCTGCATTGAAGCCTTCACCATTCAGAGGAGACAGGAAGGTGGGCTTGTAGTTGTACCAAGAAGCATTATTGCCTCTTGCAAGCATCAGAGATCTTCAAGGGAGGGATAGTTCTCTTCCAGGAGTGGGGCATCAGAGGATGGGCTCCCAGGCTCTCAGCAAACAACAATGTTGCTGGGCCTCACTACATCCTGGCTGCTCGTGTATGGCTCTCATTCCCTCATTAAAGAGGCCATTTGCCCCACCACCATCATCTCTACCACATCATCATCACCGTCATCATCACCAGCACCATCATTACCACCACTATTACCACCACCACCATCATCACCATCATAATCACCATCACCATCATCACCACCATAATCACCATCACCATCACCACCATCATCACCATCACCATCATCACCACCATAATCATCATCACCACCACCATAATCACCATCACCATCATCACCACCATAATCACCATCACCACCATCATCACCATCATCATCATCATCATCATCATCATCATCATCATCATCATCATCATCATCATCATCATCATCACCATCATCATCATCATCATCATCATCATCATCATCATCATCATCATCATCATCATCATCATCATCATCATCATCATCATCATCATCACCATCATCATCATCATCATCACCATCATCACCACCATCATCATCATCATCATCATCATGACCATCACCATCAACACCACCATAATCGCCATCACCACCATCATAGTCACCATCACCATCATCACAACCATCATCACCATCAACACCACCATAATCGCCATCACCAGCACATCACCATCACCACCACCATTATCACCATCACCATCACCATCACCATCATCACCACCATAATCACCATAATCACCATCACCAGCACATCACCATCATCACCACCACCACCATCACCATCATCATCATCATTAACATATCACCATCACCACTGTCATTACCATCACCACTGTCACCACCATCAACATCACTACCACCATCACCACCATCAACATCACTACCATCACCACCATCAACATCACTACCACCATCACCACCATCAGCACCACCACATCACCATCACCATCACCACCACAGTATCACTATCATCACCATAATCACCATCAGCATAATCAGCATCACCACCACTAACATCATCATCATCACCACCATCGCCATCATCATCACCACCATCACCATTATCATCAACACTACCATCACCATCACCATCATCACTGTCATCACCGTCACCACTGTCATCACCATCTTCATCATCATCATCATCATTTCCATCATCATCACCACCTCCATCATCACCATCACCACCATCACAATCATCACTGTGGTGGCACTGAGAAGGTGTACTGAGCCCCTCACTTGGGGCCCGGCCCAGAGCTCTGTGCTTTACATCTGTCACCTAATTTAGTCATCCCAGCTGCCCTACAAACTGGGTCTGAGGCTCAAAAAGGAACAGTCACTTACCCCCCAACCCCATAGCACCTGTTGAACCTGACCTTTGCTCTTAACCAAGTCCTGCCCATCCATCTTACAGATATGTGAATGGAGGACCTGGTATTAGGGACTGAGGGAAGGTGAGGGGAGGTGGGTACTGGAGTAAAATCCTGGCCAAAGTGGAGGGCTGGCCAAGCGGTCCCCAGACTGTGGCCTCCAGGAAAAGATGCTTCAGCAAGCCCTGAGAGAGGGAGGCTAGAGGCTGGGCTCCCAGGCGTGAAGCCATTCTGGACAAGGGCAAGGGTTGGGGGACCACGGCCAGCACTATCAATTAGTGCAATTAGGCGTCAGGACGGAGGCCTGGGCGCTAATTGCCTGGTGACCAGCCGAGGTGCTCAATAATGGATTAGCTGAGTGCTGTGGCCACAGCAGAGTATGGCCTTCACCTCCTGGGGTCAAGGCCAAGTGCTCCAGGGATGCTTCCTCTCCTGGGCGCAGCCCAGACCTCCGCAGCTATGCACCGCCCCTCCCTTGCCTCTGCCCTTTCCCCAGGACTGAGAAAAGCCAACCCAGGTGGGCAAATACTGTGGTCACAAGCGTCCTGAGGTCCCTCATCCAGGCCCTGGCGGGGAGGCCTCTCCCTCTGCCGAGACCCCCACCTCTCACACGTGGGCTGTCTGGGGATTTCAGCCCCCTCTCTCCAGGAAGCACTGGGTCAAGCACCATCTACAGAGGGGGACACCCTCTCCTGGCATCTTGGTCCCCCTCTGTAGATGGGGGGCCACTTGCCTACCTTGCCTCCCTGCTGGGATAAGAGGGGTCCATGTTCCTGAAAGCTCCTTGCAAGAGCTGCCACCTGGGGCGGCTCAGCCCCGCTGGTGGAATTGGATAGTGCAGTCCCAGCCACCCAGAATGGTTCCTGTCTCTTCACCCTTCCTCACATACCTGACTGGGCCAGGTGGAAGACAAGGGGGTGGGGCTGGTCTCTAGGGACCTGGAAGCTGGGCCAGGCACGGGACTTTCTCCTGAGGGCAAGGGGGAGTCACTGAAGGGCTCTGAGCAGGGTGCTTTGGGCCCCTTTTGCATTGTAGAACAGTCCCTTGTGGGGGCTGTGAAGAGGGGCTGCAAAGGGGATGGGGCAAGAGCCAGGGTGGAAGGGCCTGTCCCGAGCCAAGCCGGGTGTGGGGAGGAGGCACAGATGTGCTGGACCTTGGGTGACAGTAGGTGAGCCCTTGGGACTGGCTTGAGGGAAGAGGCTCTCTTCACTCTTCACTCACTCTTAAGTTTCAGCTGTTGGCCCCCTCCTCCAGGAATCATCCTGCTCTGCCCCTGGGGCCTCATAACATCACCTTCTTTGTCCCCACCCTCGTCACTCTCTGACCCCATCTCCTGCTCTGGGCTGCAGGCCTCATGTTTCATACCCCCCACCCCGCCCCGGGCAGGCTCGACTCCTCTCTCTGTCTTCCTGGGCACAGAGGAAGTTCCCATGCAACCCTGGCAGGGCTGACCTTCCCAAGGTGCCCAATTGCGCCCATCTGAGTTCCACTGCCTCATGCAGCAGCTCTGGGCAGCTGAGGCACAGGATTGTTGTTATTGTTTTAAATTTAATTAATGAACTTTACTTTTAGAGCAGTTTTAGGCTCACAGAAATATTGAGCAAAAAGCACAAAGAGTTCCCATATTCCCATATCCCCATATTCCAAAATCCCCATATCCCCATATTCCAAAATCCCCATATCCCCATATCCACATAGTCCCATCTTCCCACACCCCCATATCCCCATATTCCAGTATCACCATATCACTGTGTAGCCTTTTCAGATGGGCTTCTTTCACTTTGTGACATGAACTTAGGGACTCTTCATGGCTTTTCATGGCAGAATAGCTCGTTCCTTTTGAGTGCTGAATCATATTCCATGGTCTGTACCACAATTTATGTATCCATTTGCCTACTGAAGGACACCTTGGTGGCTTCCGGTTTCTGGTGACCATGAATAAAGCTGCTATAAATGTCATGTGCAGGTTTTTGGGTGGCTGTAAGTTTTTAATTCATTTGAGTAAATATCAAAGAGCGCAATCGCTGGATTAGATTTTAATTACATTTAGTTTTGCAGGAAGTTGCCAAACTGCCTTCCAGAGCAGCTGTGCCAATCTCTCCAGGCACTCCTCCTGAGTGATCCCGCAGTGGGGCAGGGTGCTGGCTGAGGGCTGCTGGGAGGGGGTGTCCATTTCCTTAGCACCCCCTCAGACAAAGAGACGTGGACAATGTGGAGGGGAAATTAGGAACCGCAGGGCAGGGCCGGACAACGTGGGTGATGGGGGTGCTGCTTTATAGGGGTCAGGGCAGTAACGCATAGAGGTGCTAAGCAGGGCAGGCTGCCACCGACGACCACGGGTAGACGATGTCATGGAGGACGTCCTCTATGGCTGCGTGTCCCTCAGGCTGCTGCACGGGCTGGGGTCTTCCTCGCTAGTCCTCGCCGGCATCCCCCCGGCCTTTCCCGTCCCGCATGAGGAGCAGGCCTGGCTGTGAGATTGGAGGGCATACAGGGCCATCGTGGACATGGCAGCGGCTCTAGTGTTCAGGTCCTCAGAGCCTGATGAAATGCCACAAGTCAGCATGCCTCCAACCCTCCAGTGCCCGGGATCCTGCTGGGCCCGTGATAACGCCGATTCGGAACCTGTGCTAGGGCCTGAAACTGCATTCTAACAAGCTCCCAGGTGATATCAGGCAGCTGGCCCAGCGACCACACTCTGAGAAGCCAGGCGTGAGCTCTAGACAGCCATGCACACATTCTGAAATGTCACCCAGATTCTGAAATGTCACCCAGATTCTGAAATGTCACCCAGAAACCTTCCGGAAGCAGCTTTGAGAAAAAGGATTGGCTTCTCTTTCTGGCTCCAGAACTGATTGGCTGTGTGATGCTGGGACAGTCATGGCCCTCTCTGCTCTGGAGTGTCTTCAGAGATAAAACAAAGCCTGGGACCAAGCCGTAGCAATTCTATAATCTGAGTGCCACCTTCTGTTTATGGAGTGCCTCAGGTATCAAACAGCATTGATTCATGACCAGAAATCTAGAAAACATCACCCCCATTTCACAGGTGAGAAAACTGAGGCTCTGACAGTGTCTCGGCAGGGAAGTTACTGCCCAGCTTTTCGGCGGCAGGGGCCAGCCTTGAACTCGAGTTGGCTAGCTGCAAAGCCCTTGTTTTTTCTCCATCAAGCTGTCTCCTGTTTTACTTGAAGAATAAAATAAAACTTTCTCACAATGAGAGATGAGACGTGAAAAGGGTTTGAATTTCTCAATCCAGAGAACAATCATTGCTTAGGCAAAGGCATTTGTGGTCCTTTCGATTTCCTCTAAAATAGTTTTTGCAAGTTGATGAAAAAGGTTTGTTCTCTGTAGTCTAAGGAAGTGAGTCAGTAAACAATAAAATCGGCATTCTCATAATTAGCTCTTAAACTGTTCCTCCGTATGAAAGTTTCCCCCAGTCCAAGCTCCATGTTGCTTCTTGCACATTCTTACTATACAAATCTGAACAATTTTTGACAAGATTTTTGAGTTTTGTCAGATGTGAATTGTTAAGATTTAATTGAAAAAATGAACAGAACACAGCCACTATTTCAAAGGGAGTGACCCAGAACCAATTAGAATTTAGTAACAATTGACCATTCACCACTGAAATCCATGTTGAGAATCAGATTAAAGCCACTTTAATTCCCCCCCTTGTTCCTGAACTCAAAATATCATTAGTGGGAGATTTCCCTGAATTTTTTTCCAATCAATTTTCCTGGTTTTAAAGGTGAAGTTCAACTGGGGGGACTGTGCTGAGGAGGGTGCCGGCTGGTGATCTCCAGGGCTGAGATGATACACAATATAGGTTACCATCTTGAAAAAACAGGTCAGGCCGAGCAACATTCCTCGTCAAATTGCTGTTGACAGCCCAAACAGGAGATGGAGGAGGGCCACAAAAAGGCCCTTTCATCTGAAGACAACACAGCGTATAATTGGTCATTCTTTCCTTGTCTGGCCTCTCCTTCTCAGCTGGGGGAAATTTCCCAAACAAAGCCAGGCCTTCCTAAGGCAACTTCTTAATCCTTTCTGGCAGATGCGCCCGGGGAAGTGTCGGCTGAGAGGACAGGGCAGGGCGCTGGCTGGGCCTGTGTGGGCACGGTGCCTGGTGCGTAGTAGGCACATAGTAGGTGCTTCTGGCCGCGGAGTCGGTGAATGGTCGGTATCAGGAGCTGTGGCATCTGGCTCGTTAGCTCTGTCTGTGGCACGAGGGCAATGGCCGAGCAGATGTGTGTGAAGCAGCTTTTCCTGATCCATCCCAGACCTCCACTGCATGACCCCATAGCAGGAGCGGAGGCCACATTCTAACAGACGAGAGCCAGAGCTTCACTTGGGCTCCAGCATCTTCCAGTCCAGCCTCATTTGTGCAATCCACGACTGCTTCCTGGGCTTTTCCGGCTCATCTCTGAAGGCCTCCTCGTCTGGCTCCAGGTCCTGGTCTGCTTCTCTGCCCAGCTCCTGACGGTCACCACTGTCTGCCGAGCACACACCAGGTGCCAAGTGCTGCGGGGGCTTTGCGTCATAGCCCTCCGGGAACCCTACAGGGAAACAGAGGCTTGGGGAGGCTGCGTGGCCTTGGACTAGACCCCCTTCCCACCCTGCAGTGCTCACAATCCCACCGCCCGTTTCCCAGCGCTGGGTCCTAGAGCTTCTAGAAGCAGGGCACTGCCCCATTCTGGGTCTAGTCCCAGGGAGTGGAAGAGCTCAAACCCAGAACCAGGCACATCCTGGACTTGATTTTTGCAGGACAAGATGAGTCACAGACACGAATGTCCAGGCCGGACTGTGCCGCGGCTGTTACCTCATTATTACTTTAATGTCACCTTGAGGAGCGCCCTGGAATTCGCTGCCTCCAACGCAGCCTTCCCATTAGCCATGTTGTCACATCCAATCCCAAACTGGTTTTGGTACATTTATTTGCATTTCCAGAAGTCGAGTAAGACCCCAAAGTGTTTTCTGAGTATCAAAGTCCAAACGCAAACAGAAACGAGCAAACAAAAACACCCCACAGGCGTTTAGAATAGGAAGTCTGGGGTGATCTTCAGGGGACCCCTGAGTATTCGCATCTCAGGCAGTTAGAATAGGAAGTCCGGGGTGATCTAGGGGACCCCTGAAGATTATTCAGATCTCAGGCTTTTAGAATAGGAAGTCCGGGGCGATCTAGGGGACCCTTAGTATTCACATCTCAGGTGTTTGGTGTCTTAGTTTGGGTCCCCAGAAGAAGACACGGAGACGAGGACTTATTTGGCAGATGATCCCAGGAAACACAGGTGGGGAATGGGGAAAGGAAGTAGTGAGTGGCTTAGAGTCAGAGGGGCTTCCACAGCGAGCACCTGGAGCTTCATCCTGTTGGGAAGATGTTGGATGCCGTGTAGAACAGGGGCCCGAGAGTTACCCCCAGTGGTGTGGGAGCTGGGGTGTTTATCCGGCTCCCACCTGCTTCCGGGTGGACGGGCCATTCATTCCCTGGGCACATCTGGCTGCCTGCCCTGCACACGGCAGAGAAGGGCCTACCCAGGCCACACAGGCCCCAGGCTGAAGGGTGCAGCTCCAGCCTGTGGGCAGTTGGGGTCACAGCAGCTGCTGCACTGGGGATGGCCTGTCTCCTGAGCATGGCAGCAGCAGCCCATTCAGGCTTTGGTTCAGAGGAGTTGGCAGACCTGGGTCTATCACAGACGGCTGTGTGGCCTTGGGTGAATCACTTGACTTTTCTGAGCCTTTCCTCACCTGTATGATGGGAATAACAGCGCTTGCCTATTAGGTTCATTATGAGGCTTCAGTGAGCCCCCCAAGGGTGTGGCATCTAGTCCCAGAAGGGCCAGTACGAAGAGCCGCACCACAGCTGTGGATGCAGTTGGGTCAGGTTCAGAAGTGCATGGGGCTATTGTCCCCACTGAGGGGCAGTTCACCGACTCTTCTGGGTACCTTGAAGTTGCTCAGAAATTAAGGGTAATTAGATAGTGCCTGAGGTGGTCCCAGGACACAGTGTGAGGTCACGGCAGAGACTGGGCTGTGACACCTGAAAGAGAGGGGATCAGACCCTGAGAACACTGTCTCTGGGAAGAGGGGCTCAAGTGCCCTGCACAGTCCTGAGGTCAGCGCTGGGGACTCCAAGGGGAAGCACCTGTTTCACATGCATTTCAGGAAGGATGTAGCCGATGGTAGAAAGAGCAGGCCATTCAGTGAAGTAGTGAGCTCTCCGTCCCTGGAGGTGTGTAAGAGGCTGGATGTTGTGTTCACTTTTCCTGGTCATGTGGGGACCTCCTGGCCCTGGATGGCAGCAGTGGTGGTGGATGGGGGTGGCTGGATAGGATGCCTTTTAAGATCTTTCCCACCCCAGAGAGTCTAGAATTCCACGTGTCTATGAGGGGCTGAGCGCTGGAAACGTGCTCCTCATTTGATGCATTGCATCTGTGGCTCCTTGAGGCACCCTAGGTAGAGTTCAGCAGCTCGGGCCTGGTCTGAATTAGTGAGAGCGACGTTGAAGGGGAGAGCCTGGCTGCAGCCTGAATGATCTGCTGAGTGGTGGCCTGGAGCCTTGATGGAAAAGGAGCCGCTAGTCCACAGAGTCCCCGGGGCCTCAGACTGGTATGAAAAGCAGAGGGGAGACTGCCCTGATGGGGGTGGGGAAAAGCTTGGGGGGCCTGTGAGTGTCTAGCCGGCAGCTCATGCTTTGGGAAGTGCCCTGGGCAGAAGCCTGTGGGAGGAGTCTCTGAGGAAAAGGAACTGCATTCATGCCCAGCCAGGGGCCACCTGCACACCTCGGCCCATCTGAGCTTCTGGGCCCGGGGCTGGGAGTTCAAGTCCTACTTCCTCCTTTATGTCATCCTGAAAGCTCCCTGAGGCTCTGGTGTTCCTCTGTGGTGAGGTGACGTGCCCCTTTCCTGGGGAGGTAGGTTGGCAACTGTGCCTGGGGATGGGATGCTTCAGGAGACATAGTGAAGACCACACGCTGCCCGGGGCTGCTTCTGCTTCTCTGGCTTGTCCTGGGAGCTCGGGACCCTTGGGCTGGGAGTCCCTGCTGGGGGGCCTCATGGTATGGTCATGTCCCGTCACCCCGTCTATTGCCTGGTTGATATTACAAAGGCTGCCTCCTGTGCAGTGCACAAAAGGAAACCACAGGGACAGATTGCAAAGGAAATCAGAGCCACTCTGCACCTGCTCCAGGCTGTTCACCCAGCCACGGCGGACCCCAAGGTGAACAAGGCAGCCTCAGCCCCTGCAGACTCCTGGCTGTGGGCTCCGGAGGGCTTCATTCATTCATTCATTCATTCACTTGCCTCCTCTGGGCTGGGCTTTGTGTTAGGCACAGTAATTGATCCCTATCGATACGATTGGTAAGTTAGGCATGCAGTAGTTGATGAGGCCTCACGATCTGAGTTTCCTGGGTCTTTATCTAATTCCTGTATCATCTACAGAGTGGATATCCTACTGCTGGGCCCTGCTTGGGTTTTAAAACCCAACAATGCGGCCGGGCGCGGTGGCTCACGCCTGTAATCCCAGCACTTTGGGAGGCCGAGGCGGGTGGATCACGAGGTCCGGAGATCAAGACCACCCTGGCTAACACGGTGGAACCCCGTCTCTACTAAAAAAAATACAAAAAAAAATTAGCCCGACGTAGTGGCGGGCGCCTGTAGTCCCAGCTACTCCGGAGGCTGAGTCAGGAGAATGGCGTGAACCCGGGAGGCGGAGCTTGCAGTGAGCTGAGATTGCGCCACTGCACTCCAGCCTGGGCGACAGAGCCAGACTCCGTCTCAAAATAAATAAATAAATAAATAAAACCCAACAATGCACTATGCACATATTTATAGCTCACTTGCCATGGCCCCATGTGATTAATTTTAGACAGCTTGACGGCTGTGCCTTGAGCTTCTCCATGCCTGGTGCTGGGCCTGGGACTTGAGGTGCAGAGGTGACTGCACCATCCTAGAGGGGCTACGAGAGGCAGAGCCTCAAGGACCAAGGCATTGAGGCCATTCCCCTTCTCTCCTCCCCTGTATAGAACTCAGATGAAGGAGCCAACACGCTCATTACAGAAAGTCACCCGTCCCAGCTAGAGGGGTCTGGGGCAGCCCCTCACACCAAGCTGACACTTGCAGACACCTGGTCAATCAAACCGTGAGATTCACATCACATGGGCTGGAATTTGGCCTCCACCACTCGCTTGTCTCATCAAGTCATTAAGCCCTCTGGGCCTCAGTGTACCCATCTGTAAGGTGGAGGTAAGAGCTTTCCCACCTGGGGTTTTTGTGAGGTTTAAATGAGGTAACTGTGCTTCTAGAAGAGTAACCTGCAGGATTATTGATGGAATTTAATTTGAGCTGTGGAAACCCAGGACACCGAGGCTGACAGAGGCGGGGCTTGGAACCCAGGTCCCCGGGCTTCCAGACTTTGTTGCACGGCCCTTGAAAACCCATACACTGGGAAGGGGTTTGCAGGACAGAGGCCTTGGTGGATTCTGCCTTCACCAGGGGCGCTCCCGTCTTCCTGGAGGACCCGGCTCGCTTAGGGCTCCTTAGGGCTAGGCGAGAGGAGTGGGGCCAGAAGAAAGGCTTGAAACTGTATCCTCCCCTGGCGTGGGGTCAGCGGATCAGACCCCCACATCTTCCCCACCATCAACACCCCCCCTAGGATTTTCTTGAAGTTAAGTTTCACATCATATGGCTGAACATTTGGAACTTTTTAAGCAGAAATGGTAGAAAAGTCTCAGAACACAATACCTTCCTGGCAGGGAGCCACATGAGAAATTTAGCAACAGGCTCGACGCCGGAGAAGAACGCGTCATAATTGTCCATCTGGATTAATCTGGCGTTCTTTACTTAACCTCACGTCAGGCTGAGTGGCTAATCAGGGCTTGGAAGACACTGTCTTTTGTAACTGTACCGAGGCTCCGGTTTCACACATCAGCTAATTTTCCTATCACATTTCCTTAATTGTAAGCTTGGTTTAATGGAGCCCCAGACAAGACTGAGCCGTAAGGAGCATGCTCATGCCCCGGCTAGGGGGTGCCAGGAATGTGTGGCTGAAACATCACAGCTCCTCACCTGTGGCTTAGTGGGCAGTGCTCAAAGAACACTACAAGGCCTCTGGAAAAATTCAATTAGCAGGGGGCCAGGGGCAGGGCATTCGTGGCGTCATGGTCAGGGTTACTGTGTGGGAGAGTCCTGGCCTCCAAACACCCAAGGCAGTGCGGCGGCATCATCCTTCAAACTCTCTGCAAGACGGGCAGCCGGAGTTCCATTCCACAGACGCTGAAACTGAGGGGCAGAGACAGGGTAGATGGGGTCTCCTGTTCTGCTCTGGGACCCTGGGGTGTGTAAGCCTCACCTGGCCTGTGCCTGGCCTGCCAGATGGGTGGGTGGTGTGTCCCCACCTGCCATGCAGGGGTGACAGGAGGAGGAAAGGACCTCTAAAAAGGCCACTCCCACTGGATGCAGGCCTGGGTGCAGGAGGGTTGGGCAGAGCTGGGGGGAGTCCCTCCTTCTCTGTGACAGCCTCCCTCCAACCCAGGCCCGTGGGTCTTTGCTTCCCCGTTTTCCCTTCCTGCACCCTTTCTCTTGCCCCAGATCCTCATCCTCCCGGCCCCCAGCCCCCGCTCCGGTGAGCCCATCAGGCTTGTGATGGGGTTGGTCGCTGTTCTACCCTAAGCCTCAGTTCTCAGGGGCTCAAGCTCATGGGGAGGGGCAGGCAGAGACAGGAAAAGGGGGTGATTTTAAGGTGGCAGGTGGGGTCCCTTTCCCAGGTGACTCTGAATTTACTCTGGAGGCAGAGGAAAGTTCTGGGCCCAGCAAGGGATGCCCCTGCGGTGTAGCTTGGTGCCTCCTCTCCTGTGATGTGAGGAAATTTGCCCAGGGGACACCAAGGCCCTGCCAGTTTGTCCACCCTCTACACCCTGGGAGCTGAGCTCCATCCAGCCCTCAGCAGCCTCGGTCCAGATCTGTCAGGCCAGAGGCCGGAGCGGCTTCCTGAGCTGCAAATCTCTGTGGGCTCCAGAGAGAGCAGTCACCATGCCTGGCCTTCTCTGTTCAGTGGCCAAGGCCACTGGGCCTGTGTGGAGGTTGTCAGAGCTAAACCAGGCTCTGGGTTGATCTCTGTTTCACCAGCTTTCGCTGGGTCCTCTTAGAATAAGCCTTTAGTCCATCCCCACCTGGGGCCATGGAAACGGATTGGACACCGTCCTGCTGTCAGAGAGCACATGGCTCAGGGGAGCTGTTCATCCTCAATCAGAGGTTGTCTTGTTGCCAGTTACAGCACAAAGGCAGGATGTCAACTGTGCTTGGTGCCTCTAGGAAGGCTTCCTGGAGGTGGTGTCACTTCAGAGATTCATAAAGTTTAAAGCGAAAATTGCTAGATGCACAGGGCCCTGGGGGCAGTGAAAACAGAGGAACAGGAAGGAGTAGCTGGTGTGGCCCTCAGGGACCTCGGGGGCTCAGCCTCAGGCCCCCCTGTGGCAGAGGATGTGGTCAGGAGTCTACAAGGGCCTTGACTTTCTGGTTCAGAAGAAAACTTTGTCCAGGGGCAATGGTGAACCTGTGGGATTTTGTTTGCAGGGAAGGAGCTGATCATGCCCTGTTGGTAAGCTCTCCGTCAGCGGGAGAGGGAGAACCGGGGGGTGAGTCTGGGAAAGGTGACCACCAAGAGGTCCTTGAGGATCCAGGTAGGCTGGGGTGTTAGTCCTGCCAGGCAGTGGCAGTAGACCTGGGGGAGCGGACAGACGGGAAAGGTAGTTCTGGAGGGCTTGGTGCCTGGTGGGACGTTGGATGGGGGTAGGGGAACCTCGGCGGGCATCGAGGCTGACTTCCTAGTCCCTGGTCTGGGGGTTCAGACAGATTTGGTGTGGAAGCTGCAGGGACAAGAAAACGTCATCATCAAAAACACTGCAGTCCCCCCAGATTAACCTCCAAGACCCTGGCAGAGTCTTTGAAGATGAGAATGCCTGCTGCTCTGGGGCCAGCCTGGCCCTCTGCAGCATATCAGCTCCTTGGCTGACTCCAAAAAGACCTTTGGACATTTGGGACCAAAGACTTTGCACCCCAGAGTGCCCCTGACACCCCTGCATACCTCCCACATCTCCCCTGAGTCCAGGGAGGGCTCTGCAGGAAAGTCAGATCTGAATCTGGGCCAGATGTGCGCCGGTGCCCAGCAGAGCCACTGCAGGGAATGATTAATGAATGCTCCATCCTCAAAGCTCCGGAGATAAATCCCCACTTGTGTTTAATTCTAGGAAGCTCATCTCTGCAGACCAACTGGTCAAAGGAGACAGGTGGCTCCCTGCGGGCTCCTCTTGACCATGGCTACCAAGCTTGGGTTTCCCTCCCATGCCCACTGGTGTTCTTCTGGCCAGCCTGGGTGCCAGCTGGCACCGGCTCTCTGTCCCCTTCTCAAACTCCTCCCTGTGCCCCACGTGCCAGGTTCTCGGGGACCAGAGTGGGAGGGAGACAGGCAGACACTTACTGGCCCTCCTGGACCACACACATGCATTTTAAATGGTTTTCAACATCAGTCACTTTGGAAGGAGTTGTGATGAATCTCTTTCTGCTTCAGTGGGGACGCCCAGACTCCCCTCCTTGGGTCACACCTCACTGAGTTATTCTTTTTTCCTAATTTCCCCCCAGACTTCTGTACTTTCTCCATCACCTTGCTCAAATAGGGCTCCTCTCTATGGTCTTCCCTGATTACCAGGCTGGGGCATGGAAGATTGGTGGCAAAAGTGGCCCAAGTCCTCCACCCTTCTCTGTAGCTGCAGTTTAGCCAGATAAGTCTTCAGGGTGGTGTTGGTGCCCAGCCCTGTGCCTCAGAGACCCATGACTTGCTTTGGTCAATAGAACATGGCATTAGTCACAGTGTGGCCACTGCAAGCCGAGGCCTAAAGAGATGGCATAGATCTTCATGAAGTCTCGGGACCAATATTTCCCTTCACAGTGTGCATTTTTTGGCATTGTGTTTAGAAATTCCTTCCTACTCTGGGGTCATAAAAATATTATTCTATATTTTTTCCTAAAAGTTTTGTAGTTCTTTTCACATTTATGTCTTTAATCCATCTGGAATTGATTTTTCTGTACAGGGAGGTAGGGATTTAACTTTCTCTTTTTCCTTGTGGAAAACCCACTGTCCCAGCGCCACGAAGGGCTGATCTGTCCTCTTGGTGCCGATTTGTGTTGCTGTTTCCATCGAAAGTGGAATTCCCACACTCCTACATGTTGTTTCCGTGTTTCCTGGTTGGCTCCCTTTGTCTTTCTGTCTCTTCATGACCCACTCACATACTTTCCTAATGACTGTAATTTTAAATTCGTAGGCTTTATTTTTAAGAACAGTTTTAGGTTCACAGTACAATTGAGCAGAAGATATGTTCAGGGATTTCCCATTTCCCCCCTGTTCTGACACATGCATAGCCCTCCTCTGTACCAACATCCCTACCAGGGTGGGACACTCCTCACAACTGGTGAGTCTCCACAGGCACACCATTAGCACTCAAAGTGCAGAGTTCGCAGGAGAGTTCGCTATGGGTGTTGTGGGTTCTATGGGTTTACATGAAGGTACAAGGACAGGTATCTCCATTTTACTGTCATACAGCATAGTGTCACCACCTTAAGCTCCCCTGCACTTCACCTGCTCATCTTTCTCTCTCCCCGAATCCCTGGAAGCCACTGATTTTTTTTCCTCTCCATAGTTTTGCCTTTTTCAGAATGCCACATGGTTGGAGTCATATAATATGTACTTTTTTTTTCAGTTGGGCTTCTTTCACTTAGTAATGCACATTTAAGTTTCTTCCATGTCTGTTCATGGCTTGATAGCTCATATCTCTTTAGTGCTGAATAACATTTCGTTGCCTAGGAGTTCTACAATGTATTTATCCAATCAGTTACTGAAGGATATCTTGTTGTTTTTTTTTTTTTTCCCAGTTTTTGGCAATTATGAGTAATGCTGCTCTAAATGTTTATAAGTAGGTTTTCGTATGGATATAAGTTTTCAACTCCCTTGGGTAAATAAATAACAAAGAGAACAACTGCTCGATCTTTTGGTAAGAGTATGCTTAGTGTTGTAAGAAACCACCAAGCTGTCTTCCAAAGCAGGCATACCATTTGGCATTCCCACAACCCAAGAATGGCAGTTCCTGTTTCTCCACATCCTTGTCAGCATTTGATTATGTCAGTAATCTGGATTTGGGTCATTCTACTAGGTGTATAATGGTGTCTCATTGTTGTTTTAATTTGCAATTTCTTAATGACGTATGATGTGGTTAATCTTTTTATGCTTATTTGCCATCTGTGTATCTTCTTTGGTAATATATCTGTTAAGATCTTTGGCCCAGTTTTTAGTTGGGTTTGTTTTCTTATTGTTAAGTTTTTTAGAGTTCTTTGTACATTTTGGATAATAGTCCTTTATCATGTATGTCTTTTGTAAATATTTTCTCCCAGTCTATGGCTTGCCTTTTCCTTCTCTTGACAGTGGCTTCATAGAGCAGAAATATTTTAATTTTAATGAAGCCCAGCTTATCGATTCTTTCCTGGATCCTGCCTTTGGTATTGTATCTAAAAAGTCATTAACAAACTCAAGATTGTTTAGATTTTCCCCTATGTTATATTTTAGGGTTTTATAGTCTTGAATATTATATTTAGGTCTATGATTCATTTTGAGTTACATTTTTGTGAACTGTATAAGATCTGTGTCTAGGTTCATTTCTTTTTCTTTTTGCATGTGGGTATTCAGTCATTCTGGTACCGTTTGTTGAGAAGACTATCTTTACCCCATTCTATTGCCAATCCTTCTTTGTCAAAAATCAATTGACTATATGGGTCTATTTCATGGCCCTTTATTTTGTTATGTTGATCTATTTGTCTTGTCTTTTGCCAATACCACACTATAGTTTTCTTTATGGTAAGTCTTGAAGTCAAGTAGTGTTGATCTTCTAACTTTGTTCTTCAATATTGTGTTGGCTATTCTGAGTTTTCTGCCTCTTCATATAAACTTTAGAATTAGTTTGTTGATACTCATAAAATAGCTTGCTGGAATTTTGATTGGGATTGCATTGAGTCTATAGATCAAGTGAGGAAGAATGGGCATCTTGATAATATTAAGTCTTTTTATCCCTGAATGTGGAATATATCTTAATTTATTTAGTTTTTCTTTGATTTTTTTGATGAGAGTTTTGTAGTTTTCTTTTTATAGATCTTATACATATCTTGTTAAATGTATATTTAAGCATTTCATTTTGAGGGGGTGCTAATGTGAATGGTATTGTGTTTATCATGTTTTAAATTTTGAATTCCACTTGTTCACTGCTGCCGTGTAGGAAAGTGACTGAATTTTGTATAAGAACCTTGTATCCCACAATCTTGCTATAATTACTTATTAGTTCTAGGAGTATTTTTTGTAAATTCTTTTGGATTTTTTTTACATGAACAATGATGTCAACTGTGAACAAAGACAGTTTTATTGCTTCCTTCCCACTCTGTATATGTTTTATTTCCTCTTCTTGTCTTACTGCATTAGCCAGGACTTCTGGTATGATGTCGAAAAGCAGTGGTGAGAGAGGACGTTCTTGCCTTGTTCCTGATCTTAGTGGGAAAGTTTTGAATTTCTCACCATGAAGTACAATGTTAATTATAAGATTTTTGTAGACATTCTTTATCAAGTTGAGAAAGTTCCTCTCTATTCCTAGTTTACTGAGAATTTTTATCATTAATGCATGTTGGAGTTTGTCAAATGCTTTTTCTGTGTCTATTGATATAATCATGTGATTTTTCTTCTTTAGCCTATTGATGTAATGTATTATATGAACCAGCCTCGAATACCTGGGATAAATCCTGTGGTGTATAATTCTCTTTTATACATTGTTGATTTCTATTTGCTAATATTTTGTTAACTTTTGCGTTTATGTTTGTGACACATATTGTTCTGTAGTTTTCTTTTCTTGTAATGTCATTGTTTTTTGTTTTATTTTGTTTTGAGACAGAGTCTTGCCTTATTGCCCAGGCTGGAGTACAGTAGCACTCACTGCAACCTCTGCCTCCCAGGCTCAAGTGATCCTCTCATCTCAGCCTCCCGAGTAGCTGGGACTACAGGCTCATGCCACCATGACAGGGTCTCACTGCGTTGCCCAAGCTGTTCTTGAACTCCTGGGCTCAAGCAATCCAGCTGCCTCAACCCCCCAAAGTGCTAGGATTACAAGCATGAGCCACTGTGCCCAGCCTCTTGTAATGTTTTTGTCTGGTTTTGGTATTAGGGAAATGCTGGCTTCAAAGAATGAGATGGGGAGTGTTTTCCTTGCTTTTGTCTTCTAACAGAGATTGTGAAGAATTAGTATAATTTATTTCTTAAATGTTTGGTAAAATTTACTAATGAACCCATCTGGACTTTCTCTTTTGGAAAGTTATTAAGTATTAATTCAATTTATTTAATAGATACAAGCCTGTTCAAATTGCCTATTTGTTCTTGCATGAGCTTTGGCAGGTTGTGTCTTTCAAGGAATTGGCCCATTTCATCTAGATTATCAAATTTGTGAGCATACAGTTGTTCATTGTATTTCTGTATCATCCTTTTCATGTCCATGAGATCTGTAGTGATATCCTGTCTTTCATTTCTGGTATTAGCTATTGTTGTCCTCTTTTTTTCTTAGCCTGGCTAGAGGCTTATTGATCTGTTGATATTTCAAAGAACAAACTTCTGGTTTCATTGATTTCTGCTCCAATTTTTATTATTTCTTCCTATTTTGGAATTAATTTGCTCTTCTTTTTCAGTTTCATAAGGTAGAAGCTTAGATTATTGACTTTAGATCTTTGTTATTTTCTAATATATGGATTCAAAGCTATAAATTTCCCTCTGAGCACTGCTTTTCTTTCATCCAACAAATTTTTATAAGTTGTATTTCATTTTCATTTAGTTGGAAATATTTTTAAATTTCTCTTGAGATTTATTCTTTGACCCATATGTTATTTAGAAGTGTTTTGTTTAATCTTTAAGTAATTTAAAATTTTCTAGGCATCTTTTTGTTATTGATTTCTGATTTAATTTCATTGTGGTCTGAGAGCAGATATTGTGAGATTTCTATGCTTTCAGTTTGTTAAGGTGTGTTTGATGCCCCAGAATGTGGTCTGTCTCGGTAGTTATTCCATGAGAGCTTGAGAAGAATGTGTAATTTGCTGTTGGATGAGGTAGTCTATAAGTGTTAATCATATCCAGTTGATTGATAGCGCTGTTGAGTTCAACTTTGTCCTTACTGATTTTCTGCTTGCTGGATCTATCCATTTCTGACAGAGGTGTGTTAAGGTCTCCAACTATGATAGCAGACTTATCTGTTTCACCGGGCAGATCTATCAGTTATTGCCTCAATGTAGTTTGATGCTTTCTTATTGGGTGCATAAATATTAAGGATGGTTATGTCTTCTTGGTGAATTGAATTTTTTATCATTATGTAATGACCCTCTTTATTCCTTATAACTTTCCTTTTTCTGAAGTCTTCCCAAATTAATTTTAAAGTAATCCTTTATATTTTTATGTTCTAAAAATGTGCGTTATTCTAGTCATTTTTTCTTCCATTATTCTTTTATATTAGCTTTCCATGTCCTATGAGGAAAACTTTGTTAGAATTTTTGATTCAAAAATTGAGAGTACATTGACTCTAAAGGCTAATTTAGGAAAAATTAATGTGTTTCTGATACTGAGTCTGCCTATCCATGAATATGGTATATTTCATAATTTTTCCCAGTAAACATATCACACAGTTCAAAATATTAAAGTCTTGGTTGCCTTTATGATTGGGAATCTTTTCTCTATTTTATTATTGATGATTAGTGGCATATATAAATTCTCTTGCTTTTGTATCCAGCAAACTTACTAGTTATTAGTTATACCTGTATTATATTTATACTACTTATACCAGTTTGTCCATAGATTATTTTAGATTTCCTGTGTGGACAATCATAGTATTTTTCAATGTCTGCATCTTTGAATTTTTCCTTGTCTAAATCTACAAGTACAATGTTGAACATAGTGATGAGGAATCCATCCTTGTCTTGATCCTGACTTCAGTGGGAATACTTTTAAACTTTAATAATTAAGTATAATGTTTACTCTGTGTTTTAGATAGACACTTTTTATCAGCTGTAGCAGAGCCTGCAAACAGACCCTTCTTACCCCTTCTCCCTTATTTTTTTTTTATTTTAGTAATAGATCTCCTTTGGATTGTAGACGAACATGTGTCTACCTAGGTGAAAAGTACATTTCCACTTCCCTTACAGCCTGGTGTGTCCACATGACCAGGTTCTCATTAATAGGCATGGGAGAAGTGATGTGTGCAAATTATATATCACGTTTCCTCTTTGTCTTTCTGTGGAAATGACAATAGTGAATGTACTTTGACTCTGTGGATGAGGACAACATTCTAGAACGTGTAAAACATCACAATAGGAGGCACCTGTGTCTCCAGTGCCTCTGTCTCCCACCTCCCCTGCACTGTTACATGTCACAGACACAAACTTCTCTCCCATCCCAGCCACCTGGCTTTGGTGTCCCTTTGTTCACAAACTCCACTCCCATCCCAGCCACTCTGTTTTGGTGTCCCTTTGTTCAGCAGCTTAGCATCTTTCTACCTTGTCTAAATGTATCCAAATAAGAAAACTTCATGCTATTCATAGTTTGCTAAGAATTTGAAAAACTCAATCTTGAATAAATGCTGAATTCTACTGAATGCTTTTTTAGTTTCTATTAAGATGATAAAATTGGAGTCTCTCATCCTCTCCTCTCTTAATATGTCATTGTTTATTCCTAATTTTTTTTTTTTAGATGGAGCCTTGCTCTATCACCCATGCTGGAATGCAGGGGTGCCATCTCTGCTCACTGCAATCTTCGTCTTCTGGGTTCAAACGATTCTTATTCCTCAGCCTTCTGTGTCCTGGGACGACACGTGTATGCCACCACACCAGGCTAATTTTTTTTTTTTTTTTTTTTTTTTTTTGAGACAGGCTCTCGCTGTATAGCCCATAGCCCTGGCTGGAGTGCAGTGACATGATCTCGGCTCACTGCAACCTCTGCCTCTTGGGTTCAAGCAATTCTCTGCCTCAGCCTCCTGAGTAGCTGAGATTACAGGTGCCCACTACCATACCTGGCTAATTTTTTTGTATTTTTAGTAGAGACAGGGTTTCACCATCTTGGCCAGGTTGGTCTTGAACTCCTGACCTCATGAACCACCCACCTCAGCCTCCCAAAGTGCTGGGATTACAGGCGTGAGCCACCGCGCCCAGCTTAATTTTTGTATTTTTTTAGTAGAGACGGGGTTTCACCATATTGGCCAGGCTGGTCTCTAACTCTGGGTCTCAAGTGATCCACCCACCTTGGCCTCCCAAAGTGCTGGGATTACAGGCGTAAGCCACTGCGTCCGGCCTATTCCTAAATTTTTGAAATGAGTACTCTCCTTGACTTTCGGAGGTAAACTAAAATGAGCTGTCATTATTTTAATATGCAGCAAGATTTGATTTGCCAGACTTTCCCCTAAGATTTTCAAAATCTATGTTTAGAATTGAAATTGGCGTGATATTTTCTTTTCGTAAACGGTCATGTAACTTTAGTCATTAGCTTATACTATTCTCTTAAAGTAAATTGATAAGTTTCCCATTTTTTTCCCTTATTCTCTGCAATAGTGTGCATATATTAGGGATCATTTGTCTCTTGAAGATTTGGTGGCTCTTGCTGTAATACTACCTGGGCTTGGTGACTTTTGTTTGTTTTCTTTGGGTATATAAATGTTTGCTAATCAATACTATTTTTTCACTGGTTATTGCTTTGTTTGTGTCTTCTATTTCAACTTGAGTTAATTTTGGTAATTAATTTTTCTTCAGGAAAAATGTTCATTACACTGAAATTTAAAATATATTGGCATAAAGTTGATTGCAGTATCCTTTAACAATTCTTCTAAATCTCTTCTGCTTCCTTCTTCATTCCTAATGTGATTTGTTGATAGCACTTTTTTCTTGATTAGTCTTACTAGAAATTTTTCTATTTTATTTTCTCTGAGGGCAGAATTTTGCTTTTGTTGATAATTTCTATTTTTCTTCATTTTCTATTTAATCCATTTCTTCTCATATCTTTACTTCTTTTCTTCTATGTTCTTTAGAATTATTGTCAGTTTTCTATTTTTAGTTAAGATTGTACCTTATGTATTTGTAAGTTTTCTTATTTTTATAATAAATGCATAGTTTACAAATATACCTCTAAAAACTAATTTGCTACAACCAAGAAAACTGCTATATAATGCCTCCCACCCTTTTTTTTACATTCAGGACTAAATCATTTGTAATTTCCATTGCAATCTTCTCTTTAACCCACAGGTTATTTAGGATCATGTGTCAGTCTTCTAAACCTATATAATCTTTTTATGTTATCTTTAATCTTTTTTTATGTTACCTTCTAAATGAATCACATTGTGGTCAGACAATATACTGCATATGAAAATCATTCTTTGAAATTTGTTGAGGTTTAATTTTTGACCTGTAGGTCGTCAAGTTTTGTAAGTGGATTTCCTGTGTTTGAAAGAGAGCTCAGACTCTCCTGCAGAAGTGCCGTCATATCATCGTGTCATCGTGGAGACTGCTTTTCACCATGTTCAGTGCTGGGCAGCACGGGGTGCTTTTTTATACCCTTATAAGTGGGTCCAAACAATCCTGGGAGGGCGGCAGGGCAGATAATAGCCCCATTTTATAGGAGAGGGATTCAGGTTAGAGAGGGAGAGTCATGAGCCTGAGTTCCACAGCTGCCTGGTGGTGAGTCCCTGTGGAGGAGCACAGCTCCTTCCTTCTGTTGCTGTGGGGCACCTTGATGGTGCCAAATGGAACAGTGTTGAACACCATGGAACAGCATGGGAGGGTGTGTGGGTTCTGCCTGCCATGAGCACTGGGCCCTGGTCCTGATACAGGCCAGCAGTTACGGTGCCATGTCTGCTGCCACACATTCTCACATCTGCAACCCCAGACCCTCATTGCGCCCCTCCAGCCTCCCTCGCTTAGCTGAAGCTGAGCCCCCGTCGGAAGTGCCTTCTCCAGCCCACATCATTTCGGTCCACCCCATCCAGCCTTCCCTCTGAGGTCCTCCCCGGCCTTCATGCTTCCTGCTCTCCGTCAAGTGGCCTGTCACCACCCCAACATGGGCCGCACTTTCTGGCCTCCAGGCCTTTGCTCAAGGTGGAATAGCCTCCCCGGGGGTTTCTGCAAAGCCAGTGTGACTTTGCTCAGCACTCTGTGGAGCCTGCGCCCCCCTGGACTTCCCTCAATCTAAGGCATTATCCGGCCACGCCTTTGCCTGCCCGCTGCGATCACATGGGGTGTTTCTAACACATTGAACGCCCTTCTCCTTGTCTCATCCCCTCGGCGCCTCCCACCGCCTTGCTCACTTCCAGCCTCCCTCCTTTTGGCAGCCCATGCTTGAGTTACGCAAAAGAGTTCCATCTCTCTGCCCTCTTTGCCCAAAAATCGCTGCCAGTGCTGTTTTCTGTCTAGCCCCCTCTTCTCCTTCAGTGATTTCTGGCCAGTGCTACCCATCCTTCAAGACCCGGCTCCATATCCCCTCCTCCAGGCAGCCTTCCTTGGTCTCCACGCTGGGTTAGGAACCATCTACCATTCCATTGAACCTGGGGCCTCCTTCAGTCAGGGCTTGGATGGTGCCATGTGGTTGCTGCCATTTTACTTGGCAGCAGGGCTGGCCCCTGGTTTAAACCTCTGAACCGGGCTGCCTGTCCTGGCTCTGCCCCACAGGTGGGTCTTGGCGTAGGCTGACCGCCAGACAGTTGTCCTCTGAGCTGCTGGCAAGTGTTTGGGGTGGGGCGGGCGTGGCATCACTGTCTCCTGTGTGTCCTTGCAGTGACCCCTGGATGGAAAGCCCAGCCTGCTGACCAAGGTCAACGCCCTTTCCAACGGCCCTTCATTAGCGAGTGGACATCTCGCTGAGTCAGCGGGGACCTCTTCACCGTCCTGTTCAGGGTCACTAGGTCCCTGGAGAATGTGGCCGAGGGTGGCTGGACGACAACAGGGGCCATTGTCCTCGCCTGCAGCGGACGGAGTCGGCCCAGGCCCATCTGGACAGGGCAAGGGGCGTGACCTCAGTGTGCCCGAGAGGTCCCACTGAGCCCCCCCGGGTGCAGCCAGGCTGGTGAAGGGGGCGCACAGATGGCGTTGTCCTGAGAGAGGCAGGCCCTCTGGGAACAGGTTTTAGGGTCCAAGGGGGCAGCTCCAACTCCTCCACCCTCCTCACCATCCCCTACCCCCTACGAGGGACTCTTCTACAGCTTCCCCAAGGCGAGGGTCAGTCGAGTGCCCGGCGATGGGGACCTCTCCCTTCCATACAGTTCCCTCATCTCTGGCACTTGTTATCCTAGCCTGCTGGCCAGAGCGCAGCTTTCAGGGACGGGACCCCCAGTGACTGCACCCCCCCCACCTCCTCCACTCCACCCCACTCCCCACTGCTCCTCAAGAAGAGGAACCTCAGCCCCTCACCTGCCCTCTGCTGGCCATGGAAACAGCCAGGGATGCTGGTGCCAGCAGGGCATCCATGGAGCATGGAGTCTATGAGCTCATTTTCACGGGAGCTCACTCACTGTCCATATCCCCGGGATCAGGGGCCTTCCGCAGGCCTCGCAAGAGGCAGAAGTCCCAAAGCTCAGAAGCACTCTGCCTGGGCTCACTGGATCACCGGATCACTGGGACACAAGGCTGCAGCCAGCAGGGAAGGAGTGAGCCGTGCATAGTGTGGGGCTGGCCAGAGTGGGCGGCTCCGCAACGTCCAGGACTCCCTCCAGGGCTGAGGCCCCTTCTCTGTTGGAACCTCCACCTCAGCCCGGTTTCAGTTTCGGCGCTTTTGTTGTGATGATACTGTGGTTGCTATCGTTTTTACTTCATAGGCTTATTGTATTTTAAGAAGTGAAACGTTACAGCTCAGCTGAGGTCTCCTACTCCCTTCCCCTTCCCCTGAGGTCACCCCCATTCTACAACGTGCGTTCAGACATTTTAGCTGCATGTGTATCTGGCGTGGGCAGCAGATGCTCCTGATCTGGGTGTTTCAGGCATTAACAAAAAGTCAGGCCATGTACATGTCGGGCCATTATTCAGACTGAACTGTGCTGATGCTCGTGTGTGTGTCCAGAGCATGGGCTAAATGAGAGTTGCATGTTCTATTCTAAGAATGGAGACATAGCAGTGGCCTCTAGTTTGCTGAGGAGGAAACAGAGGCTCTGCGAGGCTGAGGACTGGCACATTCACGTGGCCAGTGTGCACCCAGGCTGAGCCTCAAAGCTGGGTCTGGCTGCAGACCCTGCCCCTTCTCCCTCTTGGGCTACAGGTGGTTCCCCTGAAAGGGAGGCTGCCCCACCCTCCGCCTTCTTACTGGGGGGGCTGCCCCACCCTCCGCCTTCTTACTGGGGGGGCTGCCCCGCCCTCCGCCTTCTTAACTGGGGAGGCTGCCCCACCCTCCGCCTTCTTACTGGGGAGGCTGCTCCACCCTCCGCCTTCTTAACTGGGGAGGCTGCCTCACCCTCCACCTTCTTATTGGGGATGTTGCCTGGCCCTCCACCTTCTTACTGGGGAGGCTGCCCCACCCTCTACCTTCTTACCAAGAGGCTGCCCCACCCTCTACCTTCTTACTGGGGATGCTGCCCGATCCTCCACCTTCTTACTGGGAGGCTGCCTTGCCATCCACTTTCTTGGCTGAGCCCAAGCTCCACCCAAAGCTTTCTGGGCCGCAGCGAGCCACCTGGGTCACTTGCTTGCCTGCTCCCCTCCTCCTATCACCCTTACCCTTGCTCTCCCCTGCCAGGCAGTCACCACTCCCTGAATGAGGCCCATGTGCTCCTGTGGCTGGGCCTCTGCCCAGGCTGTTCCTTCTGCTTGCCTGCCTGAGTCCCACCTGGGCATTAAGGCCTGGCTGAAATGCCCCTGCCAGGCCCATCACAAATGGTTAGGAACGGCTGTGTCGGTCACCTCACCCAGTCAGTCACCAGCTGAGAACCAGTTGCTCTCCCCAAGCACCTGGGCCAGGGCCCAAGGAATAGGTGCTGCCCAAAGCTGCCAGGAGGCTCTGATCTTTGGCAGGCATGGGAACCACACTGCTGAAACTCCCCGTGTGGTGCTGCAGGCTGCCCAGCCTGACAAGTGTCCTGCTGGAGTGACCACCTCTGGGGACCAGAGCTCAATTCTGCATGCAGAGAAGGGAGGCGGTGCTTGTCTTAAACCAGACACAGGCTGAATTGAGGCATCAGAGACACAAGCCCACGTGAGAGGTCAGCATCCCTCTGCATGTAGAGCCACCCAGGCGAGCTGCCAGCATGTCCCATGGCCACATGAGAAGCCTGCATTTCCGGCTCAGACCCACCTGACAAATTAAGAGATGTCTGGGGCTCTGGCTGCTCCGGAAGAGCCACCAATTAAGATGTCTCTTGTTTTGTGCCCCAGAACCTTGTCCCATTGCTGATCAGGTTACAGGAGTGACAGCTCAAAGATGTCGCCTCCAGGGACTTGAAGGGTGGGGTAAGAGGACAGATTGCCTCGGCACCTGGGGCTGTCTCTGGGGACAGGCCTGGGGCAGGCACTGTAATGTGAGGCTCCCACAGCCGTGGAATCCTCCAGCACCTGGTGTGGGTGGCGTGGGGCTCAGCAGGGCCTCCTTGCCTTCCTGCCGAGTTGGCTTCCTGCCATGGGCATTGCTCCCCAAGCATCGACTGCCCAGCAACTCTGCAGCCCAGAAGTCCATGCAGTTTTGTGTCAAGGGGCAGCTGGTCCACACCGTAGGGCTGTCATTCCATCCTCACCAGCAATCTGTGCTCCTACTGTGCATCCAGTCCTGTGCTGGACACGGGGACAGGGACAGTCCTAAGCAGAGACCAAGTTGACAACAAGCAGAGCTAGCCTGGGGAAGACCCGGTAGAAGAGCTTCTGAGTCCAGGGAACAGCAAGCCGGAGCCTCCGGGCAGACCTGGGTGGAAGAGCTTCTGAGCCTGGGAACTGCAAGCTGGAGCCTCTGGGCAGACCTGGGTGGAAGAGCTTCTGAGCCTGGGGAACAGCAAGCCAGAGCCTCTGGGCAGACCTGGTGGAAGAGCTTCTGAGCCTGGGAACTGCAAGCCGGAGCCTCTGGGCAGACCTGGTGGAAAAGCTTCTGAGCCTGGGAACTGCAAGCCGGAGCCTCGGGGCAGACCTGCTGGAAGAACTTCTGAGCCTGGGAACAGCAAGGCGGAGCCTCCAGGTAGACCTGGGTGGAAGAGCTTCTGAGCCTGGGGAACAGCAAGGCGGAGCCTCCAGGCAGACCTGGGTGGAAGAGCTTCTGAGCCTGGGGAACAGCAAGCTGGAGCCTCGGGGCAGACCTGGTGGAAGAACTTCCAAGCCTGGAGCTCTCCAGCGACCTTGACATGATCTTGATAAGAGCAGACTCAGTGGAGGGGCCACACTGGCACGCTGGCAAATGTTTAACAACTGGTTCTCTGGGAGAGAAAGCTGATTTCTAGTATTTGCTGATTTCTGAAGTGTATCCCACTGTGGCAGAGCATGACAGTTTACCAACTGGTTGGGAAATTTCCTGACAATTTAACAACTACTCTCGCAAGCCAGTGTAAGCCTGCTCCAGCAGCCTGTTGGGTAGGGCTGGTTCAAGAGAGAATGTGATGTGAAGGATACGTCACCTCTTTGAAGGGCTTCTAGTGCAAAAGGAGTCAGAAAATGAAATAATATCTTAGAGGAACATGGAGCCAGGTGAGTTTTTTTTAAAATTAATTCTGTTATAATTTACTGAAAGGGGGCCACAGGAGATATATTTAGATAATAGAACAGGAGAGAGGAAATGTAAGGTTTGTGATTTCATGTCTTCCAAAGAGATTCCCCCTCCACTCATCATCCTTAAACTCCTGTTGAAGGAGCACCAGTATGTGGCCAACTCTGGGGTGGGTGGGGAAGGATAGGATCCAGCATGACCCTGCCTTCAAAGAGCTCACACTGCTAAGCAAGGATGGCTGGACAGGGACAGAAGATAGCAATGATGGATGCAGCATACAATTCTGGCCACTGAGAAATTCTAAGCTGTACTACACATAACACTGCATTCC